>NC_000001.11:188184587-188809587 GCF_000001405.40 Homo sapiens
TAATCAAGACTGTGGACTGTAGTTTTGATATATTGGGAGTCCATTTACCTGTGAGTTGTGTCCATAGTTTTTATTTTAAAAGCCCAGGATGTCTATGATACCCACTCCCTGTAGGACCATAGCAGAGGTGAAAAACCCAACAGTATTATTTTGTAATGTCTGATGTTGCCTTTGCTTTGGAGTGAAGTGGAAATGTTGATCTTATTGTAAATCATGTGGCACTATGCAAAAGATGTGAAACCTCATTTATTAATCCCTCAATAACATTAGCAGAGGTTGGTGCCTAGGATGGGTAAGCCAGTAGAAGGCCCCTGTAGGTGTGCATCCTTATTAAGCATATTTGATGGCTCTTGCTGCTGCAGAGAGAGGCCCAATGCAGTTCATTTTCCAGTTGTGGCATGGCCCTTCTTTGTAAATTTCTCCTCCCATGTGATAGACTCAGTATCGAGATTGCTGGTATGTGACACAGTCTCCATTGGTTTGGTAAGTATCTTTCTGTTCAATATACTTCTCTCTTAAAAATCATTTTTTTATAAATCCATTGTGGCCAAATGTCCTGAGTTCTCCTGGGACCACTGATAGAAAGGAGAAGTAGAGTGGCTTATCCCAAAGTTCTGGAGATTCACTTTCCTTTAAGAGTCTTATCTATTTGGTTGTTTGGTTAGTTCATCAGTTTTAAGGTTGTATCATTCCTCCAATGGGATTTATGTAGTATAAGCTGAGATATGGTACATCTTGGTGTAGGAGTAGGAGCCAATGCGGTGATCTTCCCCATATTCTTACCCAAAATTTCTTAGCCTTATACTTACTTTCCAGCCCTAATTTTCCAAAGTTCCTACCTCATTAACCACTGACCAACAGAAAAGAAAACATAAACCTTAGAAAAATATTTGTCAAGGGCATCCTATATTGCTAGAAATATTACACAAAGATCAGTTCATTAGACACATTGGTCTATCTCCTGTATGGAAAGGGGAGTGTTTGAATAGGGCTGATAGACTCTAGCTATCCATTGTCTGGCTCTGTTATACCGCATGTTCACTTCATCGGTAAAGAAAGCCTATTGCTTTTCTTGTTTTGAGAGCACTGATCATCCTCCATCTAGTTGCTGTTGAGCAAGAGGCATTTCTGAAGCTTTTGGCAAGTTAACCTCAATGACAGGCACTGTAGTTATTTCCTCATGGAACGGTGACACTCCAGTAGAAAGAGAATAAGCTCAGTCTTGTAAAGACAATTTCCATTTTAACAAGGAAGCTTCTATTGATGACCCAATTTTACAGAGAGCTTTTTCTATCACCAGGGCATAATAGGAATCTCAGTTCATAGAGTAACAGGCTTTGTACTGCAAGGCCTTTCATTTTAGTAACTGCCTAGTTCAGCACTGAAAGTAGCATCTCTCATGGTGAATATCTTTGGGCTGAGCCTGGGAGCCACTTCCCCAAAAAGCCTGTGGATATACATTTACCTGTTTATTTGGTCCAGAGGCTCTAGGAAGCAAACTTGGGGATGGCTGAAACTTATGATTCTAAGTCTTGCCTTCCAGGTTTTAATGGGAGAGCTGAAATGATAGCCTCCTCTTAGATTATCTAATGCCTGTTGTTGCTCAGATCTCCACTGAAAAGGGGAAGACTTAGAGGTAACTGAGTAGATGAGGGAAAGCAAATATTAGAGGTGAGGAATGTGTTGCATCAAAATCCAAACATTTCCACTACATGTTGGGCCTTTTTCCTCATGTAAGATGTTAGAGTGCTAGAAGCTTGTCTTTTATGAGATTGGGAATCATTGTTCTTCTGAGTTCCAAAGTATCCCTCAAATTTAACAGACTTGTGGCAGGGTAGGCTTTTATCTCAAGCAACAAAATTTCCCATCCCCTTTCAGTGAAGTGTTTACTAATGATTATGATGACCTGTGAGACTCATCGTAAACACTAGTAAACACCTCATTGAGATGACCTATAGTCAGGTCCTGTTAAGAGGATGTCATTGACATAATACCAAAAGGAAGTTTCTGGTGAGAGTACAGGGCAGGCATCTAGGTCCATTCTACAAGTCTGTGTGCAATCACAAGGCTATTTATATACCCCATAGGCAGCCAAGAAGTATACTGTTTACCCCAAAGTTGAAGGTGAGTAGTGGTTGACTGTCCTGTAAAATCTGTACTAAATAGAACGTATTGGCCAAGTCTACAACTCCAAACTATTTACCCATGTTATTTTGAGTGTCATGTGCTAGTAAAGATATCTGGATGTTTATAAAAGCATCTTATAAAGGGAATAGCTTTATTTAACCTTCTAGCAGCTTTCAGGAGAGGTCATACTGAGGAACCGAAAGGAGAAATGGAAGGAATCAGCACCTTCTTTAACTTAGCTATGACAGGTCATAATTCTTCAATGCATTGCCTTGCCTTACCTTAGATGCATTGCCTTGCCTTACCTTAGCTGACATTTACCACTTGCACTGGTAGGGAAACGTTAGTTGTTTTCTACTGGGTGGTGTCTACCAATAGTCTAAAAGCCTTAGGCTTGTTCCATCAGGTTACTTTCTGTCTGAGGAGTTTCATCATTCCAATAATGGCAAAAAGGATAGTCCCCAGGAAGTGGGTACAGGAGAGTGAGAGTAAGAACTGAAGCATCTCTTAGCAAAACTGAGCCAATTTTAATAGTTAAGTGGGTAATTTACCACCAATTAATTAATCCTCCTGCCAAGGAAGTCACCTCCTGGCGGATCCCTTTAATGCATGAGTGTTTCCTGAGATTAGGGAGATTTGCACACTTCTGTTCAACAGAGACAGCCAGTGTTTATTTTTTTTTGGAGCCCAAACTATAATTAATGTGGTAAAGGAATGATTGCTGAAAAATACAAGCTTTCAAAGCAATTAGGTCCATATGTAGGGGCAGGTACCTAACACTGGCTAAGGTTAAGGGCTGGTGGTGAAAGTGAGGCTGTCTCCCAAGGAGAAGCCTGCTGCCGATTGCAGCCTAACCCAGTAAGTAATGTAAATGCTCCACCAATTTACCAGATATCATTCAATGTGGGAGCCCCTCTTTCCTTAGAGTCCATGACAACTAATCTTGTTCATCTCAGGTTTCATGCTTATGTATAAACCTAGCTGTAGGTAGTTTGTTTGACCTAGAAGTATGGAGGCCTTCCTTTTGTTGGTAATTTTGACTAAGTCCAAATAAGGTGCAGTTTATGAAATTAGCAGGCATCACTTGACTGAGTTTCTCTTTTGGAAGTTTCTATTTAATCTAGGGCAGTGTGCTTCTTGAACTGTTTTAGCATTAGCCATCAATACCAGCAGAGGACTTATGTGTGTCCAGATGGACTCAGGACTCAATTCAGCCTCCTCCAAATTTGCCAAAGCATCATGCATCACACTCTCCATGGCCAGATAAGCCTCCTCTATCATCCCCAGCTGATGATCTGTGGCCTCAGCTAACATTTTCCGTTGATAGTTAGCTGCCTAGCCTGAGCCTAAGGTAGGATAGGTGGCTGTCCAAGCCACAGAAATTCACACCAAGAAAGTATGTACAGTGGACAGGGGCCCAAAAGCTCCTTTGGTGGTCATTTCTATCTTCTATACCAATCGTGAAGATCCTTTAGTAGAAATGCCATTTTTCTAATCTTACTATAAAAACCAAATGTTTAATTTTACCCCTTATTAATTGAGCTGGCTTCCAGCCAGATACATTCAATAGAGCTGGGCAACCCCTTTTTGTTTAGTTTTTGGGTGAGTCCTTGAGGAGAGACTGCTTCTTATGGTGAAACAGAAGAAGATATATTTTCTCCTATGAAGGAGAACCAACTCTCAACTAGACCTTCGCCATTTGTCTTTTTTGTTTATATTACTTTCCCTTGGTGTTTAGAGGCAAAGAGTAAAAGATGCTTATCAGTCTCATGGTGGTATTGTGCTGCCTTATTCACTAGAGGGCACCTGTAGATGCTCTTCCCCTCTGTCTCTGCTCCTAGCTGGGAGTTGAAGCTCCTAACTTCTCCTCAGGTGGCACAGTGGTGAGAAGTCACAGTGACCAAAGTCCAGCACACATCGTGTGGTTTATAACTACTGTTCCCTAGGATAGCCACCTCTTTCTGGAGTCTTGAGAGGGGTAAGAATATAACCTTTCTTACCTTTAGTCATTTTAAGTAATGCTTTAGTCAGCTCAGCCCAGACTGGGCTGTTAATATCCTTCCAGGAAGGGACAAAAATGATACCATACACAATAAGAAATCCCAGCCTGCCAGCTGCAGAGGCATGCTAGCTGCTTACGAAGGCATCTATCTCCCCAACTGCATATGCTTAGGAGGCTGTCATTGGCCTGCCATCTCTGGC
Source organism: Homo sapiens (assembly GCF_000001405.40). Lineage (NCBI taxonomy): Eukaryota > Metazoa > Chordata > Mammalia > Primates > Hominidae > Homo > Homo sapiens. Next base: position 188,188,917 of record NC_000001.11, read on the forward strand.
TTATGGTCCCATTTATTTGCCATAGTAATTCCCAGGGATTAGGAAAGAGTACCCCAAATCATGGTCCCAGCCAGAGGTACCTCCACTCTCTATAATCTGTTGCAGGGTGTTGGGTAGCACACCCATGGTCCAGAGGGATGCACTTCTTTCATTTTCCTATTCAGGCCCACAGGTCTTACAAAGTGCAGTGCCTGTCTAGGGGGGACCTGGAAGGTGGGCTGACATTCTTTTGGCAGATCAACACCTCTGACCTCTAATGTCAGTTCCAATGGCATGAGTTTACTCAAATACTAATACTCCTTGATCAGAATAAGGAGACACATGAGGAGACCACACACATACACAACACATAGATCACAATACAACACAGAGCAATGCCATGAAAAACTGACGCTGAGATATTCCAAATTTTGAGTGCTAACCATTTAAGGCCATCTAAGATCACTTTTGCCAACTGATTGTCCTATTGACTGGATAAACCTCATTTCCTAATTTATTTTCTAATTAATTCCAATAATATTTCCCTTTTCTTCCTTATTGGAGTCATATCATTTTCCCCAAGGGTTTGAAAGGATTGCTAGGCTCATCAAAGGAAAGGACATGACTCCAATATAGAGTGGGAAGATATTTGATGAGACAATGACCATAGATTTGTAAAGCTATAGAAATACTTTAACAAGTTTACAAATCTGAACAGAGCTATAAATAAATATAGAAAACCACAACATCTAGGCATATCACAGCTAATTTCTGAAAAACAAACAAACAAACAAACAAAAAAAACAAAAAACATTTCTAGGTATGGCTGAAGGAGGAAGTATGACATGTTGCTCTCATGGAAGTGAATATAAAATAAGGCTACTAGTTGAGATCCTACATTAGTTTCCTAGGAGATCTGGACAAATTACCACAAACTCGTCTAAAACAACATTTATTCTCTCACAGTTCAGGAGGCAAGGGACCCAAAATCTAGCTGTCAAGGGGCACACTTCATCTGAACATTCCAAGGGAGAATCCTTCCTTGTCTCTTCTGGCTTCTGATGGCTCCTAGAATTCCTTGGCTTGTGGCAGCATCACTCCAATATCTGCCTCCATCTTCTCATGGCCTTTTTCTCTCTTTTCCTGCTTGTCCTTTCCTCCTCTTATAAGAAGATCAGTCATTAGATTGATGTTCCACCCAGAAACACAGATGATTTCCTTTTGAGATCCTTAACTAATTGTATCCACAGGAGACTATTTCCAAATAAGGTCACATTCTGAGGTCCTGGTGGACATAAATTTTGGAGAGATACTATTCAACTCATTACAATGTTAGGATGATAGAAATGATAATACAATGAGAGCAGTTATGATCAAAATTATAGAAATGATATAAATTATAATACAATAGACTTCAAAAATAAAGGTAAAACATGTCACCAATAATTTCTACAACCAATTGAGAATATCTTCAATAAAAAAGGCAAGCTTAACACATATTTATAGTATTGAACACTGACATATTTATCAAAACATACACACACTGAAGAATATAGCAAAATGATTTCTATAGACAGAAGGAAATTGTTCACAGATGTAGTAAGTAAGTAGAAGAAGGAATGAAGAAAAGGAGCACAGATACTTGGGTAAATCTAAATGAATGTTACTAAATAAAATATCTGGAAACTTATGAGAAAAAGGTAGAAGAAATAAATAGATTTAAAGTGTTGTTAGGTTATTATATATTGTTCTGGAAGTGGTAAACATTATGATTTATACTTAACTATGTAAAGAATGAATTTGATCATACCAAGGGAAGTCTAAAATATACTAAAACAATATATTAATAAATATGCTAGTAAAAGCAGAAATGAACTAAATAAAATGTCTTAAATAGAAAATAATAGGCCAGGTGCGGTAGCTCACACCTGTAATCCCAGCACTTTGGGAGGCCGAGGTAGGCAGATCACGAGGTCAGGAGATTGAGACCATCCTGGCCAACATGATGAAACCTGGTCTCTACTAAAAATACAAAAATTAGCTGGGCGTGGTGGTGCACACCTGTAGTCCCAGCTACTCAGGAGGCTGAGGCAGGAGAATCACTTGAACCCAGAAGGCAGAGGTTGCAGCAAGCCGGGATTGCACCACTGCATTCCAGCTTGGCAACAGAGCGAGCGAGATTCCATCTTTAAAAAAAGAAAGAAAGAAAGAAAGAAAGAAAATAATAAAGAAGAGGAAAAGAAGCATAGTCTGGAAGACACATATATAAATCAAATTATAATTTGTCCTATTTAGTCACAACTCTATTGGCATTATGTTAATTATATGCTGAACTAGTACATCAATTAAAAGAAAAGCATTATATTATAAGGGAAAATTCAAACCTATACTTTTCACAAGAGACACAAAAGAAATAAAGGGTTATGGGAAATTTGAATGTAAAAAGAATTGAAAAAGATACAGCAAACACACACAATAAAATATTTCATCTTTTTACACTAATTTTAAACAAAGTATTTTATGAATAAAAGCCGTTATCAAGGTTAAAAAAAACAAATTTTAGAATACAATGTCTCATTGCTTGGAAAAAAGGAAAAGAATTATAGCTTTTCAGTATGTGATAAGATAAATGTACATATATAAAGCACAATTAGATTCAAAAAAGAAATAGAAAAATGCACAATTATATTTAGGAATTTTCATACATTTCAGCCAAAGTCTCATAATTAAGTACTAAAACTTCAGGTAAAGATATAGAGGATAATAGCAACATTACTAATAATCATGACAACATTGACAGACTTAGACCAATGCACTCAACAAAAGCAGAAAAATTATTCTTTACAATGAATGCCTAAGCATATTTTGAAAGTTTGGATATACATAGAACATGTCTTCTGATCTATCTGAAATTAAGCCAGAAAATAAAACAAAATCATAGCTATTGTTTATAAAATTGTATTGTTTAAATAAATTGTTAGTGTTCTATTATAAATTAAATACAGGTCAAAGAACAAGTAAAACATTAAAATTAAAATACTTTTAATTGAGTGATCATAAATGGGACATATCAAAACTTGTGTTATGCAACGTAAGTCATGTGCACAAGACAAAGTCTTAAATGTATATTTTTAAAAAGAAGAAAGTCTAAAAAATCATGGTTTTATATTCTAGCTTGGAAGTTTAAAAAGTAACATGAAATTAAAATTGAAACTGAGTAGGAAGGCAATAAAGATGAGTTTGAATTAATACATTTTAAATAAGTGCACATTTTTACAAATATACACAACAGAATAAAACATAAAAATTATTTTTCTGAAAAAAAAAACCTGATAAAATAGACAATAACCTAGCAAGAATGACTGTAAGACAAACATGAACAGATTTATTTCATAAAGATAGAAACACCCTAAACACAATATTGTACAAAGTGAATGCAGCAATACATGAAAAGTATTATACATCACAATCAAGATGGATTCTGGATATTCATGGTTGGCATAGCCTTAAAATGAATAAATAAAATTTACATCAAGAGAAGGAGAAACTCTCTGATTTTTCAAGATATGTAGAAAGACTATTTGATAAAAATAAAATAAAAGTTTCTCAAGCTGAAAAAAAGAAATATAATAATCCATTTCTAATATTTTTCCAATCAAATTAGCCAGTGCAATAAGGCAAGAAAAGAGGAAAAAAGACGTAAGGTTTAGAAAATAATCAAACTTATTTTCAGTTAACGTGACTGGATATGCAGAAAATTTAAATAAGCTATTCTAATTGCTAAGTAAATCTATCAAAGTTATTGGATAAAAAGCATATATTAACTTTATTTTTACATATAAGCATCAAAAAATCTAGTGTTGTGTAACAAAGTACCACAAACTTGGTGGTTTTAGCAGCAGAAATCTATTCCTTCACAGTTGTGAAGGCTAGAAGTCTGAAATCAAGTTGTTAGTAGAATTGGTTCTTTTTTAAGGGTTCTGAGGGAGAATCTGTTTCATGCATATTTCCTAGTTTCTGGCAATGGCCAGCCATCCTTGCTATTCCTTGGCTTGTCTCTATCTTTACATGACATTCTCTCTGTGTCTCTATATGACTATTTTTTAATAAAGATGCCAGTCATATTGGGTTAGGTTCCACACTACTCCAGTATGACCTCATCTTAACTAATTATAGATGCATGAATTCTATTTCCAAAAACGTCACATACTGAAACACCAGGGGTCAGGACTTCAGCGTATCTTTTTAGGGGAATATAATTAAACCCATAACAGACAAAAATGAGATATTACATAGTGCTCACTAGATTGAAAGCTGGAAAATGTTAAATGAATACCTGCCTTGGAATCTCTTGGAAACCTCAAGGCTTGCTGTGAAATGTTAGTTTTTATGGGGCATGGTGGCTCACACCTGTAATCTCAGCACTTTGGGAGGCTGAGGTGGGCAGATCATTTGAGGTCAGGAGTTCAAGACCAGCCTGGCCAACATGGCAAAACCTTGTCTCTACTAAAAATACAAAAGTTAGCCAGCGTGGTGGTGGGAGCCTGTAAACCTAGCTACTCAGGAAGCTGAAGCAGGAGAATCACTTGAACGTGGGAGGCAGAGGTTGCAGTGAGCTGAGATTGTGCCACTGCACTCCAGCCTGGGCAACAGAGCAAGACTCTGTTTCAAAAAAAAAAAAAAAAAAAAAGAAAAAGAAAAAGAAATGTTGTTAGTTTTGTGCAGTCATTGTGAAGAACAAAACAGCACTATGTACTGTATTTCAATTAAATGTTACTATATATCAAGATGCAGAAATCATCTTCCTGGTTATCTGTTCAAAAGATACAGGACCAAAAATAAAAAATCCACATATGTATTTTTTATAGCATTAGAAATTGAAGGCAATTTGAGGCTACACTGTAGGAGATGCAGATAAGGATCTAGAACTAGAAATCTCATTTGACCCAGCCATCCCATTACTGGCCATATACCCAAAGGATTATAAATCATGCTGCTATAAAGACACATACACACATATATTTATTGTGGCACTATTCACAATAGCAAAGACTTGGAACCAACCCAAATGTCCATCAATGATAGATTGGATTAAGAAAATGTGGCACACATGCACCATGGAATACTATGCAGCCGTAAAAAAGGATGAGTTCATGTCCTTTGTAGGGACATGGATGAAGCTGGAAACCATCATTCTGAGCAAACTATTGAAAGGACAGAAAACCAAACACCGCATGTTCTCACTTATAGGTGGGAATTGAAAAATTAGAACACTTGGACACAGGGTGGGGAACATCATACACTGGGGCCTGTTGTGGGATGGAGGGAGGGGGGAGGAGGGAAGGATAGCATTGGGAGATACACCTAATGTTAAATGACGAGTTAATGGGTGCAGCACACCAACATGGCACATGTATACGTATGTAACAAACCTGCACCTTGTGCACATGTACCCTAGAACTTAAAGTATAATAAAAGTAATAAAAAAGGAGCTAAGTAATAAATAAATATAAAATAAAATGGTATTAATGCTCAACATGGAGCACAACAGAACATTTAGAAAGAAGGAGTAGATGTGCACATGATACTACAAGCATACCTTTCAAAAAGCAGGGTTTACAGAAAAAGTAAAATAAAGAACAGAATGGATCAACACAATATCATTAACATATATGAGAATCAACTGCAATAAAACAATAAAACATACTTTATACAAAGAACAGTGTGTGACTTAACATAGTATAATGGATATAAAGGGAGTGGCTAACCAAATATTAATTATACGGAATAGGGGAGAGGCATTGGATGAGCATTGACAATAGTGGGCCACACTCAGTGTATGGAGTCACATCAAGAAGCATGATTAACATACAACTTGGCATCTGGGGTATGGTAGGCAGAATTCTAACATGAACTTCCAATGGCCCATATCCTGTATAATTCCTCCCCTTAAGTGTGGGAAAACCATCTGAATATGATGAGATTACTCTTTTGATTGCATTATGTTATATGACAAAAGGGATTTTGCAGATGCAAATAAGGTCCTTAATCAGTTGACTCTGAGTTAAAAGGGAGATTCATAGGCCTCATCTAATTAGGCAATCCCTTAAGAGGGCTAGGGCCTCCTTTGAAGTCAGACAAGTAAGCTGCCAGGCTGCGAGTGCTCTTAGGAAAAAATGTTTTGTCAAGAACCTAAGGTCAGTCTCTAGGAGGTGAAGTGGCTTTCCAAGCAAACAAGAACTTTAGTTGTACAACCACAAGCATTATGCCAACATCCATGTTAGCTTGGGAGAGGACCCAGAGCTCCAGAAATGAATACAGCCCAGCATATACCATTGATTACCAACTTGTAAGACTCCAGAAACCCCCATAGGACCCCACAGTTTCCTAACTTATCAGAATAAAAGTAAAAACCAATGGAACAGTATATAAATTCTTTATACAAATCAAAATAATTCACAGATACATAACTATGTGGAGGTATAGATAAAGAGTATAGGTAAAGAATGCTTTTTTATTTTATTTCCCCCTTTGGGCCTATATGATTAAGCAATCCTAGCTCTTACTTTAAACCATTAAAAAATAAGATAAAAACTGTAAGTTGTTTTAAACCTCTCAATTTTTGGTAATTGGTTGCATATCAATAGACAACTAATACAAGGAGTGAAAGATAAACAGCAAAAATGTTTCTACTCTTGCATTCAAAAAATAAAAGAAAGCTAGGCACAGTGGCTCACGCCTGTAATTGCAGCACTTTGGGAGGTGGAGGTGGGCGGATCACTTGAAGTCAGGAGTTCGATTCGAGCTTGGCTAACATGGTGAAACCTCATCTCTACTAAAAATACAAAAATTAGACAGGCATGATGGTGCATGCCTGCAATCCCAGCTACTTGAGAGGGTGAGGCAGAAGAATCACTTGAACCCGGGAGGTGGAGGTTGCAGTGAGCAGAGATCTCGCCACTGCACTCCAGCCTGGGCAACAGAGCGAAATTCTGTCTCAAACAAAAAAGAGAAGAAAAGTGAAACCAAAGAAAGATGGAAAAAAATTAAGCTGTTGCATTTTATCAGTGTTACCTTTTAATAGTCTGTTAGCTTCATAGAACATTAGAATAACTTTTTGGGTTTTTTTTATGTTAATTCATCATTTATTGGTTAGTTTTTACAGGATTTTACCAGTTACTACTCTGCATGCATTGGATGCAAAATCAAAACAAACAAACAAACAAAACAGAAAAATAATATGGTCACTGCTCAGGAAAAGTTTATTATATTAGGAAAAACACAAAATTACAGCATATTTTTATATTTATAATAAGCAGAAGAGTAATAAGGATAACATGGCTATAATGCCCTTTGTGATGCTGTTTATACTGAATTCTCACCTTAACTGATACTATTTTTAGAGGTTCTCACCCTCTCTCGTTGTATTAGCCTCCCTTTATCTCTGATAAGCTGTAAACATGTCAAAGTTTCAAAGAATACATTTCATGTTTGAATCTTTTGGAATACAAAGAAAGATCTTACTTAAATTCTGCCTTATAGTATGGAGTGATGATTGAGTTTTTAGTGATGATATAATCAACCTCCTTTCAAAGACAAGGGTAGAAAATTTCTGCAGAGTATTAGAACAAATTTCTTAAACTTCTATTTCCAAAAAGAGGCTGAATTTTTTAAGACTGCCTCTGGAAGATCTCTTATATACTCTATTTTTGGCAAACACTGGGATAATTTGTACTGAAGGTTATTAAGAGGTTAGACTAAGGAAAACTATATTTATTAAGTAAGGTAACGACTAGACATGCCAGAGTGAAATACAACTACTCCATTTGTAATTAATATTTGAGTAATAATGTATATATCAGTTGCATTTTCACTTTTTCAATTTGTCATATATAATTACTAATTTAATATTTAAAATTTGCTTGTAAAGCATAATGTAAGGTGATCTTTATTAAAAGAAAATTACATGGTTTTGTTGAAACCTAATTTTGACAATGGCAAAGCTTTGTATTAGAACCCATTTTATTTTTCTTCTGGGTTCTCAAATAATTTTACTTCGCAAGCCCTTGCAGTCAAGTTGTATTACTGGTTTTTGGCCTATAGAATATGAGTAAAAATTATACACATGATTTCCAGGCATGACTACTTGTCTTCTTGGAGAACTTTCACCATATTACTTCCCCCTTTTCAGTGACCAAGGATGTCATGTTGAAGTTGGTAGTGTCACTATGTGGAAGAAGTTTGAGTATTAAATGAATCTAGGTAAGAGAACCCTCACTGACCATATTAGACAGTAACACAAGACGCAATAAAATGTTATTGCATCAAGCCAGTGATAATTTGGGTTTATTTTACTGCAGCACAGCTTACTTGAGTCCAAGAATCAATATAGTTTTCTTTGCCATCTAGAGTAGCAATTGCACATTTGATAGGAGTTACGTTATGATTGGTTATCAGAGTTTTAAAATTGACTTTAGATGCAGAATGTACTACTTGGTCACTACCATCTTGTTATTACATCCCTTTTTTATTAATTTACTTACCTGATTGGCCCTGGAACACATTTGAGTTTATAGACCACTGTTATGAAATGAGTTTCATTAATGTTATCTAATGCAAAGGAATGCTAGCTTTTGTGTACATTTTAGTTGGGTCTAAAAGGTAATTTTTTTGTATATACGAGTTAGTATGTGCTTCTAAAATACACAAAAGAGTAACAATTTAAACATTTTTTAAACCTGAACTCCTCAAAAGATACAGCACATGATTTAAGAAAAAATATAAAAAATATTACCTGAAATATAAAACTATTTCATCTGGGTTAAAAACTAGATTTAAAAGATAGTACTAAATATGCAATGTGCTTTAGAAAAATTTATGTGACTATTAACAAAAATGATAAATAGATGACCCCAGACCATCTTGTAATATTTATAAGTATGGGACCAAGGTTTCTCAGAATCAAAATTGTATTTCTTGAGCATATAAACTAGTTTATGGGATTTAATTAAAGTGGACTATAGTCCCAGGCAGAATATGCTCCTACATTCCAGCTCATCCCAATGCTATGCAAATATTCTACTTGCCTAAGGAGTGCTGAAACCTTTCCTGAAGTACTTATAATTTTATTTTCATAGAGGACTGTTAGAAACAGGAGATGGATCAGAGGCAGGATACCACATAAAACCAGCTCTAATGGATAAAATCAGGGTATTTTTATTATTTCCAAGCCAATATCTCATTCTTTCTTTCTCATCAGCTTCCAGAATTGTTTTGGGGAATATATTTCCCATCGCTTTATTAATTGGCCCTCTTATTTTAAGGACTTTAATGTTAACCATTGCAATGAAATGGAGTACTCCAAATCAACCCTGGATGAGTTAAAAAAAATCTTGCGGATTTTTAAGAGTCTTTGTCTCAAATCAGTAATGACACTGTTACTTAAATGGTCCTAAGGGAAACTGTTTTTCATACTTCTGATAATTACTTGCTGGGATGACCTTATTAAATAAAATGTAGCTAAATAATGTGAGATTTCACAGATTCGAATTCCCTGACATGAGCTGTTTTATTAAATATGCAAGTGCACACTATTTGCAGTACACACTTTATGTCAGCTCCTCTACACTTCTGCCAAGATGTCTCTGTAGGGAGCACAAACAATTTCTCTCTGGTACTTCTGGCTCTCCTACACTAATTGCTTAGGTGATTTTCCCCATACCCCCTTAATTTCTGGAGATCTCTCCAAAGCTGTTCTCTGGAAATGAAGAAAACTTGTAATGTATTAGAAGAAACATAAATAAGAAATTCATAGATATGAAGGTCTATATGTATCTAGCCCCTCAACGTTATTCCACTATATTTTCAAATTGCTTCATAAGAGCCAGCAATAATTTGGTTTTATTCCTTTATTTATTTATTCTGCACATATATATTGAGTAGGTTGAGATCTTAAACATGTAAGAGGCACAAAAATGTGAGTGTAACTCTTGAGGCTGCTTTTGTCCTGTGTTAAAATAATTAATGATGGAAATAGGTTATAATATTTTGGATATAATAGGAAGAAAATCAATCTATGCTGATATAAATAATTAAATTAATAATGTGAAAGTTGTATGAAAGACAGAATATTTACATGGTTTCAAAATTCCTTCCCACCAATTAACTATTAATTACAAAATGAAGGGTTTCTGCTTCTGTAACTCCTGTCGATCCAATTCGTTTATAACTACAAGAAAGAAAGAAAGAGAGAGAGAGAGAGGAAGAGAAGAGAAGAGAAGGAAGAGAAGAGAAGAGAAGAAAAGAGAAGAGAAGAGGAAAGAAAGAAAAGAAAAACTACTGCTTGATGAGAGTTTGCACTTTGAAAGGAAATGGCATTGTTTCTCATTGCATGCCTCTTTTTGCCTGAATGCAGATGTGAGACTGCCAATTTTAGGAGAATAAAACTTAAAAAAAAATTATCAGTCTTACTGGCTTAAAGAAAAAGTTGGAGCCACCACATCTGGAGAGTGAAGAAGTTCCACATTAAGGGAGAAACAGTGCCAAATTATGTGAATAAAAACTATTTAAATTTCTGATTATATCTAAACTATGGATGTTCAGAGCAGACTCCAAGAAGTCTAGCTAAATCTAGAAAACCTAAGGAAAATGTCATGTATCCACAGGGAAACATAAATTGAATTCTGAGTCAGGATAATTTAATGTATATTAAAACTAAACACAAAATGCTCTTCAGAGGAACATAACAGAATCTAGAGTTTTTACAATGTATCATCAGGATACCATACATATATTAAGACACACAAAGAGACAGAAAGATGTTACCCAAACTCAAGAAAACACAATCAATAGAGAGTACCCTGAGATGACATAGTTGTTGGAATTGCTAAAGATTTTAAAGCAGCTGCTATAACTTCTCAGGAACAAAAAATTAAATATGCATTATGAACAAATAGGAAATCTCAGCAGATAAATATAAACTACTTTGTCTATCTGAAAATATCTTTTATTCACCTTCATTTATAATATTGCTTTGATTAGATAGAGAATTCCACGTTAACAGGTATAGTTTCCTGAACAATGTCTCCAATAAAGGCATTATGTCCTTATCTGTGGAACCAATGAATGTTACCTTTCATCGTAAATGTTTGCAGGTGTGATTAAGAATCTTGAGACCGGGAGACGATCCTGAACTATTTGAGCGTGTGTCCCAAATGCCATCACAACTTTCCTGAGGAGCAAAAAGAGATCAGACACACAAAATAATATAATGTGAGGATGCAGGCAGACATTAGGATGATGCGTTCACAAGATAAGAAATGTCAGCAGACACCAGAAGCTAGAAAAGGCAAGAAATGGATTATCTTCCAGACTCTAAAGGGAGGGTTGTTTAGCTAACACTTTAATTGCAAAAGATCTCAGAATTGTGAGAGAATAAATTTCTGTTGTTAAGCTGCAGAGTCTTCAGTAGTTTATTATAGTAGCCCTAATAACCTAACATAGATTTGGTAAGGAATATGGGATGCTGTTAAAAAAAATAACACCTAAAAATTTGAAAGTAGATTTGGAATTGGATGATAAATAAAGGTTGGTCAAATTGTGAAGAATAGTAGAATAAGTCCGGATTGCCTTAAACAGCATGGACAGAAATAGGGAATTAAAGGCATTTCTGGTAAGTGTTCAATAGAAGTGCACAGAGTATGGTAGAAAAAGCCTGTATTAGTGCCTATATCAGTGCCCTTATAAATGAGACCTGAAGGAAACTGTTTGCCCATTCCACCATGTGAGGACACATAGAAGGTGCCCTCTATGAAGATTGGGCCTTCATTATACATCAGTTTTTCTGGCTCCTTAATCTTGGACTGCCTAGATTCCAGGACTGAGAACAACAAATTTCTGTTGTTTATAAATTACCCATTCTAAGATATTTTGTTACAGCAGCCCAAACACACTGACACCTTCCTACTTCTGTGTTCCTTATTGTGTGTGTGTCTGTGTGTGTGTGAGTGTATGTGTGCATTCACCTATCAACACATGGTAGAAAATGATCAAATCATATGTACATTTTTTCTGTACTAAATGTACCCTTTATGACAGCCGTCACTTTATTTCCTCTATTGTTATATCAACATCTAGAAGTCAGGCACATAATAGGAACTGAATAAATACTTGTGGATTAAATGAAGAATGTAGCTTTTTATTTATATCTTATACATTTATTTATTTTAATCAAGTATTGGGTTGAAATTTGGAAATGGTCTTTCTATAAACTATATTGATTCTTCACCTTTTTGTCAAAGAAAATTATATGAATGTATATAAGGTGGATATGATTACAATTTTAAAAGATGTAGTATATTATGGATACCACAGCAATTTAAATATGTATATAGTATTCAATAGTCAATGATGTGAAAATATTAAAGCTCTCTTATCTTCTGTTTCTTATTGGCCTAATTTCTGAAATAAAATACTAATTGAAAAAATCTAAGTTTGTAGATTCAAATTAGGAGAAAATTCTATTCTCAGATGTCATACTTGTTAAAATGCTTTTAACCACTTGGTCACACCAAACGTATCATTTAATGTAAGCAAAGAATGCAATTTATCAGTTATAATTTATCAGTTATAAATTTCATTCCTTGCTTAGATTAAATAATATGTTCTGTATCATAATATATAACTATCTCTAAGAGTCATAAAAATAGCTAACTTGAATGTTTCCAATGTTTGAATGGGTTCTAGATGTTGTGCTCAACAACTTTATAAACAAGGGCTTTGTGACCCCATTTTACAGAAATAGAAATAAAGTACAGGGTTGTGAATTACTTCTGCTTGAAAGACCAGTGAGCTATAGAAGATCACTCAGGTAGTGTGCAGAGCAGAGGCTTTGCTCCAACCACCAAAGCCCATTGCTTTTTTCCCTCATAGGATTCCAGTACAATATGCCTCCAGTCACATTTGGCATATATCATGATATCAGTGATATCAACGGTTTCATCAAGCAAATTTAGGACCTACATTTAATATTACACATACACCTATACTAAAGTTATACAATTTTCTAAATAAATATTAGTTTCATTTACCAAGTCTATTTAAGCTAGTGAATTATCTATAATCAAAACTTATGGTTAAAGCTTTGAATAAAGGAAATATTTTAGAACATTTAACCAATAATAATATTCTCTTTTAAGAAATACTTCACATAAACATACATAATAATAGGAAAATAAGCTAAATTTTAAAAATATATAGGACAGTAATGGTATACACCACATAGATAAAAGTGCCAACTGGGGATAAATAACACTTCTGAAAAGTTGCAGTAACAAAGTATCAACTAGGTGTGATAATGATACACTGGAACTGAAGCTAAATTAAGTTTTATGCTAAATGATTATTGATAAGAAATATCACATATTAAAAATAAAATTTTGCTATTTGGGTGGTGTTTTGAGAACAGTATCAGTAAAACATCAACACTCTGTGTAAAAAGTTTTTAGAGGCCGAGCACAGCGGCTCACTCCTGTAATCTCAGCACTTTGGGTGGCCGAAGCAGGCAGATCCCCTGATGCCAGGCCTTTGAGACCAGCCTGGCTAACATGGTGAAACCCTGTGTCTACTAAAAATACAAAAATTAGCTGGGCGTTTTGGCACACACCTCTAATCCTAGCTCCTACAGAGTCTGAGGCAGGAGAATCACTTGAACCCGGAAGGTGGAGATTGCAGGGAGCTAAGATTGCACCACTGCACTACAGCCTGGGTGACATAACAAGACCCTGTCAAAAAAAAGTTTGTAGAAATTGATAAAAGGAAAGCTTCAAGTAATTACAGCCCTAATAATGTCCTCTACTAATCATCAAGGCTCAAATAAGATTGATTGGTGAAGTTAGTATATATAAATAAGTTGGTATAACCAACAGAGCCTCTGGAATTCATAAATGTAAAGGCAATGGGAGCTATACTAAAATGACACATTATATTTACAATTTCTAAATGGGCTCATGTTGCATTTTCTAGGGAAAAGATGGGCTCATCAAAGCAACAATTAGAATATTCCTGCATCAGTCACCCAATGAGCCCCTTGCCTATACATCCTATATTCATGCTCTCTTTAGTCCATCATCCACAATGCAGTCCAAGTGATTTTTCAAAAATAACAACCTCTTGATGGCTTTTTCTATAGGATCCAGACTGCTTAGCTCATGTTGGGTATGAAATTTCCTAACATACTCATTTGAGTTTCATGTATGCACAACTATATTCTGTTATATACAAAGCTGATATCTTACCCTGAACTATCTCTGTTCCTAGTTCAATCAATTCTGCATTTTATTTGTCCATCTAGTGGTTTTTCTGATCAACTAAGAATTGATAAATGAGGCTCAATTAAAGTTTTATATTTGGCTTACCTTCCCCTACTCTATTTGATTCTAAGGAAGTCTTACCATCAGAACACTCATGCTCATGAGATTATTCTTTTCAGTGTAAGAAAAACGTAGCCCTTCTTCTCGGGGTTGGCTGTGTTGTTCTCTGTTGTTTAATTAGCTCACATCATTTTGTGTGTATGTGGGGTGGGTGGGGTGTGGCTTCCTCAAAGTCTGAACCTGTCCTCTCAGCATCAAGTGATGCTTGTTTCTGGTCCAGATAGGAAAAGACTTGCAAGTACTGTTGGTGCATGTAGGTGTCCCAAAACACTTGTTTATTGACAATTCCATTCTCATAGATACACAGCCAATCTTCAGCCTTGCTTCCAGTACAACCCTTGAAATTTGCTGTTTGACCAACCACTTGGTTCATTGGGGTGGGCACAGCTTACATTCCCAGTAAGACTATGCACTGCATTATATATGGAATATAGATCAAAGATGTATGGGTCTCCTTTTTTGCTATGTTCAGGTCCATAAAACCTAGAGCCTTCCTTTGTGATAGGGCCTGAGAGGCAAGGGAGTTCCCATTATCCTCAGCTTGCTTCTACTTTTCTCACTCTTGCTGCCCCTCCCCTTACAGATTGAACACCTTTTAAAGTAAAACCTGTGAGACAATGGAGAGAAACTGTCCTGGTTAGCACATCTTGAAAATGTCCAGCATAGGACATCCAGCCCTCCACATTTCACCACAGAAATCTGCAATCTGCTTAGTGTGCTGCATGTTCCTCCAATTCCATGTTGTAAATACATACCTTTTGTTTCAAATTCTCCATGTCAATAGTATTTATTGGTGAGAAAAACAGAAAACTATAATCTGTTTTATATCAACTTATTAGTTTGCCATGAAATTACTATTCATCTTATATATTTTTAGGGAACAGTCTTCCTCAAGATCTGTGTAGATATCATCCCTCATCACTAAACTAATATACACAAAACAATGCAACTTTCCAGCCTCAGTTTCTTTCATTCCCTGCCTCACTCTCCCACTTTGCTCTTTAGCCATGCCCACATACTTCCAGTTCCCTAAAAGAAGCAAGGAATCCTCAACTTTTTGTCACTTAAATATGTTACTCCTTTTGCCTGGAGTACTCTTGTGTTTCTTTTCTACTACGTCAATTTACTCTTCTTTAGATTCTGCCTGGAAAATTCGTTCACCTAGAAATACTTCCATAACCTTCCCCCATCTCTCCATCACTGGGTTACTGGCACCATATCGCATCAGCCTGTTTATACTTGTCTGTCTTGCCTATTAGGGCTCTCACGTAATTCTGGCATTTCCTCTATTCCTTTAGCCACAAAACTAGCAATGCCACAGATAGTGTCTATTCATTCAGTAGGGTCACAAAATGAAGAAATAATGCAATGAGTCTCAAGGGGCATGCCAAATGATTAAGAATTAAATACTTGTTGTTATAAGCAATTAACATTTTCAAGCAGGTTGTTGCTACAATCTATCTTAGCCTAACATGACTGATAGAGCAATAAATATTTTGAATTAATTGAGTCACTTAGAAAACAACTTCAGAATGTATCTGTAATTAAATAAAATGGTGTGCAATTACCAAACCTGTTAACATTCTTATATTGTACAATAATTTGCCACTTCATCTCAAAAATTAAGTAAGCCAAGCTACACATTTAATATTGATAACATTTTGGGGGGCTGCTGTAGACTCCACAAAGAGAGAGAGAAGGAGAGAGAGAGAGAGAGAGAGACAGAGCTCTAGCTTGTGAACACTTATAATTTCTAGGAATAAAATACTAATTTAAAAAATCATGCATTGTTTCAGCCAGGAGGAGCCTTAACAAACAGAATAAATAAATATCATACAATATCCTGGAGAGACTCTTGGAACAAAAAAGAACATTAGGTTAAACATTAGGTTAAAAATGTAAATAAATAAATCAGAATAAAGTACAAACTTCTGTTAAAAATAATGCATCAATAGTAGCTGATTATTGGTGACAAACATACCATACTGATATAAGGTGTTAATAATCAGAGGAAATGCATATGAGATATATGAGAACTCTGTACTATCTTCACAATTTTTCTGTAAGTCTACAACTAATCTAAAAAATTAAAGAATATTTAAATACTGTTTGTAATATATTTATGAATACCTTAGTAAACTAGTTAAATGTGCATTTATAAAACACTTAACATTTATTTTAATATTTAAAAAATGCATTCTTAAGGAAAGCTCTTTTCGAGTATCTTCTAAAATATACCCTCATTGAGAAATATTTTAAAATTAAAAGTAACTTGTGAAAATACATTGTAGAAATGAATAAGGGAGAATATTTAATGTTATATTTATATTTCGTAAAATTAATATATAAATTTTCTACTGGAAAATATATTTTAATAATTTTTTTAACAACTCCAGTAGTGTAATTTCTAATATTTTTACAACATAAGAAAACTAATAATCACTTTCATTTTCTAAAAGTTTACATCACCATTGATAATTTTTCAGCCCATAATATCTCAAAATGACAATTTGGCCCACAGTATTCCCAAAGGACTAATTAAATACAAAGTCAAATAAAATTTTCTCTAATATATTCAAATGTATATATAAATATTTCAGGTAAGTGAATCTTTTCAAATAACCAGGTAAATGTTTAAATGAATTAATTATCCTTTTCTTTACATTTTATGCTTTATAATGATACTTGATTATTTGAGTCATCTTTTAAATCTGGAATTTAACATATATTTCTATTACTGCAAATACAGCCTTAAAAATAGAATATAAAATATATTACTATAGGTTGTATTTTTATTCATTAGCTTTTTCTTTTTTCCCCTATAAGTTATATCCTTTTAGATGAATCAAATATTTTTCTCTAAAATGTATTTTAGGTTAGCCCAAATTTTCCTTATAAAATAATTTTCACAGTCCAAACACTTTTAAAAAAAGTCTTTATTTAAAAAATTTAGATTCTTTATTTGTTGTTTTTTCTGTGTGGTGGCAGCATTGTCAAAAATAGTTTCAGATATATCAATTAATTAATACAATATCATAATAAAATATAAAAGTCCTTAATAGATTCACATGGTTAAAATTGCTACTTAAAAGTGCTAAGCACTTTTAAACACATTGGAAACTAAACCATTTCATGGATTATTGGGTACCTGACATAGGTGTAGGGAGATTAAAGGAGTGTAGCAATTTTATTAGCAAAAGTGTTTATACCACTTAGAAGAAAACGGGATCTCTATTAAATTGCCTGAATTAAAACACATTTTTAATAATAACACTTTCACCTAAACAAGCACAAAGTAGAGTTTGTGAGCTTTGTGTGGAATATAGTGAATACTGTCTTCATGTGAAGTATATAGGTCTAATCCTCACCCTAGTATTATATTAGGTAGCTTACACTCTCAGGGCATCTCTCTCCATCATGAAATTAAAGTGTTGGCAAATGTAATCTAGACATTGTCTTTTAACTCTGCAGTGTTCAACTTACCTTTTCTTTTCCATTATTATCTTTAAATACCAATTTTAATTTTTAGTATAAATCATATTTATACTACCAAATAAATTTCACTTGTCCCATTAATACATTTAATCAACTATTGAATCTTATTTTCTAGGAGTATTTGCTTCAGCATATGAATAAAATTTCTTTATAAAAATGAATTTCAAAATGTATACCTCCTAAATGCACCTGAAGAGTACCCTCATAATTAATAGCTTCATTATTGCAGTCATTCTTTCTGAAGAAACTTAGTGCTATTTTTTGACCATATAATTGTGGATTAGCTGTGAGATTAGGGATCTACACCATAATTAGACCAACCAGTCTATTAGCTTCTGTGTTTTAGTGTACTGCACAGTGTTGT
Source organism: Homo sapiens (assembly GCF_000001405.40). Lineage (NCBI taxonomy): Eukaryota > Metazoa > Chordata > Mammalia > Primates > Hominidae > Homo > Homo sapiens. Next base: position 188,207,184 of record NC_000001.11, read on the forward strand.
ATGCCAAACAGATTAGTTATTTTTTGTGCTTCCATAAATGAAAAAGGAGAGATTATAACTGATACCAAAAAAATACAAAAAATCATCAGAGACTACTATGAACAACTAAACTGTCACAAACTAGAAAACCTAGATGAAATGGATAAATTCTTGGAAACATACAAACTCCCAAGATTGAACCAGAGAAGAAACAGCAATTTTGAACAGACCAATAATGAGCAGTGAGATTGAACGTGTAATTTTAAATCTCCCAACAACTATGAAAAAAGCACAAGCCCAGATGGATTCACAGGCAAATGCTACTAGAAATACAAAGAAAAACTAGTGCCAATCCTGAAACTATTCCAAAACATTGAGGAGGAATGAATCCTCCCTAATTCATTCTACAAAACCAGTATCATCCTGATACCAAAGCCAAACAAGGGCACAACAATGAGGGGGAAAAAAAAAACAAAAAAAAAAACCTATAGACCAATATCCCTGATGAACATAGATGCAAAAATCTTCAACAAAATCCTATCAAACCAAGTCTAAAAGTACATAAGAAGATAATACACCATGATCACATAGGTTGTATTACAGGGATGTAGTGATGGTTCAACATATGTATAGCAATAAATGTGATTCGCCACATAGACAGAATTTAACAAAACGTGACTATCTGAATAGATGGAGAAGAAGAATTTTAGAAAACTCAGCACTCCTTCATAATAAAAAAACCTTCAACAAACTAGGCATAGAAAAAAGTATCTCAAAATAATAAAGCCCGTATATGACAGACCTACAGCCAACATCATACTGAACAGTGAAAAGTTGAAAACAATCCCCCTAAGAGCTTCAATAATAAAAGGATGCCTGCTTTCACCATTCCTATTCAACATAGTACTGAATGTCCTGGTGAGGGCAATCAGGCAAGAGAAATAAATATAAATTTGAAAGAGGAATTCAAATTTTCTCTGTTTGCTGATAATATGATCTTATACCTAGAAAACCCCACAGACTCCTCCAAAAACTCTTACATTTGATAAGGAAATGTAGTACAATTTCAGGATACAATATCAATTTACAAAAGTCAGTGACATTGCTCCACACTAATAACAATTAAGCTGAGAACCAAATCAAGAAGACAATACCATTTACAACAGCATAATCAAATAAAATACCCAGGAATAAATTTCACCAAGGAGGTGAATGAAATTCTCTGTGCAGGAAACTACAAAACACTGATGAAGTAAATTGAAGATGACATAAGCAAAAATTCAATTCCCATGCCCACGTATTGAACAAATTAATATTGTTAAAATTACCATACTGCCCAAAACAATCTACAGGTTCAATGCAGTTTCTATAAAAATGCCAGTAGCTTTCAAAGAATTAGAAAAAAAAATCCTAAATTTGTATGGAACCGAAGCAGGGCCTAAATAGCCAAAGGGATCCTATGCAAAAGGAACAAAGCCAGAGGCATCGCATTACCTTAAGTCAAATTAGACTCAAGGATAGAGTAATGAAAACAAAATAGTACTGGTATAAAAATGGACACATAAATCAATGGAACATGATAGAGAACCCAGAAATAAAGCCATTTATCTACAACCAACTGATCTTCAACAAAGTCAACAAAAACATACATGGCGGAAAGGACACCCTTTTCAATAAATGGTGCTGGGAAAATTGGGATGCCATATGCAGAAGAATGATACTGGACCCCTGTTTCTCACCATATACAAAAATCGACTCAAGATGGATCAAGGACTTAAATGTAAGTCCTGAAACTATGAAACTACTAGAAGAAAGTCTAGGGAAAGCCCTTCTGGACATTGGTCTAGGCCATGAATTCATGACTGGGATCTCAAAAGCACAAACAAGCAAAACAAAAATAGACAAATCTCACAATGATTTGATTCAGCAATCTCACAGAGTTTATACCCAAAGGAAAACTAAAAAGCTTCTGCAGAAAAAAAGAAGTGATCAACAGAATGAACAGACAACTGGTATAATGGGAGAAAATATTTGCAAACTATTCATGAGGCAGAGGATTGATATTCAGGTTTTACAAAGAACTCAAATGGTTACTGGGAAGTGCAAGAATCCTGGGTTCTTGTCTCCTTAGCAGAAAGATTTCAGCCAAGAGACACACAGCAAGGGGTAAGTAGCAGAGCTGATTGAAGGAAGGTAATGTATATTCCAAGAGAGGAGTGAGTTGACCTGGCTGGAATATAGCTCTGGGCTGGTCCAGCTGGGAAAATAGCAGTACCAGTGTTTATTTAAAGAGACAGTACACTCTGAAAGATGAAACAGAGCTGGCTGCTTGAGAGAATGCACAAGAAGCAGCTAGTGCTGGCGGACTCTCTTTATGACAGTCTTACATAATTATTCATGAAGGATGTGAGGGTTTGTCACTTGCAATCATGTTGTAGGCAGTCCCCTTGAGTGCGCATGCTCTGTGGTTGTACATGCTAGTACACACATCACATATCTCCTTACCATTTACAGTCTCCACCCAGGAGTGTTTTTTTGTTTGTTTGTTTTTTGTTTTTTGTTTTTTTTACTATTGTAATGAGCAAAAGGCTGCTTTAGGGTGAGTTACTGCAGGAGTGAGGATGCTCATCAGCAGAAGTTCCTACCGTGGTTATCTCTGGCTAAGGCCTCATAAATCCACTTTAGGGCTAGAGGAGCCCAACCACAAGGCCAGAATAGCCAGTGTAGCCATTGTCTTATTTGCTGACTGTCAGTGGGCAGCACTGACTATTACAGGGCAGTATCTCCATAATTTATTTTCCTAGGGGCTCCCTTGCCTGCTAATTTCTGGCTATTTGCTTACTCTAACAAAACAACTCAAGAAAACCCTCAAATAATCCTATTAAAATGTAGATAAAGGACATGAACATTTTTGTATGTCTGTTTTTGAAAAGAAGTTAAACAAATGTCCAGCAAGCACATGAATAAATACTCAACATCACTAATCATCAGAGAAATGCAAATTAAAAGCATAATGATATGCCATCTTACACTAGTCAGAATGACTTATTAAAAAGACAAAGATAATAAATGTTGGCAAGGATAAGGAGAAAAGGGGCCATTTACACACTGTTGGTTGGCATTTAAATTAGTACAACCTCTATGGTAAACAGTATGGTGATTCTTCAGAAAACCAAAAATAGAGCTACCCATTGATTCAGCAATCTCACAATGAGTTTATACCCAAAGGAAAAGAAAGCATTATATCAAAAAGATACCTGCACTTTTATATTTATCACAGCAATATTTACAATAGCAAAGATATGAAGCCACCTGTGTCCATCAATGGATGATTGGATAAATAAAATGTGGGGTAGCCAGGTATGGTGGTGCCTACCTGTAATCGCAGCACTTTGGGAGTACAAGGCACAGGGTCACTTGAGCCCAGAAGTTCGAGACCAGCCAGGTAACTAACATACAGAGACCCTGTCTCTACAAAAAATTAAATATATATATAATATATATATATAATATATATAATAGATTATATATAAAATATATAGATTATATATATATATAAAATATATATAATATATATATTATATATATATTATATATATATATATATATAATATATATATATCTGGCCATGGTGGCACATAGCTGTGGTCCCAGCTACTTGGGAGGCTGAGGTAGAAGGATCACTTGGGCCCTGGAGGTTGAGGCTGCAGTGAGCCATGGTCATGCCACTGCACTCCAGCCTGAGCAGCAAAGTGAGACCCTGTGTCAAAAAACAACAAAAAAAAAAAAAAAAAAAAGAAAAGAGAAGAAAGAAAGAAAATGTGATATGGAATACTATTCAGCCATAAATAGAATTAAATCATATCTTTTGCAGTAACATGGATGGAGCTAAACACCATTATCTTAAGTGAAACAACTCAGAAAAAAAAGTCCAATACCACGTGTTCCCATTTATAAGTGTGAGCTAAGTAATGTGTACAAATCGACATAGAGTGTGGAATAATAATGATTGGAGAAGCAGAAGGGTGGGGTGTAGAGAAAGGTGAGGGTTGAGAAAATGCTTGGTGGGTACAATGTGCACTATTCTGGTGATGGTTATGCTAAACCCCCAGACTTCACCATTATGCAATATATTCATGTAGCAAAACTGCATTTGTACCCATTAAATGTACACAAATTAAAAAAATTCTATTATAGTTTAAATTTCCTAATCTTTACAAGTATTTTTTTTCAGAGGGATCTTAGCGTTTTCCGTTTTTTTCTAGGTCTTTGCTCAAAAATTACCATCTGAATGTTGTCAATGTTTTCATCCCATGTGAAATTGTGTGCACTCCTTTTTGTTTTTCTTTTTTTAACACTTATCATAATGTGATGTAGTTATACTTTACTTATTTAACTATTGTCATTCCCTTGCTATTAGAAAGTAAATTCCAAGGGGCAGGTATTTTTCTTTTTCAGTTCACTCACTGCAGGTTAAAGAGTATCTCATACACAGTGTACACATTGCAATATTTCTTGAATAAATTAATGAATTACTCCACTGAAAATTGTCCTGTTAAGGTTACCAGTGACCTCTAGTATGCCAAACTGAAGGACAGTGATTTAGCCTTTTAGCAACTCTCAATGTACTTGGATACTCTCTTACTGTGAAACATTCATTTTTATTAGTTTTCAACATGCCACATTTTTATATCTTTTCCCAACCATTTTGAAAACTTTCTCTCTCTCATTTATAGGCTCCATGGCTTTATTCAATTACAATATTTCAGAGTTCTTCTCTTCTTTTTTCACTGTACACATCTTTCTTGGTTGATCATTTTAGATAAATTGACTTCAAATATATTTAAATACAGAGCATGTCAACTTTTTGAGATGATGAAATAATATTTCTTCTAAATTCTGTTAGCATGATGAATTACATTTTTGTATTGATGCACGATAGATGTACATAGTTTTGGAGCACATGTGATAATTTAATACATTATAATAATTTGTAAAGATCAAACCAAAGTACTTGGGATACCCATTACCTTCAATGTTTGTCATTTGTTTATGCTAGAACCACTCAAATACTTCTCTTCTAGCTACATTCTAGTATATTCTTCTTCTAATATGTTCTAAATATATAATAATGTATTATATATTTTGAAATATACAATATACAATATATAATTGATTATAAGATAGAAATATGCATAAATATATACAATTGATTATTTGAAATATACAATACCTTATTGTATATTTTGAAATATGCAGTAGCTTATTATAAACTATAATCACCCTACTAATCTATCTAACAGTAGGTCTTATTTCTTCTGTCAGACTGTATATTTGTACCCATTAATCAACTTCTTTTCAGTCCCTCCTCTCTATTATCATTCTCGACCTCGTAACCACAATCTACTCTCTGTCTTCATGAGATTCAATTTTTTATCCCCTATATGTAAGTGAGAACATGCAATATTTGTATCTCTGTGCTTGGCTTATTTCACTTAATCATAATGACCTCCAGTTTCATCCATGTTGCTCCAAATGACAGAATTTCATTTTTCATGGCTGAATAATATTCGTTGTGTATATATACCACATTTTATTTATCAGTTCATCCAATGATGGACACTTAGGTTGATTACATATTTTGGCTGTTGTGAATAGTGCTGCAATAACCATTGGATGTACTTTTTAACATATTGATTCCCTTTCTTTTGAGTATGTGTTCAGTGGTTTAATTGCTGGATCATATGTTATTTCTAATTTTGGTTTTTGAAGAACCTTCATACTGTTCTTCACAGTGGCTGTGGTAATGTACATTTCACAAACAGTGTACAAGGGTTCCCCTTTCTTCACATCCTCACAAGCATCTGGTATTGCTTGTCTTTTTGATAAATGCCATTTTAACTGGAGTGAAATGATATTGCATTGTAAATTTTATTTGCATTGTCAAGATAATTTGTGATGTTGAGCATTTTTTTTTCATATAACTGTTGGCCATTTGTATGTCTTCTTTTGAGAAATATCTATTCAGATAATTTCCCCATTTTAATTAGAATATATATATATATGTATTCAGCCTAAAATTTGTAAAATGTAACAAAAATGTAATCAAAATATGTAATTAATCTAAGTGCCCATCAATAGCAAAACATGTGTGTGTATATGTATAATTATATGTATATGTTTATGTTTTAAACATATATGTATATGTTTTGCTATTGAGTTGTTTGAGCTCTGTATATATTCCGGTTTTCAATCCTTTGTCAGGTAGATAGTTTGCAAATATTTTCTCCATTTTTGTGGTTTGTCTCTTTACTTTTTTCATTGTTTGCTTTGCTGTGCAGATTTTTTTAGCTTGATGTAATCCCATTTGTCTATTTTTCCTTAAGTTATCTGTTCTTTTGAAGTCTTACACAAAAGCCTTGGCCCAGATCAATGTCCCAGAGCATTTCCTCAATGTTTTCTTCTAGCACTGTCATAGTTTTAGATCTTAGATTTAAGTCTTTAATCCATTTTGATTTTTTTAATGTATGGCGAGAGATAAGGGTCTGTTTTATTTTTCTGCATGTAGTTATCTAGTTTCCCCACCACCATTTATTGAAGATATTTACCTTTCCCCGTTGTATGTTCTTGGCATTTTTGTTGCAGAAGAGTTTGCTGTAAATACATCAATTTTTATCTCCATTCTCTATTATGTTCTATTGGTCTATATATCTGTTCTTATGCCATTACTGTGCTAATTTGGTTAATATAGCTTTGTAATAAAATCTGAAGTCAGGTAGTATGATACCTCCAGGTTTGTCCTATTTACCCAGGATTACTTTGGCTATTCGGAATTTCTTTTCGTTTCCATGTATATGTTAGGATTATTTTTCCTATTTCTGTGAAGAATGCCATTGGTATTATGATAGGGGTTGAACTGAATCTGCAAATAGCTTTGGGTATTATTGTCATTTTAATAATATTCTTCTAATCTATGAACATTGAATATCGGTTCATTTTTGTGTACTCTTGAATTTCTTTCATCAGTGCTTTATAGTTTGTCTTGTATAGATACTTCACTTCTTTGGTTAAATTGATTTCTATGTTTTTAAACTTTTTTGTAGCTATAATAAATGAAGTTGCTTTCTTGATTTCTTTTTCTAATTGTTTGCTATTGGTGTATGTAAATGCTACTGGATTTTTATGTGTTGATTTTGTATCTGACAAAATTACTGAATTCATTTATCAGTTCTCACAGTTTTTTGGTGGAGTCTAGTTTTTTCTAAGTATAAGGCAATGTCAACTGCAAACAAGCCTAATTTCTTTATTTCTTCTTCCAACTTCTTTATTTCCAATTTGGAGGCTCTTTATTTCTTTCTCTTGCCTAATTGCCCTAGTTAGGACTTCCAGTACCATGTTGAATAAAAGTGGTTAAAGTGGACACCCTAGTCTTGTTCCATATCTTAGGGAAGAGGTGTTCAATTTTTTCTTGTTCAATATGATATTAGCTGTGGTATTGTCATATAGGGCCTTTATTATATTGAGGTATGCTCTTTATATACACAGTTTTATGATGTTTTTAAACTGGTGTTGATTTATATCTAATTCTTTTTCAGTGTCTATTGAAATAATCATATGGCTTTTGTTCTTGGTTTAGTTAATGTGATGTATTGTATTTACCTATTTGCATATGTTCAACCACCTTTGCATCCCTGGGATAAATCCCAGTTGATAATTGTGAGTAATCTTTTTAATGTGTAGTTGAATTGAGTTTACTCGTATTTTGTTGAGAATTTTTGCATCTATGTTCATCAGTGATATTGACCTATGGCTTTCTTCTTTAATTGTGTCCTTGTCTGGTTTGGGTTTCAGGGTAATGCTAGCCTCACAGAGTGAATTTGCAAGTGTTCCTTCCTCCTCAATATTTTGGAAGAGTTTGAGTAGAATTGGTACTACTTCTTATTTAAATACTTGGTAGAATTTTGCATTTGAAGTCATCAGAACCTAGGCTTTTCTTTGATGAGAGATGTTATTATGGGTTTTATCTCATTACCCATTACTGGTTTACTGAGATTTTCTGTTTCCTAATGGTTCAATTGTATAAGATTGTAAGAGTTTAGAAATATATTGATTTCTTCTAGGTTTTCCAGTTTCTTTGTGTATAATAGGTTCTAACGATTCTTTGTATTTCTGAGATGTCAGTTGTTATGTCTTTTTAATTTAAGATGTTATTTATTTGGGTCATTTGGGTCTTTCTTTCTATCTCTCTGTCTCTCTCTGTTTCTCTCTCCCTTAGTTAACCTAGCCAAAGTTTTATCATTTTCGTTTATCTTTTCAAAGACTGAGTTCATGTTTTGTTGGTCTTCTGTATTTTTTTAGTCTCAATTTCATTTATTTCTTCTCTGATCTTTATGATTTTTTCCTTTTACTAACTTTAGGTTTGGTTTGTTCTTGTTTTTCAAGTTACTTTAGGTGCATTGTTAGGTTGTTTATTTGAAGTCTTTCTACTTATATAAGTATTTATTGCTATTAACTTCCCTCATAGTGCTGCTTTTGCTCTATCCCATAGATTTTGGTACATTGTATTTACATTTTTCCATTTTTATTTGCTTGAGGAAATTTTAAAAATTGTTTCCTACTTTTTTATTGACCCATTGATTATTCATGAGCATATTGTTTAATTTTCCTGTGTTTTTGAATTTTCCAAGCTTATTCTTGTTATTGATTTCTTGATTTATTCTACTGTGGTCTGAAAAGACACATGATATGATTTCTAATTTAAACAATTTGTTCAGATTAGCTTTGTGGCTTAAGATATGTTCTACTCTGCAGAATGTTCCATGTGCTGATGAAAAGAATGTTTATTCTGTAGAAGATGGGCAAAACATTCTATAAAATATCCGCTGGACCTATTAGATCTAGTGTGTAGTTTAACTATTACATATTCCTGTTGACTTTCTGGATGATCTGACCATTACTGAGAGTGAGGCGTTAACGTCGCCACTATTATTGTATTGCAGTCTATCTCTCTCTTTAGATTGATGAATGTTTGCTTTCTATACTTGGGAGCTCCAGTGTTGGTCTTCCAGCTGCAAAACCGTTTTGTAGTAGCAAGCTGGCTTCACTCTCCTTCAACAGAAAATCAGAAACAAGCCTACAGTACCAACAATATCAACAGAAATATCCTCGATCTCAAATATGAAGATGAAATAGTTTCTGGGGCCACAGATAAGTGAAAAAAAAAATTAGCAGACAGTAAAATACTCAGACTTCTACATCTGCGACCCTCCTCCCCGCATTCTACCAGGCACCAGGTGGACAACAATTTTCCACCAACTTATTGTTTCTACACTGGAAAAAGTGAGGTAAAAGTGACAGCCAGTTCTCTCACCATCTTGGCTTCCCTGGCAGGAGACCTAATCACTGCATTAACCCACAAGATTAGAGTTATTGTAACTCTATTCCATATCATAAAAATAAAGACTGAACATGTTATATAGATAGATGAAAAATTCAAAAAGAAAAACCAAATATAACTTCTAGAGATTAAAACTGCACTGAGATGAAAAATACAGTGCATGGAATCAACAGCAGATTAGTCATTCCAGAAAAAAATAATATATTAATGAACTGGAACCCAAAGCAATGGAAAATATCTAAAATTAAACACACAAAAATACAAAAAAAAAAATCTTTGAACATAATAACCCTGAGCTATGAGGCAGTTTTAAATACCTAATATATGTGTGACAGGCATCCCTGGAGAAGAGAATAAGACATTCAGAAATAATATTTGAATAAAATAATTGCCATTTTTTCCAAATTTGATAAAAACTATAAACCTAAATATTCAAGTACTCAGTGCACTTCAAGTGCAAGAAAATCGAAGAAAATTACATCATAATGACAGTGCTCAAAAGCAGTAATAAATAGAAAAACTTAAAAAACTGGGAAAAATGCATGCTACATACAGAGGAAAAAGGATAAAGATGACATCAATTTTCTCATTGTAAACAATGCAAACAAAAGAGAGTGAAGCAACAGTGTCAATAAAGCATCAAAAGAAGAAAAAATAACTAGTAATCTAGAATTCCAAAAGTTTTTAACTGGGATTGGAGACACCTAACTGGAGTTGATCTAAAAATATTAGGTGATTTGTACCATCTACACCCGGGTAAGTTAAACATTTTTTAAAAGAATATAAAGTTAATCTCCTGAGTTGATGGATGATTTTAATTTAGTGTTTTACAAGTCAGACTATTGTTTGGCTTAAGTCGATCCTCCTGTTTTCAAATCAGTCACATATATTCTGGTTCCTGGTAGCAGCAGTATTTAATCATTAGAACAGGAATTTATAATATCAACTAGAAAATTTCTATTTAGCAGACTATCAAATTCCCTATTTCTTAGCATGACTGTTCTCTTTCTTGGCACAGATAATGCAGAATCTTTCAGACAATCTTTCAAACATTTACTAAGTATCTACTATGTTCTGGGCATAGTTCTAGGTACTAGAAATATAAAGTTAAGGAAGCAAATCTGTCCATTTGGTCTTGGAGTTTACACTGTAATAAGGAAGAAACATTATAGGAATCAATGAATAAATGACGTAATCAATAAGTAAAAATAAATCGTATAATGCGAACTCTTGAAAGCTATATGGCTAGCTTAATGATGAGAAATGTTAAAGAGGCTGAATGACCTGCTGAGGATCATGAAGTTAGAATGCAGAAAAATCAGAATGAAACAAAGATGTGATTTACATCAAGCAATGATAAAGGGAAAAAGAACATTGCACTTGGAATTGCAGGGGATTCTCACAAAAATAGTGACTGTCCTGTTTCTCTGAGGGATAATGCTTAATATATCACTGTCTGTTTCTTCCCTCTCTACACTTCAAAACTAACTGGTTCCTATATATGTATGATTCATGAATATCAGAATAAAGAGTAAACTTAATCCAAACAATACATAGTGAAAAAATAGATGCTGTATTGACAAGAAATGGAATTAATAAGAATGGAATATGAAAAGAGTAACAAAAGTACATTTCTTTTTCTAATCAAGCAATTCTAACCTACCCCTCCCCTTATTGAAACCTGAATGCAGTGCACTAAATTTCATTTGAGCAAAAACTTCTTAATTGGGACCAAGCAGTCAGAGAAGTAGATGGCAGATGCTCATGTACTGGTCAACAGAGACAATGCTCACACTGATTTAGGTGACAAAGCTGCTATTGCAAGTGTCACCTTGTGAATAGAGTGACATTGGTGGCAATTAGAGAAGAAACACCTATCTGACAGTGAAAATGAAGGCAGTGAAAATGAACACAAGCCTGAAGAAATAACATGAAGTGAATTAACAGGACAAGGCAGCTTGTAAATTGTAGTTTCGCAATAGTTTTTAGAAAGAACAAACAAACAATTTTACCTAAAATGACCATTGATCTTTGTTGATTGGCTAAATGGATTCCACTAGCAATGATAGTTTAAAGGATGATAAAGCATCATATTGCTTCAATTAAATATATAAATAACATGGTAATTCTTAGAATGTGATTTTTGATAGTTTTATCTTTCAAATATATCAGTAGCATATTCACATCCCTTGTGATTCTTTGAAGCTGTTTGGAAGGCTGTACAGGTTATAACCCATAGGCAGCATTTTGCTCTAGTTTTTTTCGACCACAGAACATTGAGGCCTACACTGAATCTTCACTTGTGCCATTGTTTTTCACTTGTGTCAGTTTAAAAATGCATTTCACATCTTCTGTAATTGGTAATCCCATTTTATATCTCTTTTATTTATTTTCTTTGCTTCAGTTTATTATTACATACAATCACATGCAGTCCTAACAGATTTTGGTGACAAATACAGTCAGGTACAAACATAGAAGGAATTCCCACCTTTATATTTGTAGAAGTATTTTCAATTACCATCACTCTTGAAACAAAATCACAAAGAACATACGGGAGAAATTGTTATTCTCATTTTATAAAGACACAAATGCCCAAAGAAGTGATATATCCTATGTAAGGACATACATTGCTACCTTTTAAACACAAAAAATGAATAAAATCCATAAAAAATCTAAGCCTAAATTTTGTCAAATCATACTCATGAAACTTCACTTGTCATCACTGAGATCCTCATCTGCTTTCATTTCTCAGGGGTACACACAGTAAGTCTCAGATTTTCTTCACACTGCCTATTCATAAACATATTGATTTAACATGGGCAACCAGATCAAGTGAATGCTCAATCATGGGCATAACTCTTACCTTGTTGAAAAACCAAACTGCTGATGCCTGAAGAAATGGTATGTGTTAGTGTAGACACACATACTCATGTTAGAAATATGTACATATGTTTTTAATACACATACACATATTTTAAATACCCACTGTTGGATTTTTTTTTCAAAATGCACTTGAAGAGATTGTAGGCTTTAGTTAATCAGTGCAGGAGTTTTATACTTCAGAAACTCTCTCTCTGTCTCTCTCTGGTATCTAGGCATAATTAAAGTTTAATTGTGAGAAATTTCCCTGATAATTCCTGATTTATCAAAGTTCATCCAAAATATAATTCCTACACATTAATGGTGTCAGTACTCTCAGATTTGGGCTTAAATGAATAAGTCACTTCTAATATACCAAAGGAAATATGCTTCCTTGGAGAGTTTGAAAAGAGCAGAATAAAATTTGAGAAGAAATATAATAAATGAAGTTTTCATACTATTTATATCTCCTTTTCTGTAAAATGTCCTTTTTAGAAGTAGTAGATCTAGTCTAGGTACATCATAAAATTCCTAACACCTATGGCTGAATTAAATCAAAGCCAAATGACCATATGGTAAAATTATTCACCATGGAATACTGCTTTTTAAAATTCTTTTTACTTAGGCTACAGTAGTCCCCAGTCAATCCTGATGCATTAAGAATGTCTGACGCATTAGCATATTTTATAATTGAGCTGAGAAATTATGTTACTATTAATTTATTTTTGAAATATTAACTTGCTTTTAAAGGAAGTACAATGAATAAATGTCAGAAATATTTATGCCAACACATTGTTATGTCAGGTATGCCCTTGAAATTCCAAGCTACATTAACAAGAAGACTGCTGGGCCTTTGAAGAAAGTTTGCTTTATATCCAGGCAAATTGCAGTTTGAATTGTGCTATGGGGCAGGCCAATATGAATAAATAAAGAATGGCACAGGCATCAAAAAATAAACTACTATTAATATGACATAATTAAAGTAATATAGTTATTATTAACAATAATTCAGAGGAATTATCAAGTTTATGCTTATATTGTTTGTTATGAAATTGTATTACACTTTTATTTTAGAGAATGATGTTTGGCGTTTAATTATGTGTGGCAACATTTTTACTGTAAGAATTCTACTTAAATCTTGCTTTGTTCTAAAATTTCAAATTATTTATGGTAAGAAAATAAGCCACCTTCTACACATCTTTCTCTTATAACATCTATTTTATTAAATAAACTTGTCTTTTATGTTGCTTCATATAAATAAGTTTTTGAGGTGGCTTAGATAATACCTGTTGATTGATTATTCAATGTATTCAAAATGTATTAGTTATATTTTTGTATTTAATATCTTAATAAATATCTTAAATGTATTAGACACTAATAAATAATCAATATAGGATCTTATGTTTATTATAGGCAAGTGTGTGGACTTACTATATAATTTATCATCCTTGATAAATTAGGTAAATAAATAAAATATACAGAAGAATGGCATTTGAGGTAAGACATCTCATTAGTGAGATTTTCTTGAATCCTAATATTTGAGTACCAAGAACAGTGCTTTCCACAGTTTATGTCTTATGTGTTTTTGCACATAACATATATACTCATTTACAAATCATTTATAAAATAAGTCAGAAGAATACTAAACAAAACAACATTTAAGAAAAAAGAAGCTTATTAAAATAGAATTGTTACGTTTCCATTGTGAATACACAAGGGAAGGGTATGGGGTGAATAAGGTGGAGGGAAAAGACAGCATTTCTTGTGATCTCTAAATACACTATTTAAATTTACTATTTTTAAAGACCTATAGAAAGACTAGTGTTTCCATGGAACACCTTTTAGGAAATAATATTCTAGAGAATTTTTTATGCTTCTCTGCCATTTGGAAACATTTATCCTCCTATTTCCTGTTACTTTAGTTATATATTTAATACTTACAACAAAATAGTTAGGAAAAAGCTTATTTATTACTTTACAGCTTAGAATGGTAGATAGATATAGATAGATGTATTAACCAGAGGATTTCACCCAGTTTTAGCTGGAGTGTTTTTCATTTTCTTCTATTCACCAGAGATTTCTCTAATGCTCTGTCAAATAATTAAATAAAAAAATTATAGCAATTCATAATATATAATTTAACAGAAAATGTATTCACTTCATTTCACTTTGCTTTTTAAATCAGAGAAACACCAGTGAAGGACCAGAACACTTTTTTTCCCCCTCTATGGCTTACAGCACTTTGAAAAATACTGACGATCTCATTAGTACTTAGGAGAGTTTCTGAGTTGCTAAAAGCTGTTTCAGTTTAGGTTACTGGGAAAAGAGATTCTGAGAAAAGAGGTAGGTGCAAGAAACAATGCCCAGGGACTGGGGATTTAAAACAACGAAAGGAAGCAGTCATTGAAGGATGTCTTATTTAGTCAACATCCACTGTGGGTAACTGGAGCTTAAACCCAGAGGGAAATTCTAGAAAATGCTGTAAATTACATGTCTCAGAATTGTCTCACTGGATGGATGGGGGTGCTGAGCTTTTATATATTAATTCCTTTCAGTCATTGGTTGTGGAATGATCCTAGCAGTATTCATCTCCAGAAATGTAAGACCTGTCATGTGCTGATTCTCATTAATGGTGGACAAACATTCTTAGGCACAAAGAAGATATTGACAATTGGAAATCCGCTGAAGTACGTTGCAATTTATGAAGGGTTTGAGTGTGGCACTATCAGCCTGTGGTATAGTCTACACATTTCATCATTCAAATCTCTTTGTGCTCTATCTTAAATTCCTTCCATCCTGTTACTGCTTCGAGGTCATGATCAGTCACAATTTCTGAGAAGGATACTTGTAACAGGAGGATTAATGACCAAGCCGTTAAGTCCCCAATAAGGCAATGAGTCCTGAGATCAAACATGATATTCATTATATCCACTTCTACCACATATTTTAGAGTCCCTTTGCCTTCTAACAGCATATTTCCTGGTCTAAACTGCTTGCCAGAAGGGTACCACTAGTGATGTGCTGATAACTTGTTGACTGCTGGATCCCCAATTATATTTTCAACCTGAATGTTAGTTGTTATGTTTCTTTATGGCATGTTAACAAATAAGACAAAAGTAAAAATGCAAAAACAGCCATTTGCCTGTGACATGAACAACTATTTTGCTAAACCAGATAGCAGTTTTTGAATATTGGAAATATATTTCCTCCCTTATTTGTACTAATTATCATGTAACAGTTATAGACTGATACATGTTGACATCTAAGCTGCACTCTTAATATTTGTCCATCACTTTTGATCATCTAGACCCAGGATCAGCAAACATTTTCTGTAAAGAAACACGGAGTTTCCATTTACCCTTTTCACTTTGTGAGTCACCTATGGTTCTGTTGCTTATTCTTCCATTTATTTATTTTGTTTGTTTGTTTGTGTTAAATAGCCCTGCAAAATGTAAATGTCATTTTTAGCTTGTAGTCTTAAGAAGAAAAGGGCCATGAGCCAAATTTGGCCTGTAGGCTATAGATTGCCGACCTCTGCTCCAGACAATCCACACAACAATAATTCAAGCTCTGATTTGTATTTTTTATAAAAAAAATGTTCCCAGCACATTACTGGGAACCCAGACCGTCATTTGAGTCCCTGGTTACTTGGCTGAAATTTTCTATTTATGATTATCTGCTGAAAAAAAAAAAGAACTACTCACTTCCCTTGTGAATATCTTCATTTCCAAATCTTTTCTTCCCTACTTCCCTATGTGATAACAACCTTATGTCATCATAATGATCTATATCATTTATCTAGCCAGTAGAGTAACTCCTTCCCTTGCCTATTGTTTTTTTTAATTATTTATGTTTTGTGAGTATATAGTAGTTGTATATGTTTATGGGTACATTAGATATTTTGATACAGACATAAAATATGTAATAAACATATCAGGTTATGTACGGTATCCATCACCTCAAGCATTATTTTGTGTTACAAATAATCCAGTTATATATTTTTGCTTATTTTAAAATGTGCAATTAAATTCTTTACTATAATCATCCTGTTATGCAAGCAAATACTAGGTCTAATTTATTCTTCTATTTTTTTCGTATCCTTCAACCATCCCTATTTCCCCTCCATCCTCTCCACAATACTCTTCTCAGCCTCTGGTAACCATCCTAGTCTCTATCACCATGACTTCAATTGTTTTAATATTTAGCTCCCACAGGTAAGTGAGAACATGTGATGCTTGTCTTTCTGTGCCTGGCTTATTTCATTCAAAGTTATGACCTCCAGTTCCATGCACACTGTTGCAAATGACAAGATCTCTTTCTTTTTTAAGCCAAATAGTACTTCATTGTGTATACATACCACATTTTCTTTATCCATTTGTGTATTGGTGGACACTAGGTTGCTTGCAAATCTTGGCTATTGTGAACAGTGCTGCAATAAACATGGGAGTACAGATACCTCTTTTATATACTGATTTCTGACCTTTGGGGTATATACTTTGGTGTGGAATTGCTAGGCCATATGGTAGTTTTATTTTTAGTTTTTTTTTTTTTTTTCCAGAAGCTGCAACCTGTTCTCCATAGTGTTTACACTAATTTACATTTCCACCAATAGTATACTGGGATTTCCTTTCCTCTACATTCTCATTAGCATTTGTGTTATTGCCTGTCTTTTGGATAAAAGCCATTTTAACTGGGTGAGATGATTTCTTATCGCAGTTTTGATTTGCATTAATCTATGATCAATAATGTTGAGTACCCTTTCATATACTTGTTTGCCATTTGTATGTCTTCTTTTGAGAAATGTCTATTCATATCTTTTGCCCATATTTAATTGGATTATTAGATTTTTTCCTATAGAGGTGTTTGAGCTCCTAATATAGTCTAGTTATAATTCCTTGTCAGATGAGTACTTTGCAAATATTTTCTTCCATTTTTTTGGGTTGTCACTTCACTTTGTTGATTGTTTTCTTTGCTGTGCAGAAGATTTTTAACTTGATGAGATCACATTTGTCCATTTTTGTTTTGGTTGCCTGTGCTTGTGAGATATTGCTCAATAAGTCTTTGTGCAATCAAGTGTCCTGGAGATTTTCCCTAATATATTTTTTTAGTAGTTTCATAGTGAGATATTAGAATTAAGTATCTAATCCATTTTAATTGATTTTTCCAATTTGGATGGATTAGATTTTTCCAATCCATTGGAAAAACACTATTTTTCCAATTTGGATGTCCTTTTTTTTTTTATCCGTCTGATTTATCTAGCTGGAACTTCCAGTACTATGTTGAATAACAGTGGCAACAGTGGCATCCTTGTTGTGTTCCCAAAATTAGAATAAAGGCTTTTAGAGTTTTTTTTTTCTCATTCAGTATGATACTACCTTTGGATCTGTTGTGTATGGCTTTTATTATGTTGAGGTATGTTTCCTGTATATCCAATTTTTTGAGGATTTTTATCATGAAGAGATGTTGGATTTTATCAAATGCTTTTTCAGCATCAACTGAAATGAGCATAGAATTTTGTGTATGCTGAACCATCCTTGCATTCCTGGCACAAATCCCACTTAGTCATGATGAATGACCTATTTATTGTGTTATTGAATTCGATTTTTTAGGATTTTCTTGAGAATTTTTGCATCAGTATTCGTTAATGATATTGGCCTATAGTGGGTTTTTTTTTTTTTTTTTAATGTGTCTTTGCCTGGTTTTGGTATCAGGGTAATGGATAACACTGGCCTTGTAGAATGAGTTTGAAGGTATTCTATCACCCTCTACTTTTTTTTTTTTTTGGAATATTTTGAGTAGGTTTGGTATTAGTTCTTCAGTAGAATTCAGCAGGGAAGCCATTGGGTTCCAGGTTTTCTTTACCTGAAGATTTTTTATTATGGTTTAAACCTCAGTACTTATTATTCATCTGTTCAGGTTTTGGATTTCTTGTACAATCTTGACAGATTTTGTGAGTCTAGGAATTTGTCTATTTTTTCAGATTTTTCAGATTATTGGCATATAGTTTTTTATAGTCGTCTCTAATGATCCTTTGAATTTCTGCAGTTTCCTTTATCAATTCTGATTTTATTTATTTGGATCTTATCTCTTTTTTTCTTAGTCTGGCTAATGGTTTGTCAATTTTGTTTAACTTTTCAAAAAACCAACTTTTTATTTCATTGAACTTTAGTATTTTTTGCATTTCAATTTCATTTATTTCTGTTCTGATCTTTATTATTTCTTTCCTTCTACTGATTTTGAGTTTGGTTTGCTCTTCCTTTTCTAGCTCTTTCAGCTGCATCATTAGATTGTTTATTTGAAGTTTTTCCTCTTACTTGATGTAGGCACTTACAACTGTAAATTTCCCTTTTAATACTGACTTGGCTGTATCTCATAGGTTTGGGTATGTTGTGTTTCCATTATAATTGGTTTCAAGAAATGTTTCAATTTCCTTCTTAATTTTTTTCATTGATGCGCTGGTCATTCATGAGCATACAGTTTAATTTCCATGTATTTGTATAGTTGCCAAAATTCCTCTTGTAATTCGTTTCTAGTTTTATTCCACTGTATTCAGAGAAGATGCTTGATATTATTTCAATTTTTGGAATGTTTTAAAACTTGTTTTGTGACCTAATATATGGTCTGTCTTTGAGAATGATCTGTGTGCTGGGGAATGTGTAAATTCTGCATCCTTTTGAGAAAATGTTCTGTAAATATTTATTAGGCTCATATGGCCCAAAGTGCAGATTAACTCTGATGTTTATTGATTTTTTTTGTCTGAAGTATCTGTCCAGTGCTGAAAGTGGGGTATTGAAGTTTCCAGCTATTATTTTATTGGATTATTTCTCTCTCTGTAGCTCTAATAATATTTACTTTATATATCTGGGTGTTCCTGTGTTTCATGCACATTTACTTGCAAGTGTTATATCCTCTTGCTGAGTTGACCTCTTTATCATTTTACAGGGACCGTTTTGTCTCTTCTTGTAGTTTTTGTCTTGAAATCTATTTTGTATAGCTACTCCTCCCCTTTTTTATTTCCATTGCCATGGAATATCTTTTCTTATCCTTTTACTTTTCATCTATGTGTGTCTTTAGAGGTGAAGTATATTTCTTGCTGGCAGCAGATAATTAAATCTTGCTTTTTTTAAGTCTATTCAGCCACTCTATATCTTTTGATTGGAGAGTTTACATTCAATGTTATTATTGATAAGTAAGGTGTTACTCCTGCCATTTTGCTATTCGTTTTCTGTTTTATTTATTTTTCTTTTTTGGTCTCCTTCTCCTTCTTTTCTTCCTTCCTGTCTTCTTTTTAATAAAGGTTATTTTCTCTGGAGGTATGATTTCATTTCTTGCTTTTTATTTTTTGTATACTTATTGTACGTTTTAAAATTTGAGGTTACCATGAGGCTTGCAAATACTATCTTTTAACCCATTATTTTACACTGATAGCATCTTATCACTGTTTGCATAAACACATAAAAAAACAGAAAGAAAACTAGTAAAAATTCTGCACCCTAACTTAATTCCCCTGCATTATAAGTTTTTGTTTTCCCTATTTATATATTAGTGTATTGTCTATATTTTGAAAAGTTTTTGTTGTTACTATATTTGGCTGATTCATTGTTTAGTTTTTCTACATTAGATAAGAGTAGTTTACACACAACAGTTACAGTGTTATAATATTGTCTGTTTTTCTGTGTGCTTAATATAATCAGTGAGTTTTATAACTTCAGATGATTTCTTACTGCTCATTAATATCGTTTTCTTTCTGCTTGAAGTACTCCCTTTAGCATTTCTTGTAGGAGAGGTCTAGTTTTGATGAAATCCCTCAGCTTTAGTGTGCCTGGGAAAGTAATTCTCCTTCAAGTTTGAAAGATATTTTTGCCAGATATACTATCCCAGGGTAAAAGGTATTTTCCTTCAGCATTTTAAATATAGCATGCCCCTCTCTCCTGGCTTATAAGGCTTCCATTTAAAAGTTTGTCACCAGATGTATTGGAGCTCCATTTTATGTTCTTTGTTTCTTTTGTCTTACTACTTTTAGGATCCTTTGTTTATCCTTGATCTTTGGGAGTTTGATTATTAGATACTTTGAGGTAGTCTTCTCTGGGTGAAATCTGCTTGGTGTTCTATAACTTCCTTGCACTTCGATATTGATGTCTTCCTCAAGGTTTTGGAAGTTTCTGTTATTATCCCTTTGGATAAACTTTCTACCTGTATCTATTTCTATACCTCCCTTTGAAGCTCAATAATTTTTAGATTTGCCCTTTTGAGGCTATTTTTGAAATCCTGTAAACATGCTTCATCTTTTTGTTATTCTTTCTTTTGTCTCCTCCTACTGTGTATTTTCAAATCACCTATCTTCAAGTTCACTAATTTATTCTTCTGCTTGTTCAGTTCTACTATTAAAGGATTACGATGCCTTCTTAAGATGTAATTGCATTTTTCACCTCCAGAATTTCTGGCTGATTCTTCTTAATTATTTTATTCTTTTTAAAAATTATTTTTCAAAATTTGAAAAGTATTTTTCAAATTTGTCTGATAGAATTCTGAATTCCTTCTCTGTGTTATCTTGAATTTCTTTGAGTTTCCCTAGAACAGCTATTTTGAATTCCCTGTCCGAAAGATCACATATCTCTGTTTTTCTAGAATTGGTCCTTGTGCCTTATTTTGTTCATTTGATGAGGTCCTGTTTTCCTGGATAGTCTTGATACTTGTTGGTGTTCATCAGTGTCTGGGCATTGAAGAGTTAGGTATTGATTGTAGTCTTCACAAACTGGGCTTGTTTGTACCTGTCCTTCTTGGGAAGGTGTTTCCAGGTATTCAAAAGGAATGTGATGTGATATAAGCAGTGTGTTCATTAAGGGGCACCTGAAGCCCAGTAACACTGTGTTTCTGGCAGACTTGATGGTCTTCAACAACATCTGAAGGAATTCTCTGGATTACTAGACATAGACACTTGTTTTCTTCCTTTACTTTCTCCCAAATAGAGTCTTTCACTCTCTTGTGAGCTGCCTGGAGTTGCGAGTGGAGTGACACAAGCACCCCTATGGCCACCACTACTAGGACTTTGCTGGGTCAGACCTTAAGCCAGCACAGCACTGGGTCTCAACCAAGGCCTACTGTAACCAATCCCTGGCTACCACCCATGTTCACTTGAGGCCCTGAGGTGCTACAATCAACACGTGGTGAAGCCAGCCATTCCTGGGTCCTTCCTTTCAGGGCAGCAAGCTCTCACTGACCCAAGGCAGCTCCATAGGTGCCATCAAAAAGCCAGGAGCTAGAATCAAAAGCCCTAGAAGTTTATCTGGTTTTCTGTTGTGCTCCAGCTGAGATGGCCCTCAAACCATAAGATGCAGTCCTTTTCACTCTTCTTCTTTCTAAATGCAAAGAAACCTCACTGTGGGGACCACTTCAGAACCATGGACAATACTCCCAGTGTAAGCAATTTATTTTGTAGGTGAAAGAAACATAAATTGTGGAGTGGGGAATTGACCAAAAAAATAGCCAATTAAGGCAATAAAGTGTTCATTATTAAGCCAGCTATGACTATAAGTAATAAGTTTATTTTTGTAGGGAGATTCTGGGAAGAAGTTTAAAACACATGGCTCAGAATTCTTATACTGGAGGATAAATGGAGGTGGGATATTTACATACTAATTCTTGTCAGTCATGGTTGGGGGTTGCTTCCCAAGGGTTGTTAATTCCTAGCATTTTAGGCTTGCTACACTCACAAAAACAGAGCATCATTCCTTTGAGCTGGAAAAATACTCAGGCACAGAGATGCAGATACTGTATTGACATTTAGACTTTGTTACATATAATTCTAAATAACTTCCTGTTAATAAGCCTCACTGCAACTTATAAATTGACTTACACAGGAAAAAACTTCTTTTTTTTTTAAAGTCTCACATAAAGTATATTTTCTCTTTAAAACATCAGTCTATAAAATTATTACTTGTTGAATATAAGTGGTAGGTAAATATATATATATATAATTGTTTTCATAAAGGGATATTATATATAATATATATTTGTTGACAACTATATATATGAAATCTCAGAAATAACACTATTTTCATTGTATTTATCAAGGAATATAGATATTCACCTATATAATTATATAACCATTGCACACATATTTAACTTACAAGTTGATGATTATTTAATATAATGGTATGGTTTGTGAGATTCCTTATATAAAGCCTTAGAACACATAAATACACACAAACATGTAGTTATGAATATTTTGTTCTAATCTTTGTTTACTTTGTGGTGAAGTAAAATTAGAATAGTCATTCTTATCTTTTTAAATCAGATTCTTTAAGGAAAAACATTTGCAATATCTAAACTTACAATTTATTTTCTCAAGATTGTTCAAACTAACGGAAAGTAAGAAACGAAATTTTCCTAAATCTTGCTGTGTGCCTGTAGTCTTTCAATATATTATGATATTTAAAAACACATTTTCTAGTTCCTAGTTACTTTTATTTTTAAGATAACAATATCTGGAGGCATTTTAAAGATAAATATGAAGGGAATATAATAATTGTGACTCCTTTTCACACAGTGGAACTATCTTCAGGGATTTTATCCTAAAACACCATCTTTGTTAATATCCTTAAGCATTTCTGTTCTTGTGAGCTTTGGATTCTTATTAAAAAATGAATAAATGCTGTTCTTTGACTTGAGCTTATTCTACTATTGTAAGAGAAAAGTATCATTTTAAAAATCTTTAATACTTTTTAAGGCAAAAATGACTTTAGGACAAATTTTATGAACGTTCACATCTCTACCATTCATGTTCACATATTAAGCAATGTTGACTTTCAAGGAATTCATAAAAAAAGAAATAAATTTGACATTTTACTCTGATATCTTCTACCATGTAGTATTTTTATTGTAATTCAATTAAAAAATCTTAATTTTTTGACATATGTTTATTGCTCATTGTTACGTACTTCAGGGAACCACACGGAAGTGTTTCCTGAAAACACAGTTATTAAATTTCTATTTAAAATTTCTAGAGAAGAGGGAAAACAAATTTTAAAGAAATTTTTAAAAAATATACAAGTTTTCTTAGTGTTTGTTTTCTACTCTTTTTTTTTTTTTTTTTTTTTGACAGAGTCTCAATATGTCACCAGGCTGGAGTGCAGTGGCACGATCTCGGCTCACTGCAACCTCCATCTCTCGGGTTTAAGTGATTCTTCTCCCTCAGCCTCCTGAGTAGCTGGGACTACAGGCGCCCACTGCCACACCCAGCTAATTTTTGTATTTTTAGTAGAGACAGGTTTCGCCGTGTTGGCCAGGATGATCTCAATCTCCTGACCTCATGACCCGCCCACCTCAGCGTCCCAAAGTGCAGTTTGTTTTCAACCTCTATAACATACCTGAGACTGGGTAATTTATAATGAAGAGAAATTTATTGGCTGATGGTTCTGGAAGCTTGGAAGTCCAAGATCAAGGGACCAGCATCTACTGAAGGCCTTTTATTGCAATCTCTCGTGGTGGAAAGGCAAAGAGAAAGTGTGGGAAAGAAAGAAGTGGGTTAAACTCGTCTTTTTATTAATATAAGAATAAAAAGTTATTTTAACATAATATAAAAACCCCTTATCCATGATAACAATCCATCTTCCACAATAACAGTGTTAATCAACTCATGAGGGCAGAGACTTCATGGCCTAATTACCTCTCAAATGTCCCACTTAATACTGTTACATTGGGACTTAATGTAACAATATTCATATGCATATTTATATGAAATAAATCACTATTTCATCTTGTGAAACTGTCAATTTACTAAATATACATGCACAAACCCACATCCTTCATGGCATCTCATATTCAGTGATATCTTTATTCTGACTAGGATATTAATACGCATCTCTGTGTAAGATTTGAAAGCAGAAGATGAAAAAAAGCACTTCTGGCTGTGGATGACAGTAGTGGTCCCAGTATCATTTTTGTTAAGACCCAAGCAATGGTACTAACAATAGCAGTCCCTCAAGCAGCAGTAATTATAATTTCATGGGTTCAGCCTGGAGGAGTAGTAGCTTCATATATTCTGAATAACACCAGGTTTCCACTTTTGTCCTTTGGAGCCATTTTTAAAGGATTTTTTTTCCTTTTTTTCCTTACACTGACTTACAGGGAAGTTGAGCAAAATTTCAATGTTCTTTTTTCATTTAAAACTTTATTTAAAATTTATTAAAAGTTATTTATATAACATTATTTAAGCTTTATTTACAGTTCTTTAAATAAAGTTAATTAAGTTTTATTTAAAGCTTCCTTTGTTTTTTCCTTCCTCCCTGCCTTCCTTCCTTTTGTCTTCCTTCCTTCTTTCCTTTAGTCTTCCTTCCTTTCTTCCTTCCAGCATCTGCAGATAACATGTATATATATAGGGGTGTGTGTGTGTGTGTGTGTGTGTGTGTGTGTGTATACACACACACTAGAAACATACTAGTTTTCAGGGAAACAAAAAGGAACAAGATGTAATCCATTTTTCTAAGGAGTTTAAGTCTATGGTAAGAAGGTCACTTATCCAAATAATTTCATAAAGTTGTATAACAAATATCATAGTAGAAATACATTTAAAGTGTCAAGTGAAGAAACAATTGATTATACGTCGGTGCTTGGAAATAAATAAAATAAACAAATTAAAGTAATAGTTAATTGAAATAGCACATTATATCTTCATTGTTTTTAAGATTTCAGTTCTAAGTAGCAACACTGAGAGTGGGCTAGGAACAAAGCGCATTTAAAGAAATATTCTGTGGAAGTTCAGGCTTATGAACTTGACACCAGAACCATACATCTTTATCTTTATAACACATAATTCTTGATTTTTGTAAATCTCTACTTGTTCTTGTTGCCTATCCCCTTCAGTTTGATGTAAGTCATCCATATATAATCTTTGTGTGGATACATTTTTTACTATAGCATTATAAGCCCTTTACACACATCATTTTTTTCTCTTCTAGATGTTATTTTCTGCATGCATTATTCTGATAAAATTTAAAAAATATTTTAACATAGATCCTTTAGAATTACTTTAGTCATAAAACGTAAAATAATTGTTTTCTAATGTAATATTAGTTTCAGATAAAAATTTGTTTTTAGATATTCATCTTACTTTCTTTTTTTTTTTTTTTTTTTTTTGAGATGGAGTCTCACCCTGTCTCCCAGGCTGGAGTGCAGTGGTGCGATCTCGGCTCACTGCAACCTCCACCTCTCGGGTTCAAGTGACTTTCGCACCTAAGTCTCCCAAGTAGTTGCGACTACAGGTGCGTGCCACCACACCCAGCTAATTTTTGTGTTTTTACTAGAAACGGAATTTCTCCATGTTGGCCAGGCTGGTCTCGAACTCCTGACCTCAGGTGATCCATCCAACTAGTCCTCCCAAAGTGCTGGGGTGGCAGGTGTTAGCCACTGTGCCCAGCCCATCTTAGCTTTTAAAATAAAATGAGTTTACTTTATTTTTTAGACTAATTTCATGCTAACAGAAAAATTGAGCAGAAAGTACAGTATTAAAACCAGGGATAAGGTCATATTCAGTTTTGGCCACTTATTAAACTGAAGTTGTTTTCAAGTATTTTATACAATTTACAATAGAGTCCTTTAAGCTTCTAACAATTGACATAGTAAACCAAATAATTTTTTGGTCGCAGGAAACCATCCAGTACATTGTAGAATGTTTAACAGTATTTCTGAATTCTATCAGCTAAATACTAGCAGTATGTCATGCTCCTTTGAGTTTTGACAACAAAATATGTCTTCAGATTATGCCAAATATTCCTTTAGAGGCAAAATTGCCCCTGGTTGACAAACACTAGCTTAGAGAATTGCTGCAACTTTCAACTATTTTTAATAAATTCTAAAACTATAGATTATATATCAGAACATTTTGATTTAAATAAATATAGCTTCAAATGTTATTTATAAAATTCATTATCCTCAAATAAAGTATTAGTAAGTACAAATTATAGTTAAGGTGTAAACAAAATACTTTTGTCCTTAGTAATAAATACACCATTGCTTTTGGAAAAATGTTCATTCTATTGTAAGCCTGTCAGTTTGTTTCAGATTCACTTACATATTTTTTCAGGGAAAAAATAAAGTGCACAGGATCCTCAATTCGATATCCAAGATGATTTTTAAGTGTTTGTCTATAATTGTACCCCCTAAATTTCAAGCGCCTGTTTTGATGATTGAGAAACTCACAGGGTTTATAGTTAAAATACACATTAAACTCTAATGATTCTTTGGCTTTACCTAATTTGGCAAACCAAAATGAGACCACAGGCAATTTAACAAGGCTTACAATAAGACGACAGTCTGCTTGCTCTGCTTTCTTAAGTCTACTATATCTAACATTTTTGCAGTAATAAAACCTACTCTTCCTACAGGCATGCAAATGTCAATAAATTAAAAAAATGAATGAATGGACAAAAAGTTGTTCAAAATTGTCAGTCATTAGATAATAGGTTAAGGGATTAAGATAAATGTAAACAGACTAAGAAATGGCATAGTTCTATATCTTAAAACCTAAATAGCCACTCTGACACTCCTACCATTGCTACCCAGAAAGAATCCTAGGAGAACTGTATGTAGAGAAGAAAGTTAGGAAAGAAAATAAACCTCAAAAGTATTCTGAAACTTGAGCATTGAATGTTAATAAGCAGGACTGAATTTATGAAAAGCCACACTGCCTATGGTAGAGTTTAGCCTTCTGCCTGAAGCAAAAGAAAACTCCACCAGTGCCTGTCCTTGCTTCTTGGCCGTCTTTATTCTCCTACTCCTTTAGCCAGAAAAACAGTAAGACTGAAGCTTGGTTATAAAATGCCTTCACAACACAGTAAAGACTGGCTCCTTAAGACATGTGTCATTATCATTATAACATGTCCTTGTTTGTGTCTAGAAACAGTTTTTTTTTTAAACTTAAATTCTATGTAGTCTTATGTTAGTTTAGCCATTCCAGGATAATGACATGTCATTATCATTATAACATGTCCTTGTTTATGCCTAGAAACAGGTTTTTTTTTTAACTTAAATTCTATGTAGTCTTATGTTAGTTTAGCCATTCCAAGTTTCTTATTATGCTTATTTGCATGATATATATTTTTTTCATTTTACTTCCCATATATTCATGTTTTTTAATCTAAAGTGTATCTACTTTAGATAGTATAGAGTAGATGTGTTTCTAAATCTAGTCTTGTAACCTGTGTCTTTTGAATGCATTGTTTTAATCTACTCCTTTAATGCTCTTATTGGTATAATTAGGTTTGCAGCCACAATTTCACTTGTTGTTTTCTGCATGATCATACTTTTTTTGTTCCTCTATTCCTCATTTAATACTTTCTTTTCATAAAACGAATATGTATTTAATGTGATCTTTTAATTACTTTAATGATTTTTCTTATATTTTGTTGAGTTTCTTTTAGTGGTTGCTCTACAGCTTAGTATACATCTTAATATATGACATTCTATTTCAGATTAAAGCTATCTTAACTCCACAAGGTTGTAGAAATGTTTCCCCTATGAAGCACTATTTCCATTACCACTTTATTTTGCTATTATTGGTATACATATTACACCAACAAATGTTGCAAATTTACCCATACATTTCTAGAATTATTTTTTCATGACATTTTATGTCTTTGAATATAGCTAAAAAAAATAGAACAGGTGTATATTTATAGATCTTGTTATATTAAAGTTTTAAATGGCCATTTCTGGTTTACTTTATTTGTATCTATGAATTGAACTTACCATCTAATGTTATTTTCTTAGTCTAATACAGCTTTGTTCCCACATATCTTCTTTGTGCAGTTATTGGCAGTATACAAATATTGCATTTCTATATGTTAAATGGCAACAATATAGTCATACATGTACAGTTTTATACAATTGCTTTTTTAAATCAGTTAAGAGGATAAGTATGCATTTATACATTATTTTATAGTTACATATTTACCTTTATTTGTTCTTTTTCTCTTTTCATCTGCATTGAATAACTGACTGTGGATATGTGCTTTCAGTCTGAAGAACTTTCTTTCATATGTCTTTTGAGAAAGATTTGATAGCTACTTTTGTTTTATTTTGTTTTGTTTTTCGATTGTGCTTTTTTGTAACTGCCTTTTTTAGTCGTAATTTTTTAAAAAGTTTTGCCAGATATAATATCCTTGGTTTACAGATTTTTCTTTCTTTTTTTACTTTGAAGACATTATACTACTGCCTTCTCATTTCCACTGTCTATTATGAGAAAAGAGTTGTCAAAAAGGAATATGTCAACTACATTAAAGTAAAAAAAAAATATATGTTGTTGAGTCCTTGTAATTAAAATATAGGAAATGATGGTATTTTTTGTAGAAACATGTAAGAAGACATGGATGTCAGACAATATATGGGTCATCACCAGACACAGAGGGTAAAAGCCTGGAAATAGTTAATAGCAGCAAACTCAGCTTATATATTTAAAGATTTTCTCTGTGAAGAAGTATCTGCAAACTACAGTGGGAAGACATATATTGGGTATAACTATCCCTGATTGCCAGTACTCATCAATCTAACAAATTAAATAGCAAGAATTAATAATCATTGCTGATACAGTTTCAATGGCAGTACAGAGCTAAGGAGGAGATTAGATTTGTTGGTGATATAAAAATTATATAGGTCAGGTACAGTGACTCACTCCTGTTATCCCAGCACTTTGGGAGGCCGAGTCAGGAGGACTGCTTGAGCCCAGGAGCTTAAGACCAGCCTGAGCAACATAGTGAGACCCGGTCTCTACAAAATAATAACAATAATTATGATAATAATAATAAATTAAAAGAATAAATAAAAATTACAGAGAGGAGATGTAAATTTGATTTGTGGACATTTTTACACCAAAAGGTTTGCATAGAAAGCCATAATTAAAACTTAGTATATGTTGCTCCCTCAAACTAGTGATATTTTGCTCTAGATGCTTAGTTGATTAGACATGTTCCAGAAACTGAACCACAAAAGAATAAAAAGAAAACTATTTGATTTCAGGTTGAAATATGTTATGGAATCTGAGAGGAAAAGGGTACTCCAAGAAAGACCCAGGAATTTGGTGGTGGAAAATTGTGATATCTTTACTCATTTCCAAATATTTCCAGAAAATATAAGTATTTTAAATACCATCTTGAAGAAGTTTGTATAGGGTAAATATTTTTCAGCTTCTCAATAGAAAATATTTACCAATTTAAGTTGAAGATTATAGGAATGTAAACTTCTAGAGAAAAATTAGTCATTTTAGTCAAACTAAAAATGATAAGCTTTTCTCTTGTTCTAGTATTTATTTTCTCTCTTTATATCACTGATGCGGTTAATGTTATAGTCTCTGGCTAGGAACGCTAATGGTTTTCTAAAGTATGAATTATATCTGATTTTGATGAGACCCCATTGCATGCATTGGTCAAGGAATTGGTGCACATATTCTAAGTTATTTTAGTATTCACATTTAATTCTAAAATTTATATCCAAATATCGTGGATACAGTGATCTTCCTAGTGTACTGTTATTTAAAATCAATTAAATCATTAATTTCCATAATACTTATTCTCATTAAATTCACTTTGAATGTATCTATTTTACAGATAAGGAATTAGTGTGTAGGAAAGGTAAGTAACAGCTAATATGTACAGAATCTGAAATTGAACCTTTCATAGTCTTCCCCAAGAGTTTCTTATTTAAATATTAAGACTGACAAAATATAAAAAAGAAAGAAGAATGAGAAAAGAAAAAAGAAATGAGAGAAAGAAGGAAAGAAGAAAGGAAGAAAGAAAGATAAAGAAAAAGGGAAGTGGAAAAGGCATGAAGGGGTAAAGAAAGGAAGAAAGCATGAAGAAAAGAAAGGAAGAGAAACAGGAATTTTAAAATGGAAAAATATATTAAAAACAGCACTTAGAAAATGTCTTTTAATCATTTCAAATTACCGAAGAACTAGACATTCAATTAATAAAAATACTATTGAAGAAGGACAAATGAACTTCTAAATACATGAGTAACTTTTATTAGTAACATCAAGTTTGCTTTTAAATTGTTTAAATTTTTTGGTACAGAGTTAGAGAAAAAAAATTAAAAGAAAGAGACATGAATTTGAGAAAAGAATGATGCCCTTAGCGACCTAGAACTGGCTGAGTTGCAAAAGATGCTAGATGTAAGAGATAAGAAGGTCAACTTTTTAGAGCAAAGAGGTGAAAAAGAAAAATGAAACTTTTCATTCAGCAGAGTAAGAGATTCTCCCTCAGGCAGGAATAAGCATTTTCCTGGTTTATTTGCAGAGGCAAAAAATGTACATGGTGACATGATCAAAGAAGGGAAAATCCTGACACACTGACTCTTCAATGAAAGCACATTTAATAGTGGGAAGGAAATAAGAATAATACATCTTTCATGTACTTTCAGGAACATAAGTCATCACTTTGTACCGTAATAACTGACTCACTTATCTGGCAGCTTCAATGTGTCATGCTAAATGACAATAGAGAAATATTTCTCCAAACATATTTTTATTTGTGCGTGAGGAAAAAGGATTATATAGTCTGGGATGCACAGCAAAGACAAGCTACAGGTGTATGAAGAAAGGAAAGCACAGTAGGAAGCTTTTCTTGGCCAAAGAGAGAAGTCCAGGTAAACTGCATGGAAACAAAGTTGATTGGTTCTGGAGGCTCAAAGCAAGAATCAATTTATTGGCAGAGACACTGTTGCTGGGCAGGTTTGTTTTTGAGAGCCTCTTTTCTGAGGTGATGCAGGCTTAGAGAATGTCTAGCAATACATCTTGTCATAGAAATATGTGTATTCATGCAAAATGAGCAACTTGTACAAAGGATGAGATGTATGAAAGAATTTATTGGGGGTTTTATTTACAAAGTTTTTGAGACAGTTCTTATCTCAGACATATAATCATGAGCTCCCCTTCTTTGTGATCTCCCAGATCCAATTTGTCTGTGTCTGACAAGAGTGACTGCATCTTGGTATCTGTAACTTTCATAAAATGGCATAAAATATACTCATCAGGCTGAGTGCATTGGTTTACGCCTGTAATACCAGCACTTTGGGAGGCCGAGTCAGGCAAATCACCTGAGGTCAGGAGTTTGAGACCAGCCTGACCAACATGGTGAAACCCCATCTCTACTAAAAATTAAAAAATTAGGCAAGTGTGGTGGCACGTGCCTATAGTCCCAGCTACTTGGGAGGCTGAGGCAGGAGAATAGCTTGAACCCTGGAGGTGGAGGTTGTAGTCAGCCAAGATCGTGCCACTGCACTCCAGCCTGGGCGACAGAGTGAGACTTTCTCTTGAAAAAAAAAATATATATATATATATATTTTATATATATATATAATATATAAAAATATATAAATATATATATTTTTATATATATAATATATATATTATATATAATATATATATAATATATATTATATATATAATATATATAATATATAATATATAAAATATATATAAATATATATTTTATATATAATATTATATATATTATATATATATTTTATATATTATATATAATATATATATTTATATATAATATATATAAAATATATATAATTGAATATATATATTTGAAATATATATATTTGAATTCAAAAAATATGTATATACTCATCAAGGGCAGGGATTTTTGTCTCATTCTCAACTGATTTTCAACAGCTAGTATGGTCAGCGCTTACTACATTTCTATTTTTAAAAAGTTAGTGAAAGAGCCTATAATGTGAATGGAGTTTATAATAGAAGAAATGAAAGAAAGAGGAAAAAAGAATAAGGGAGAAGACATTCTTATTAAATATAAAATTATATAAATGTAGCAATATTTCAGGAAAAAAGTACAAGCATTTTAAACATTTTGTATAGATGGTCCAGAGATATGACCCATTCTATGACAAGGTTAAAGGTTAAAAATTATTAACTTTTCTGGGCCTACTTCCTTCTCAGTAAAATGAAGAGGCTGGACTGAATAAACTTTAAATTTCTTCAGCTGTAAGTCCCTCTGATTTCATAATTCATTTTCAAAATGTCACTTTGATGAGTCTGAAATATATTTAATTTTAGTGAACTCCACCTTCCAAACACAAATTCCTGTGTATCCATGGCTAATCTTTGAAAGTCATATGGGCAAATGAGCAATTCAAAAAAGGAAATTAAGAAGACAATTTCATTTGCAATAGCATCAAAATTAATAAAGTACTTCGAAATAGTCTTACCCAAAGAGATGAAAGAGTTGTAAAGTGAAAACTGCAAAACATTGTTAAAAGAAATTAAAGAAGACACAAATAAATGGAAAGACATCCATGGTCACGGATTGGAAGATTGACTGTTGTTAAGATGCCAATATTACTCAAAACAATCTAATATTTAATGCAATCTCTATCAAAATCCCAATGGCATGTTTTTTGGAAATAGAAAAAATCCATCTTAAATTGTACATAAAATATCTTCTTTTTTTCTTTCTTTCTTTTTTGTTAGAGCCAGGATCTCCTTATATTGCCCAGACTGGTCTGGAACCCCTGGACCCACTGGATCATCCTGCTTTGGCCTCCCAAAGTGCTAGCATTACAAGCATGAGCCGCCATGCCCAGCCCCTAAATTGTATATAAAATCTCCAGGCATTCTGAGAAGCCAAAATATTCTTAAAAAGAAATAACATTGAGTCCTCACAATTCCTGATTTCAAAACTTATTACAAAGCTTTAGTAATTAAATTGTGTGTTATGGACATAAACACATACATATAGAACAAATGAAAAAAGTAAAAAGCCCAGAAATAAACCATTGCATATAGGGTCAAATGATTTCTGACAAGAGTGCCAAGAATATTCAATAGAGAATGGACAGTCTTTTAACATACGATGTTGGAAAAACTGGATACCCACATGCAAAAGAATGAAGTTAGATCCTGACCTTATACCACATACAAAATGTAACTCAAAATGAACCAAATACCTAAATGTAAAAGCTACAACTATTATATTATTACAAAAATCACAGGGAAACAAACTTTATGACACTCGATGCAATAATGTATTGAATATCATCCCCAAATTACAGACAACATAAGAAATAAGAGCTAAGTCGAACTACGCCAAAATGAAAAAAACTTTCATGAGTCAAATGACACACTCAACAGGTGAAAAGGCAACCCATGAAATGGTAAAACATATTTTCAAATTTAAGGGTTTAATATCCAAAATGTGTAACTAACTCATATGACTCATCAATAACAACAACAAAACCTGGTTCAAATATGAAAATGGACAAAGGTTAAGAGATATTTCTTGAAAGCAAACATACAAATGGCCAATAAGCACATGAAAAATGCTCAGCATCGCTGACCATTAAGGAAATTAGATACAAAACCACAATGAGATAACACTTCACACCTATATGGTGGCTACTATAAAAAAAAACTCAGAAAATATCAATTGTTGATAAAGATATGAAGAAATTTGAACTCTTGTGCACTATTGGTGAGAATGTAAAATTGTGCAGCTGCTATGAAAAACAGTTACTGTGGTTCCTCAGAAAGTTAAATATAGAATTACCACATGATCTAGCAGTTTCTCTTCTTGGTATATACCCGAAGAAATTAAATGCAGAGTCTTGAAGAGATATTTGTACACCCATGTTCATGGCTAAATTATTCACAATAGCTAAAATGCTAAAACAATTCAAGTACTATGGTTTGGATATAGTTTGTTTTCTGTTGAAATTTGATCCGCAGTGTTGGAGACAGGGCCTCATGGGAGGAGTTTGAGTTGTGGGGCCGATCCCTTATTAATAGCTTAGAGCTGTTCTCCTAGTAATGAGTAAATTCTCACACTGTGAGCTCCCTAAAGAACTGCTTGTTAAAAAAAAAGCCCAGCACCCCAGCCCCTCTCTCTTCCTTCCTCTCTTGATATGTGATAATCACTCCTCTTCACCTTCTGCCATGAGTGGAAGCTTCCTGAGACCCTCACCAGAAGTAGATGCTGATACTATGTCTCTTGTGCAGCCTGCTGAACCATGAGCCAAATAAACTTCTTTTCTTTATAAATTACCCAACCTCAGGTATTTCTTAATAGCAACACAAATGAATGAAGACACCTAGTGTCCATTAATGGAAAAATGAATAAACAAAATGGATGTAGTATATATGTGGTACATACATACATACAATGGAATATCATTCAGCCTTCTTAAGGAAGAAAATTTTGACACATGCTACAGTAGGAATAAACTTCGTGGACATTATGCTAAGTGAAATTAACTAGTACCAAAAAATAATACTATAAACTAATTATTCTACAGCCATAAGTACTTAGAATAGTCACATTTATGGAGAAAGAAAGTAGAACTTTGACTGCCAGGGACTAGGAGAAGAGGAGAATGGGGAGTTATGTAACGTAATTCCACATTTCAGTTTTGTGAGAAGAAGAGGGTTCTTGAGATTGGTTGCACAACAACGTGAATATATTTACCCAATTGAACTGTACACTTTAAAATATTTGAGATGATATACTTCAGTTCTGTGCGACAATTAAAAATCCTAATTAAAAAAGTAAGAGCTGTGTGAGCCATTTTTTTCTACCTTCCCCTATTAGCTCCATACCTTTTTGTCAAATCCAAAGATAATTTTATATTAGATAAGTAGTTTCTCTCTGCTTGTACCTTGGTACCAATGACAGTCTTCTCATATTCTTGTTACCTCTTTCCAATTTATGCTTCGCATAGCATATGCTAGCTTAAGTTCAGGGAAATATTTTATGATCTGCTCCATCACTTTTTCTGTTCAAAGTGTGAGCTCATACACTGGGAAGAGATGCAAACACCTGGAGCGTATAATTGCTGGTTTCTCTTCTCTGAGCATGACCAAGACAAAGGCAGCTCTTTTATGAACACAAGATAGAGACTGGGGAATCAGGTTCTGTGTAGGTTCAGAGACCATTAAAGGTGATGCATTGTCCTGTCTTGAATTGACAGATGAAGAGCATGAATTAGATTCCCTGAAAAAGTTAGGGTTTCAGTCAAAGCTCTCCAAATGACATCATTGAGTAAAGAATTTAGAACCCTCTCAGGAATCCCATTTGGTTTATATTACTGATAACGTTAGTTCAGAATGAGCTTCTTTGGTAAAAACTGGGCAACGCTAGTCTCTTTCTGTTTATCTGTCCTTTTTCATTAGTATTGGTCTTAACAATAGCACCCTTGACATCTAGCTTGATTTTCTCTTCCTTAAGATGCAAGTTGCTCACCTACTCAGAGCTTCTTCCTGCTCTTTCCCTGCTGGTGCTCACAATTAGATGGTCTTGGCCCAAATTGTGGAGTTGCAAGTGACACCTTTCCCTGGGTGAATTTGCTAGCCGGTGCTGTGAGACAAACAGATTTTGGGGGTTAATGCCTAGCCCTAATGAAGGAAGTTTTAAAATTAGAATTCTAATAATGCTATTTTTCCACTTAAAGATAATAGACTACTTCTTGACTGACTGCAGAAATCTTTCTGAGGTTTTCAAAGGAAAGAACTGCTAACAAGTAAGTCTGGTAGAAGTTATGTTTTCTAGTTGGGGTCTCATATCTTTTCATAGACCTCCCAGGGCCACCTTAGCATCTCTAAATGAGTAATTAGCACTTTCCCTGCTGATTTAAAATAATGGAAACCCTAACTATACAAGGCCAAAATTTGGGAACAGTTCATATTAGATGCTAACCTTTTTTTTGAAAAGCTTCATTCTTTAATTTGCACTGGTCTATAAAGAAATTAATTGCTCTCATATCCAGAATGCACACATCAGTGGGAAAAAAACAAGACCAAAATAAAATTAAGTGCAAGTATTTTTCTTCAGATAGGTGGCATTTGTTGTAAAATTAAGTATACTCTTGAACATTTATGGTTATAACTTAATACTTTTGTAACTAATAAATAAAATATATGCCATACTTGATTCTCTTATTAAGCAAAATCTTTATCAGATTTCCATCTAAAATATTTTCTGTACAATTAGCAGACATTATATTTGTTTTATATATTGCATATAAATTCAGAAAAAAATGTATATTATGAAACCAAAGATGACACATGACTTTTAAAAACAACTTATTTACTTGAAAGTTATTAGTGTGTTACATACTCTGATTAACTAGGTAGGATTGTCCAGACAAACCCATTTACTCATTCATTTAAAAACAAAATTTGGGCGGGGTAATGTGGGTCATGCCTGTAATCCCAGCATTCTGGGAGACCGAGTTAAGTGGATCCCTTGAGCCCAGGAGTTTGCAACCCGCATGGGCAACATAGTAAGATTCCATCTCTACAAAAATATGTACTTTTAAACTTAGCTGAGCATGGTGGCATGTGTTTGTAGTCCCAGGTTCTGAGGGAGGATAAGGTGGGAGAATCACTTGAGCCTGGGAGGTTGAGGCTGAATGAACTGTGATTGTGCCACTGCATTCCAGCCTGGGTGACAGTGACACCATGTCTTAAAAAAATTAAAAATTAAAAATTGAAAAAAAAGAAAAATAGAAATAAAAACAAAATTTACCAAGCACAGATCAGGTACAGAAATTATGCTAGGAGAAAAGTAAAATTGTGTATTTGACTATCAGCCAGAATTCTGTCCATCATATTTCACTGAAATAGCATTGAATAAATTTATCTTCCAGTTCATTTTCTTAACATTAAATTCATCATTATGGATTATCAACATCTTATTGCAATGTAGTATACATTTAATGTCCTTATTAAATATTTACCAAAATATATGTTAGGATTTTAGATTGCAGAGACATGTAATGATTTAGTCTTTCTTATTTAGAATATATTCTTGAAACAATATAAATGCTAATTTTATTTCAGTAAAAGCCTTATAGCATTTAGTCCTCATTAAGAACCAGTGAGACACAGAATATTATCATCCTCATCTTACAGATGTGGAAACTACTGCAACACAGAGTGGTTGAATAACATTCCGAAGATTAGAAAATGGTAGAACCCTGTTATTTCAGTTGTAGAAGCTGTGCCCTTCTTCATTATGTTGTGCTCCCTGTACAAGCAGGAGCTAGAAAAGAAAGCATATAGGCAGCAGTTGTCTAGATAAAATAAGAAGAAAACTTGAAGTCCTGAAATGGGAAAAATCACTATTCTTTTTTTTTTTTTTTTTTTTTTTTTGGCGGGGGGACGGAGTCTCGCTCTCTTGCCCAGGCTGGAGTGCAGTGGCGCGATCTCAGCTCACTGCAAGCTCCGCCTCCTGGGTTCACACCATTCTCCTGCCTCAGCCTCCCTCACTACTCTTTAAATACAATTAATTAGTAATGTGAAAAAGGACCTTAGATATAAGCCAGCACAGCTATATAGAATCTTGTAAACTACATTAAGACGATCCAATTTTAGCTTCACAGTCATGGAGCTTACAGAGGAAACATTTTTCTGCACCCTGGGGGTAAAAAAGAAAATGTGACATAATTATACTTCATTAAAAAGCAATATTTCTCTGCTACTCTTTGAAAAGATTTAGGGGAAGGGTAAGAGTATGAGCACTGAGTATGTTTGGTAAAACAGATCTCAGTTAACCAGCTGTGAGAGTATGAGAGTATGCCAGAGTCAACCACAGAAATAAGTGAAAAAAGGAGGAAGCAAATAGATGCAATAATTTCAATAAGTGATGTTTAAGTACTTGACAATAAATTAGTAGGGAATGAAGGAGGGAATGAGCAGGAAATGATGACTCTCCTTTTCTACTTTGGGAAACTTAGTAATGAAGAGATGCAGGAGAAGCAATATGTTGGGATAGTCAGAAAAATAGTATATTAAATAGTTTGCCTTTAAGTTAAATTTGAAGTAGCTAGGATATACTTTATTGAAGAGATTTAATATGTCGTTGATGTACAAGTGTCTAAGACATCACATACACACACACACACACACACACTAAGGTGAAGTATTGCTCTTTTATGGGGGTTATGCTATGAAGAAACAGTTTAAAGCAGACATTATGAGCTTATACTATGGTTCATTCAGAACTGAGTTCTAATTACAGGTAAGTTACTTTGGCAAGATATTCAAATTATTATCTTTATAATATTATGTTACCACATACCTTATGGTGTTCAAGTAAGAATAGGAATAGATGCTTCATATAAAGTGTTTTATACAGAATCTGGAATGAATTATAGAGTGAATATTTGTATTATTACTATTATCATCAGCATTATTATTTTATAAAAGAAACAAAACTAAGGTTTAGCAAGATACCAAAGTCACTCAGAAAGTAAGTCAAAAGGAAAATACTTGAATTCATATTTGTCTGAAGTCAGTGCATACATTATAACATTGTTCTGTTCTGGATTAATGCTCTTTAGAGATTAAATAAAATACAAGCCCTTGGAGCTAATGTGTTTGTCAAGGAATGTACTGTAGTAATAAAAAAAAAAAAGTAATCCCAGTACAGAAATCTAAGGAAAAACCAAAATTTAGGAGATGATAAGAGGAAAAGAAATACAAAGCAAATTTATAAGTATTAATGAAAAAAATGTATCTATGAGTATCAACAACTGTATATAAGGAAATCTAATATCTCCAAAGATAAGGCAGTGTTTTGTCTGGAAGGGAAGTATCATCAGTGTCAAAAGTGACTGAGAGGACAAGTGAAATAAGGTTTGAGTAATGTCCTTTGGGCTTAAGCAAGGTTATTGCTAATTTTGGAGAAATACTAAAGGATATCAAAAATTGGGAACAAAATGCTTTCCAAATAATAATGCAGTACTTGAACCAATACTGTCTATTATTTGATAACAATTTTTGTCAAGTAGCCAATCTTTAATTACAATAGGGAGAAAGCACTTGAAATATGATTATTCACATGTCCAAGAGTAAGTTCAACCATTTTATTAACAAAAGCATGAAAATGCTAATGTTTCATTCTTATAAAGCTTCTAATGAAAAACTAAAAATAAAATAACAAGACTTCATTCCAGTGATAATGACTGAACCTAGAATGAGACATAGTGATATCACATTTCCAATTCACGTTTCTAGAAATTAATATTACATATTTGCAGCCCCTTCAGGAATTGAGTGGCTTAACTTAATTGACTTTATTATAGTGTATTGTATGTATTCAGAACTTCAGATAACCATTTCACTACATTTAAACACTATTGTTAAAATACAGAACACTTTAAAAATACCCAGTTATGAAATTAATTTTCTAGGTTATAGACTGGCACTCTTGGATAGTGAGACTATAATTTATATACTGGATTTTTACAGCTTTGTTAATCTTGCTTTGTTTTGCTTTGTTGCCTCATCAAAGTTTATTTGCTCTTTACCAGAGGCTATCATCTTCAGTAGAATATATTGATTCTTCCTCTCAAGAAATTTAAATTCTGAATGAAATAGTGTTCCTGTTTTACAGTCCTCTGGATGACTGTGTTTCAGATATTTCTGTGGACCAGAGCCTGGGACTGCTGTTATGAACATCATTCAGTGTAAAATTTTTCAAAAGCTACATGTCTGACTTACTTCTGAATAACTGATTAGATCAATGAAGACTAGCATGATACAGGTGTTAAAAAGTAAATCAAATTGGTGTTTTTAAAAAAGCTTTATTTTCAGGACACTCTTAGATTTGTGGAAAAATTGAGATGATGATACAGAGTTTCCTTATGCCCTATGCCCAGTTACCCCTATTAAAATTGTACATTAGTATGGTACATTTCTTACATATAATTATCTAAAATTGACACATGTTATGAATAAAAGTGTATATTCTATTAAGATTTATTTAGGTTTTACCCAATGTCCTTTTTCTGTTTCAGGAAGCCTTCCAGTTTACATACTCCATGGAGTCATAATGTCTTTTTAAGCTCTTTTTGACTGTGACAGTTTCTCTGACTTTCCTTGTTTTTAATAACCATGGCATTTTTGAGAATTAGAAGGTAAAATTTTGAGGTATTCTTTAGAATGTACTCAATGGTATTTGCCTGATATTTTTCTCATGATTATGCTGAGGTTATGTGGTTTTGAAAAGAAGACCACAGAAATAAAGTGCCATTTCATGACATTATATGAAGGGTGCATGCTAACAACATGACCTTCCTGTTGATTTTGACCACGAGGTAGTATTATCAGATATATCCACTGTAAATTTACTCTTTGTCTCTGCTCTTTTTTATTGCTGTACAGTTGGCCCTTTGTACCATTAGTTCTACATCCATGAATTCAACCAACTGTAGACCAAAACTATCCCCCCAAACCCCAAAATATAGAATTGTTGCCTCTGTACTGAGCATGTACAGACTGTTTTTCTTTGCCATTTTTCCCTAAACAATACAGTATAACAACTATTTACATAGGCTTTACATTGTATGAGGTACTGTAAGTAATCTAGAGAGGATTTAAACTATTCCAGTGAATGTGCTTATGTTATATACAAATAGTATGCCATATTATATACAGTTTGTTTATTCACTCTCCTATTTTATTTTATATTTATTTTTATTTATTTTTGAATGAAATATATTTGGTATTTTAATTAGAGAACATTCTGGTCGTTTTCTAGAATTGCTATGACAAATTATCATAAACAAACTATAGAAACGTATTGTTTAAAACAATAAAAGTTCACAACAATAGGAATATATTCTCACAATCCTGGAAGCTAGAAGTCTATAATCAAAGTGTCATCAGGGCCATGCTTACCCCAAAAGCTCTAGGGGACAAGCTGTTCCATGCTTTTCTCCTAGCTTCTGTGTCATAAATGCAAGAAGAACAGAAAAGCCTAGAATCTTTGAATGGTGATTTTTTTGTGTGTCCAGCTACAATTTTAGAACTACTCTCT
This sequence comes from Homo sapiens, assembly GCF_000001405.40. Classification (NCBI taxonomy): domain Eukaryota; kingdom Metazoa; phylum Chordata; class Mammalia; order Primates; family Hominidae; genus Homo; species Homo sapiens. The sequence goes on from NC_000001.11 coordinate 188,248,248, forward strand.
AAAATGGTACGTGACCTTAATGGAAAGCAGGTTGATATATAGGAAAATAATATTTTACAATGGTAAAATATACTAAAGTATACCACTTCCAGAGAAAATCTATCTTTTCTTGGATTTTTTTTTTCTTAGCAAGATTTCAATTTGCTGAGTAAAGCGTTCAGAAATGCTTGCTTCAAAACATGCCTACCAACCTATGATTCAAGTGAGGTACCTAATGGGGAAAGAAAACTACACAAAGACAAGGAAAGTAAACCACAGCTGGCTATAATTTAAAAAAATATATTTTTCACATGTAAATATACATTAGTTGTATTTATGGGAAGAAAGGAGATTTTAAATGTCTAATTTGATTTCTAAGTAGTTTCAAGAACATACTGTATTTAGGAAATCATAACAAGCATCTGTCAAAAGTAGTCAGAAAACCATCAATAAATTTAAGTATGCATACTACAAAATAACATTTCAATGGATATGTTAAATAATGTAATGTATGGTTAAATGCAAACTTTGATTATTTTGATAATGCAATCATACTTATCTGCCTCCAAATAAAATAAAAACATAAATGAACCATATGAAACAAAGAAGTAAAGATATACAGAAATCCTTATTTCATGATCTAGAAATTTCTGAGGGAGAAAGAAAAAGTGAAAAGAAATTATCAAAAAATGGAGGATATATTCATTAATATAAAGGATTTATGCAAGTGAAGTTTTGGACTTAAAAGAGCCTATGGGTGCCAAGAAAGACTATTTGTTTAAAATTTTACATTTTTAATAGACAGAATAATGACATGTGAGTTGCTTCTAGAAGTTGGAAAACAAGAAAAGAAATTCCTCCCTGGAGCCTCCAAAAAGAAGTGCAGTCCTTATTTAACCCCAGTGGGACTTGAGTCCAACTTCTAAATCTATAAAATTTTTAGGTAATTATTGTTTTTATTGTTAGGCCAAAAAGTTTGTGATAATGTCTTACAGAAACTAACACACCATGTCTAGAATATATATATATATACACATATATTATAGATATCTCTATATATACCATAGATATCTATATATACACTATATCTATCTATCTATATGTATCTTGTATATATATATATATACAAGATTTATATATATCTTGATGAAACCCAGAAGGTCATAGTTAAAGAGAAAATTTTTAAAGATTCCAGACTTGAGAAAAGAAGTCAAAGGCTAAATTTCAGAATTCTCACTATCAACACAAAATGGTTGCTGAAAGAAAACATTCTTTGTTCTTTATACAAAGAACTTTTATACAAAGTTCTTTATATATAAATTCCTCTTTGTATATAAAATGCCAAGTAAAAGAATTTTACATACAAATTGATTTTTAATTAAGTGAGATAGAAAGAGTAACAAGAGAAAATTTGGATGTGGAAGATTTGCAAATTCATAGCACCAATAATAATCATTATTTTTATATCCAGTTGCATGAAAAAAAGTTTTACCAAAGTAAGAATAGAAATTTCTAAAATTAACAAAGTTTATCTGCCTAAGCTCAATAATAAATACGTATTTAGTGGCTCCCCATTTAACATCCTATTGAAACACACACACACAAATCCAGAAGATTCATTTGTTTCTCCTTTTAGGTTGCTTATTAAAAAGTAGACTCACCAGGTCTGATTTAGCTCAACTAAATAGCAGGCTAATGCTAGTGTCAGATCTGTGAAGGGTTTCCCCTTTTTGGAAGCAATTTCCTCAATGAGGAAGTTCCCATCTTTTTGTTTTTTTTTCCTCCATACATAACTAGCTGTTTCTCTGCTTCCTGTCTCTATAAATATGTGTAACATCATGGGAACAGAATCCCTCTCTGGGAGCCCAATGCACGGCAAGTCCGGGACAACTACATCCATCTCAAGCACATTGCTTTACCAGTCCTTGAGTTGTAGGCTCAGGGCACCAGTTTCACTTGTTGTCTTTTATTGTATGCTTTTAAAGGCTACAGACTTCTTTCATGTACTGTTTTACTTGCATTTCACACAATTAACATGCAACACACTAGCCTAAAATTTACTTATTCGGTATTAGTGGAACAATTACATGAAAATTACAACATTTTGAAAATATAAAAATAATAAAAATTTGATTATTATGAATATTACAACATAATATTTAATTCTCAATTTTTTGACCAACGAGAAGGCCTTATTTATATTATGTTTGTGGAGTATTTATAGAAATTGATATTCTGAGCACTATAGTAAGTGTCAATGTATTTCATGAGATAAAAACCATATATTGTATGTTCTCTGATAATAATGAATAAAACCAAAACTAGAAAGAATGTATTTTTGGAAGTTTCAAAATACACTTCTAATTAACCCTGTGTCAAACAGTAAATCAAATCATAGCATAAACTATTGAACATTTAACTGAGTAATATTAAAAAATAAAGTTGAAGAGTGCTGATTGTTTTTAAATGTTCTTTATTATACATAGTTCAAATATATTAATAGCAACTAGAAAATAGCAAAAAAAAAGACACAAAAACTCTGAATTGTCAGAAGCATCAAAGTTCAAAAGGCTTGCATTATCCACATCATGCATAGGTATGGTAGCATATGAAAACAATAATGGAAAGAAACAAATCAGTGTTCTTATTATATTATACAATTTCCAATTAAATAAACTGCAAAACTAGAATTGCAATTCAGAGAGTACTTGCCATTTTGCTCATGCAGCACACCTTGCAGTCAACAAGTTGTTTATCTTCCATGTAAATTGCTTTCCTGAGTGCTCTAACAGCATATATTAAAAATAAACAAAAACATAAACAGAAACCCCAATAAGCATAACTTAAAACAGTAGAAACTCAGATTGAAATATTTTCTGCAATTGCTTTCAGTCTAGCTCACATAAAATGCTCTTTAACTCTATTTTATTGCACTTTGAAATGTGCTGCAGTGTAACTATTAAAGGAACTTCATAATAGATATTGAATTGAATAATATTAGAAATGCTGATTCAACAGTCCTTGTCATTTGTGACATTTTATTAGGTTCTAGAAGATTTTAAAAATTGGGCATTAGTCAACAGACCTCTAGTTGTAAAATACTCATTGACTTACGTGTTCATTATGTGCAAAATATGTTTAAACTGCTTGGTAAGTGAAGGTTCACTAAGATTATTGAATCAATCCTATTTAAAATAACCCCCATTAAAAGATTAAGCTAGTGTAAGAATACATTTTCAGTGTAAAAAAAAGTGCTTTGAGAGAATGAAATGTTTCAACATGAGTATAATAACTGTTGAATATCTAAAAGCTGAAAGGTCAAGGAAATTCATGTTTAAAATTAAAGAAGTATGAGCATATTGCCAGAGAAGATGTTATTTGAAGATTTCATTTAAAATACATACTTCATTTTTTAACAGTTTTAGATTTATGAGAAAATTGTAAGACATCCCATATATCCCACATGCAGGTTCCCCTACTATTAACATCTTATATTTGCCCAGTACATTTTGTACAGTTTAAGAATAAATGCCACAGATTTTTAACTGAAGTTCATACTTTACCCAGATTTCCTTCTTCTTTTTTTTTTTTTTTTTTTTTGAGATGGAGTCTTGCTCTGTCACCCAGGGTGAAGTGCAGTGGCGGGATCTCAGCTCACTGCAAGCTCCGCCTCCAGGGTTCAAGCGATTCTCTTGCCTCAGCCTCCCGAGTAACTGGGATTACCGGTGTGCACCACTACGCCTGGCTAATTTTTGGATTGTTCTAGTAGAGACGGGGTTTCACCATGTTGGCTAGGCTGGTTTTGAACCACTGACCTCAGGTGATCCAGCCGCCTTAGCCTCCCAAAGTGCTGGGATTACAGGTGTGAGCCACCGTGTCTGGCCGATTTCCTTCATTTCTTACCAATGTAGTTATTCTACTATAGAATCCTATTCAGGATATCACATTACACTTAATAATCACATCCCCTTAGGCTTCTGTTGACTGACAGATTATTAGATTTTCCTTTTTATGAGAGATTTTAGGATAATTGGTCTGATAAATCAAGTCAATTTGGATTTACATTAATATTTTCTTCTCTTTAGATTGGGTTCTGCATTTTGGGGAGGAAGACCTTGGAGGCAAGGTGCCATCGTATCCCATCATAGTCATAGTTCATAATGCCAACATGACTTATTATTGCTGAAGTTAACCTTGATCACTTGGCTGAAGTAGTGTTTGTAAAGTTTCTTAACTGTAAAACTACTCTTTTCTCCCTGCTATATATGAAATTTATTTTTAAAAATTCACTATGTGAAATTTGCACTTAAGGAGTGCGAGGTGTGCTCCTAATCCTTGAGAGAGGAATATCAACATAAATTGCTTGGAATTTTTCTGCATAAGAAATTTGTTTTATCTCTCTTATCTATATCTACCTATCTGTTTATTTAATCATTTATTTCTGTCAGCACAGATTCAGAGATATTTATTTCATACTTTGGGTTATAATTAACACCATTTTATTTTGTTCAAATTATTTCAGCTTTGGCCATTGGGAGCTTTTATAGTTGGCCCTTCTGTCCTTTTTACATATTCAAATCTTTGTCTGCATTTGTGGGTGTGCAGGTGTGTTAGCACTTTTTAAATTTGTGGCACTACAAGGTGTTCTAGGCTCATTTTGCAGTATTCTTGCCTCAGGCCTAGAATCAGATATTTATCCAAAGAACCTGGGCTTTTTTTCTTACTGGAGAATAACATTAGAAACCAAAAACAGAGTGCCAGGTGTAAACATTGCTATTGGGTTGTCATTGGTTCTAGATCCACTCAGTTAAATATAAATATGTGTGTGTATACTCACCAGTGTATATACACTTTTCTACATATTTCTGTAGACTCTATCTGTGTATATGATGAGGCAGACAGGGGTTCATACTAATATGCCAAGCTCTAATTTATTACCACATGGATCATTCTAGCCACCTACTCTTGCTTGTCTGTAGACATTTACTCCACCAATGAGAAACCCGGTTTCAATTTTTTGCCATTAATTTACTTAATTGTTAATTTTCAGTATACATGTAAAGCAGTACACAAATTGTTAATATGTACCTCATGGAAATATCTTTATTAAGTAGAGTATAATACTTATGTATATTTAAAAATATTTTTAGTCTTCACTCATTTCCAAGTTTACTTAGGTCAGTAACTTTTTCTTCATCCCCTTCAATAAAATTGTTTCCTATATTTGTAATACAGTCAAGTTCTTTTGTCACATTCTACCTTTCAACCTGGGACCACCTGAACTCTTATTTAATATTTATACATTAAGTGTCACTCTTTTGCTCCATGAAGTTCTGTGTTTTGACTCATGGACAGTGTCACATATCCACCACTACAGTATCATTAGGATAGTTTCATGGTCCTAAACTATTCCCTGGGTGTCACATATTTAACTCGTTCTCCCCATCACTGTACTGCTTGTAAGTACTGATGTTTGTAATGTATCTGTAGTTTCGTTTTTTCAAGAATTCCATTTAAGTGTAATCTTATGGCATGTAGCCTTTTCATACTGACTTAACATAGCAATATATATTCAAGATTCATTCGAGTCTTTTTTGCAACTTTACAGCTCATTTATTTTACAACTGAATAATATCTCATTGTATGATGTACTGTGGTTTATCTATTTCCCTACTGAAGGACATCTTGGTTCCTTTAAGTTTTTGGAGATTATGATTGAAGTATCTATTAACACTCACATGCAGAAATCTATGTGGACATAACTTGAAATTTATCTGGGTAAACATCTAGGAGCACTATTATATATATTATATATAATATATAATTATATGGCAAGATTACATTTAGCTTTGTAAGAAAACGTCAAAATCTCTTCCAACATGATTGTATCGTTTGGCATTTCCACTAGTAAATAGGGGAGTTTTTCTTGCATCGCGATGTAGTCAACAATTGGTCTTCATTGTTTCTGAATTTCAGCCATTCTAATAGGTGGGTAGTGGTATCACATTATTGTTTTAATTTGTAATTTCCTAATGTCAAATGATGCTTAATATCTTTTTATATGAATATTTATTATGAGTATATCTTCTTCGATAAGGTGTCTGTTCAGATAGTTTGCCCATTTTTAAAATTAGGTCATTTCTTTCCTATTGTTGAGTTTCAATAGTTATTTGTACATTTTGTAAGCAAGCCCTGTAAAAGATACATATTTTGCAAATATGTTCTCCTTGTCTGTGGCTTGTACATTAATTTTTCAACATTTCTTTCATACAGTAGAAGATTTTAATTGTATTAAAATCCATTTTGTCATGTTTTTTGTTCATGGGTCATTTTTGTTTTGTGCTTTGTATGTAAAATTTCACTACCAAATCCAAGTAAATGTATATTTAACCCTGTGATTTTTTTCCAGAAGTTTTATAATTATGCATTTTACTTTTAGGTGTTTGATCTATTGTGAGTTAATATTTGTGAAATGAATGTGGACTGTCTAGGTTCATTTTTTGCTTATGGATGCCCAAGTATTCCAGCACTGTTTGCTGACTATACGTTCTCCTTGAATTGTCTTTGCTAGTTGTCAAAATTCTGTTGACTCTGTAGTTGTGAGATGACTTCTGGGATTTCTTTGCAATAACATTTATCTATGTAAGTATATAATCATCACACTGTTTTCCATAGTGGTTGTACTAGTTTACATTCCCACCAGCAGTGTAGAAGTGTTCATTGCATTCCTACCGACATCTACTATTTTTTTTTATTTTTTGATTATGGGCATTCTTGTAGAAGTAAAGTGGTATCGCATTGTACTTTTGATTTACGTTTCCCTGTTCATTAGTGATGCTGAGCATTTTTCTATATGTCCATTGGCCATTTGTATATCTTCTTTTTGAGAATTGTCTATTCATATTCTTAGCCCACTTTTTGATGGGATTGTTTGTTTTTTTCTTATGGATTTGTTCGAGTTCATTGTAGATTCTGGATATTAGCCCTTCGTCAGATGTATAGATTGTGAAAATTTTCTCCCACTCTGTGGGTTGTCTGTTTACTCTGCTGAGTGTTCCTTTTGCTATGCAAAAGCTCTTTAGTTTAATTAAGTCTCAACTATTAATTTTTGTTTATATTCCATTTGCTTTCAGTTTCTTGGTCATGAAATCCTTGCCTAAACCAATGTCTAGAAGGGTTTTGCCAATGTTATCTTCTAGAATTTTTATAGTTTCAGTCTTAGATTTAAGTCCTTAATTCATCTTCAGTTGATTTTTGTGTAGGGTGAAAGATGAGGATCCAATTTTATTCTCATACATGTGAATAGCCAGTTATCTCAGCAACATTTGTTGAAAAGAGTGTCGTTTCCTCCACTTTATGTTTGTGTTTGCTTTGTCGAAGATCAGGTGGCTGTAAGTAGTTGGGTTAATTTCCAGGTTCTCTATTCTGTTCCATTGGTCTGTGTGCCTATTTTTATAGCAGTAGCATGCTGTTTTGGTGACTATGGCCTTGTAGTATAGTTTGAAATTAGGAAGTGTGATGCCTACAGATTTACTCTTTTTGCATAGTCTTGCTATGGTTATGTGGGGTCTTCTTTGGTTCCATATGAATATTAGAATTGTTCTTTTCTAATTTTGTGAAGAATGATGATGGTATTTTGATGGGGATTGTGTTGAATGTAGAGTGCTTTTGGCAGTATGGCCATTTTCACAATATTGATTCTACCTATCAAGAGCACGGAATGTGTTTTCATTTGTTTAGGTCACCTATTATTTCTTTCAGCAGTGTTTTGTAATTTTCCTTGTAGATGGCTCTCACCTACTTGGTTAGGTATATTCCTAGGTATTTTATTATTTTGCAGCTATTGTAAAAGGGCTTGAGTTCTTGATTTGATTCTCTGTTGGTCGCTGTTGGTGTATAGAAAAGCTACTGCTTTGTGTACATTAATCTTGTATATGGAAAATTTGCTGAATTTTTTTTTAATCAGTTCTAGGAGCTTTCTGGAGGAGTCTAGGATTTTCAAGGTAAAAGACCATATTGTCAACAAATGGTGAGGGTTTGACTTGCTGTTTACCAATTTGGATGCCCTTTATTTCTTTCTCTTGTCTGATTGCTCTGGCTAGGACTTCTAGTACTGTGTTGAAGAGGAGTGGTGAGAGTGAGCATCCTTATCTTGTTCCATTTCTCAGAGGGAATGCTTTCAACTTTTACCCATTCAATATTATGTTGGCTGTGGGTTTGTCGTAGATGCCTTTTTTACCTTGAGGTATGTCCCTTATGTGCCCTTTTTGCTGAGAGTTTTAATCATAAAGGGATGTTGGATGTTGTCAAATGCTTTTTCTGCATCTGTTGAGATGATCATGTGATTTTTGTTTTTAATTTTGTTTATGTGGTTTATCAATTTTACTGACTTGCATATGTTAAACCATCCCTGCATCCCAGGCATAAAACCCACTTGATCATGGTGGATTATCTTTCTGATATGTTGTTGGATTTGGTTAGCTAGTATGTAGTTAAGGATTTTAGCATCTATGTTCATCAGGAATATTGGTCCATAGTTTTCTTTTCTGGTTATGTCCTTTCCTGATTTTGGTGGTAGGGTGATACTGGCTTCATAGAATGAATTAGGGAGGGTTGTCTATTTCTCTATCTTGTAGAATAGTGTCAAAGAATTGCTACCAATTCTTTGTTGAATGTCCTGCAGAATTCTGCTGTGAAGCCATCTGGTCCTGGACGTTTTTTTGTTGGTAATTTTAAAATTATCATTTCAATCTCACTGCTTGTTATTGATCTGTTCAGAGTATCTAGAAGGATTGTATTTTTTTCAGGAATTTATCCATTTCTTCGAGGCTTTCTAGTTTATGTACATAAAGGTTTTCATAGTAGGCTTGAGTTATCTTTTGTATTTCAGTGGTGCATCAGTTGTAATATTGTGTTTGGAATTTGTTCCTTCTGGTGGGTTCTTGGTCTAACTGACTTCAAGAATGAGGCCATGGACTCTAGCGGTGAGTGTTACAGTTCTTAAAGATAGTGAATTTATTCCTTCAGATGTTCAGATGTGTCTGAAGTTTCTTCCTTCCAGTGGGTTTGTGGTCTCACTGACTTCGGGAGTGAAGCCACAGACCTTTGCAGTGAGTGTTACAGCTCTTAAAGGTGGCATGTCCAGAGTTGTTCATTCCTCCCGGTGGGTTCATGGTCTTGCTGACTTCAAGAATGAAGCCGCAGGTCCTCGCAGTGAGTGTTACAGCTCATACAGGTAGTGCAGACCCAAAGAGTGAGCAGTAGCAAGATTTATTATGAAGAGCGAAAGAACAAAGCTTCCACAGCGTGGAAGGGGACCCGAGCAGGTTGCTGCTGCTGGCGCAGGTGGCCAGCTTTTATTCCCTTATTTGGCCCCACCCTCGTCCTGCTGATTGGTTCATTTTACAGAGTGCTGATTGGTCCATTTCACAGAGTGCTGATTGGTCCGTTTTTACAGAGTGCTGATTGGTGCGTTTACAAACCTTTAGCTAGACACAGAGCGTTGATTTTTCCATTTTACAGAGTGCTGATTGGTGCATTTACAATCCTTTAGTTAGACGCAGAGCACCGATTAGTGCATTTTTACAGAGTGCTGATTGGTGCATTTACAAACCTTTAGCTAGACACAGAGCACTGATTGGTATGTTTTTACAGAGTGCTGATTGGTGCATTTACAAGCCTTTAGCTAGACACAGAGCACTGATTGGTGCATTTACAATCCTCTAGCTAGACAGAAAAGTTCTCAAAGTCCCCACTTGATCCAGAAGCCCAGCTGGCTTCACCTCTCAATCCCCCCTCTAAACAGGACACCTCAATTGCTGTTGGGGATTGGGCGATGACCACTCTAGCTACTTCCTGCTGGATGGGACAAAGAAGGGGCCCTGTAGTTGTAGTGTCTTCCAGAGGGCAACTCTTTAGGCCAGTGAAAGGGCCAGTGGGTTGGTCCAGGGGTCCTTGGTAGAAGTTGTTAGTTGAGCTCATTTGGGGTTCCATTTGTAAGACCATCTGTAGCTTGATGGCCTCAATCCTAGAGGAAACAAATTTGACAAGGAGGTTAAAAATACAGGGCCCAAAGGTGAGTAATAGCAAGAGGGCTGCCACGGGACCTAGAAAGGGGAGAAGCCATGTTGCCCAACTCCAGAAGTTGGTATAAGAGTTTGAAAGGCACTGTCTGATTTCAGAAGCCTTTACCTATAAATGCCAGGTGGCATCTCATACTCTCCCTGATTGGTTAGTGTAAAAACAACACTCTTCCCCTAAAAAGGTGCAGAATCCTCCTTTCTCAGCAATGAGGAGGTCTAGGCCTCAGTGGTTTTGGAAAGTCACTGTTGCCAAAGAGTCTATTTGGGATTGTAGAGTAAGGATAGATTTCGTTATTTCTTGCAAACTATCTGAGAAATCCTTTGAGAGTGTGTGGTAGTAGGATAATGAAGTAGATAAACCTGCTTTTCCAGTTCCTGTAGCAGTGGCCATTTCTAACCATATAAGTAGGGGTATTAGTTGTATGGCCCTGCGCTGATGGGCTTGAGCTTTGAGGGGCACTGACAGGGCCTGATTTCCTAGGGCAATGTTAATGTTGGGATTTAGAAAGAATAAGGTGCAGGTGCCTGTCTAGTTAGTGGGGAGGCAGATATAGGTTGATGTTCCACATAAGAAGAATATGCCTTGGCTGGGTAGACATTTAGAAATTTACCGTGACTTTTAAAGGAATAGTGTACACTGCTTTTTCTTTACTACTTCTCTCTCTTTCTCTCTCTGACTCCCTCTTTGTCTCTTTCTCTTCTTCTCTCTCTCTTTCTGACTTTCTGTCTCTTTCTCTCGGACTTCTTCTTTGTCTGTCTCTCTCTTTGTCTCTGACTCCCTCTTTGTCTCTTCCTCTCTTTCCTTCTTTGACTTTCTGTCACTTTGTCTCTTCCTCTTTCTGTCTCCTTCTCTTCCTCTCTCTCTCTCTTCCTCTCTCTCTCTCTCTCTCTTTCTCTTTCTGTCTCTTTCTCTCCTTCCTTTCTGCTGGTCTTTCCCTGCCTCTGCCAGCCGCTTATGCTTCTGTTATCCCCCTCCTTCCCCTTTGTGATGGCTTCGGCAGTGTAAGACTGCCACCTCCTTGGGATTTTGCACTGCATGCAATAACTCCATGATTTCCTTGTGGTATTTAATGGGGGTTCCCCCAGAGGTTAGGAACTCCCTTTCTTTCCAAATTGCAGCATGTGCATGTGGGATTAGAAAAGCATACTTGCTATCTGTATACATATTTATTCTTTTTCCCTTTCCCAGTTCTAAGTCTTGGGTAAGTGCCACTAGTTCTGCTAACTGGGCACTGGTCCCTGGGGGAAGAGGCTTACTTTCAAGTACTGTTACTATGGCATAACCTGCCTTTCATATCCCATTCTCCACAAATGAACTTTCATTGGTATATAGGTTAAGGTCAGGATTAACTAAGGGGACTTCTAAGAGATCCTCTTGGGTGGCATAAGTCTGGACTATAATTTGTTGGCAGTTATGCTGAATTGGTTCCCCATCCTCTGGAAGAAAAGTGGCAGGGTTGAGGGTCACACACGTGCGTATTTGAAGCACTGGTCCCTCAAGGAGTAGTGCCTGGTATCTAAGCAGACAGTTGTCTGATAGCCAAACTTCCTTTGGCACCTAGTATGTCATTTACATCATGAGTAGTTCAGACAGTGAGATCCTTTCCTTGTATTATTTTGATAGCCTCTGAAAGTAAGATGGACACCGCCACAACTACCTGTAAACAGTGAGGCCAGCCTTTTGCTACTACATCAATTTCCTTACTTAGGTATGCCACTGGTTGTGGGGTTGTCCAATGAGTCTGAGTAAGGACTCCAGGAGTATCCCTGCTCTCTCTGTGATGTATAAAGGGAAGTTTTGTCCTGGGGGAAGGCTTAAGGCTGGAGATTGAGTTTGTTCCTTACAATGCCCAGACTTCAGGGTTGATTCCCTCCTCAAGCAGGGGACAACCAATGGGTAACTTGTTCCCCATATTCATGTAGATAATAACTTCAGCTTTGGATAATATATCCCTCCCTAATAAGGGTGTGGGACTTTCAGGCACAACAAGAAAGGCATGTGAAAAGAGAAAACTCTCCCAACTACAACTGAGGATGTGGGAGAAATACCTGGTTACAGGCCATCCCAGGATTCCTCAGATGGTAACGGACCTTGAGGACAGCTGTCCAGGACAGGAGATTAACACTGAGAAAGCTGCACTAGTGTCCAGGAGGAAGTCAACTTCCTGGCCCTCAATGGTTAAACATACCTGGGGCTCAGTGAGGTTGATGACATGAGCTGCTGCTTGCCCCAGGCACCCTCAGTCCTGTTGTTGGATCATCTGCTTGGGGGCTTCTGGCACAGAGAAACTTTGTCCTCTGGGGCAGTGCACCTTCCAGTGATTGCCTCAGCATAGTGGACTTGGACGAGGGGGTGGCTTGTTTCTCACTGGACAATCTTTTTTAAGGTGTCCTTGCAAACCACACTGGCAACAAGCCCCAACAGGTGATTGGCCTGCTCTATTGTCTGTCCTCTTTGAACCACCAAAGTTTGTTTGTCTGAGGGTCATGACTAAGGCTGTGGACTTTCTCTGATCTTGCTTTTCTTTTTGGGCCTGTTGCTCTTGGTCCCTATTATAGAACACCAAGGTTGCCAGTTTAATAATGCCTCCAGATTTTGTTCAGGGCCCAGGGCTCGCTTTTGGAGCTTTCTCCTGATATCTGCAGCTGATTGTGTAATAAACTTATCTTTCAGGATAAATTGACCCTCTAGTGAGTCAGGTGACAGGGGAGTATATTTTCTTAAGGCCTCCCATAGCCAATCAAGGAAGGCAGAAGGATTTTCTTTCTTTCCCTGAGTTATTGTAGACATCATTGAATAATTCATGGGCTTTTTCCTAATTCTCCTTACTCCTTCTAGAACACAGGTCAACAAATGTTTGCACCAACTCCAGTCCCCATGATCTGAGTCGAGGTCCCAGTGGGGTTCCATATTGGGGATGGCGTGCTGACCAGTAGGGATTTGTCCCTTTCTTCGGCTGTCATTCTATCATTTACTTGACTAAGATACCAGGTATCTCCAAACTCTCATGCTGCAGCTAAAGCCACATTCTTTTCTTTAAAGGCCAGGGTTTGATATAACAATAGCATGACATCTCTCCAAGTGAGACAGAAGGTTTGCCCCAGACCCTGTAGGACAGCTATGTACCTATTGGGATCATCTGAAAACTTCCCCAGGTCTGCCTTGATCTGCTTTAAATCAGAGAGGGAGAAGGGGACATGTACCCAGGTTGGGGCAAATTCCCCTCCCACTACAGCTTGAAGGGGACAAAACGGATAGCCTGGGGATTTTTATGGTCCTTTGGAGATTTCTTTGCTTGTTTCCTTCTAGGCAGGGGAGATTAAAGGAGGCTTATCATTAATAGGAAGGGGAGCTATAGGGAGGCTAGGATATGGAGGTAAGCTGAGAGGTCCTCCTGTGGGATGTAAATTACAAGCTTTGCATAGTTGTGGATACTCTTTAAATGAAAAGAAAGCTTGGACATAAGGTATTTCACTCTTTTTGCCTTCCCTCTTACAGAAAAGGTCAAGCTGTAGGTTAGTATTGTAATTTATACTTCCCTCAGGTAACCATTTTTCCCCATCAGAGAGAGAATATTGGGGCCAGGCCATAGTGCAGAAAAAAAAATGAGTTGCCTCTTTTTCAGGGTTTGAGGGTCAAATTGGTCCCAGTGGCTTCAGATGCATTTCAAGGGTGAGCCTGTTGATGCCTGAGTGTTTCCTGTCTGAAAGACAAAACCACCCGCAGTTTTGGTTTGTTTGTTTTTCCCTCTTGCCCAAGAACCCACAACGGACCCCGGACCCTGCTGATCAGAATAGTTGTGCTCACCAACGCAGCAGCAGAAACACTAGTTTTCCTCCTAGACCACAAGGAGGACTGAGGAATGTCAGATTTAGTGGCCATTACTGACACATTCTTGAAAACCTGCACCTTTGCTTGTCCTCCTAGACCACAAGGAGGACTGAGAAAAATCGGATTTAGTGGCCCTTACTGATGCATTCTCAAAAACCTGTTAGAGTCCTAAGCGTTCTCCTGTTAGTATTGGGACCTTACCACTGTCCTGTAAAGAGTTATGCCCCAAAAATGAAGTGGAGGGCCATACCCTGAGGGAGGAAAGGGATCTCCAGGTTTGGAAGAGTGACACCTTTTGTCCTCACTTGAATAGGAAGGATATTATTTCTGAAGCTCCCTATATCCTAGCTTCAGGAATAACTTTTGTTAGGCCTGCTAGTCTAAGGATGGATCCTAAAATGCCAGATAGTTCCCCGCCCCAATGGAGCTTTGGGCAAAAATTATGTCTTTCTGATTGGTGAGCCTGGGTGCCTAAAGAAGGGAATAGAGTTCTGGAGTTTATACTAGAAATCATTCTTATAGGAGAAACTAGAAAAGCAACAGAGACAGGGAGTGGTTTTTAGAAGCAGGACTAGCCTTGGAGAAGAGAGGCAAGAGGAAGTTTGTCTGACAGGCATTAGTACCCAGGAGGCAAGGGTCAGGAAAGATAGGATAGATGGGTGAAGTCTCACTTGGGCAACATGACTTTGAGAGTTCTGCTCATGGGTGCAGGGTCAACCAACTTGCTGTTGGGACCCTGGAGCTGAATGGCTTTCCTCTCTGTTGACCCTCAGCTCAGCCCAGAAGTACAGGAAAAGAGGAAGCTGGTTCCAGGCAAACCAATGCTCCCAACACCAAAGAGTCACGGGTTGTTAGAGAGCCCTTTCCCAGAAAGCCTGACACCCATGTCTTTATAGTCCAGTGGCCGCACTAGTCACTTTTAGCTGGCAGACATGTGCCCAGTGTTTAGCCCCCAAATTCTAAGGCCAGAATTGGTTCCTTCCAGTGGGTTCTTGGTCTCGCTGACTTCAAGAATGAAGCTGTGGACCCTGGCGGTGGGTGTTACAGTTCTTAAAGATGGAGTGTGTGGAGTTTTTTCCTTCAGATGTTCAGATGTGTCCGAAGTTTCTTCCTTCTGGTGGGTTCATGGTCTCTCTGACTTCAGGAGTGACGCTGCAGGCCTTTGCAGTGAGTGTTACAGCTCTTAAAGGTGGTACATCTGGAGTTGTTTCTTCCTCCCGGTGGGTTCGTGGTCTCACTGACTTCAGGAATGAAGCCGCAGACTCTTGTGGTGAGTGTTACAGCTCATAAAGGTAGTGCAGACCCAAAGAGTGAGCAGCAGCAAGATTTATTATGAAGAGCGAAAGAACAAAGCTTCCACAGCGTGGAAGGGGACCCGAGTGGGTTGCTGCTGCTGGCTTGGGTGGCCAACTTTTATTCCCTTATTTGGCCCTGCCCTCTACCTGCTGATTGGTTCATTTTACAGAGCGCTGATTGGTCCATTTTACAGAGTGCTGATTGGTCCATTTTTACAGAGTGCTGATTGGTGCGTTTACAAATGTTTAGCTAGACACAGAGTGCTGATTGGTGTGCTTTTACAGAGTGCTGATTGGTGCATTTGCAATCCTTTAGCTAGACAGAGCACTGACTGGACTGGTGCATTTACAATCCTCTAGCTAGACAGAAAAGTTCTCCAAGTCCCCACTTGACCCAGAAGTGCAGCTGGCTTCACCTCTCAATATCACCTGTTTCTTTATTTATGGGGTTATTTAGATTTTCTCTTTTTTTCTTGGTTAATCTTGCTAATGCTCTATCTATTTTATTTATCTTTTCAAAGAAGCAGCTTTTTGTTTCATTCATCTTTTGTTTTGTTTTTGTTTGTTTCAACTTCATATAGTTCTGTTCTGGTCTTGGTTATATCCTTTCTCCTGTTGGGATTGGGTTTGGTTTGTTCTTGTTTCTCCAGTTCCTTGAGGTGTGGCCTTAGAATGTCAGTTTTTGTTCTTTCAGTCTTTTTGATGTGTGCATTCAGGGCTATGAACTTTCCTCCTCGAACCACCTTTGCTATATCCCAGAGGTTTTGTAGGTTTTGTCAGTATTGTCATTCAGTTCAAAGAATTTTTTAATTTCTATCTTGATTTTGTTTTTGACCCATTGCTCATTCAGAGCAGGTTATTTAATTTCCAGGTATTTGCATGGTTTTGAATGTTCCTTTTGGAGTTGATTTCCAGTTTTATTCTAGTGTGGTCTGACAGAGTGCTCGATATAATTTAAATTTTCTTAAATTTTTTGAGGCTTGTTTTATGGCCTTTCATATGGTTTATTTTGGAGAAAGTTCCATGTGCTGTTGAATAGAATGTGTATTCTGCAGTTGGATAAAATGTTCTGTATATGTCTGTTAAGTCCATTTGTTTTAAGGTATAGTTTAAATCCATTGTTTCTTTGTTGACTTTCTGTATTGATGAGCTGTCTAGTGCTGTCAGTGGAGTACTGAAGTCCCCCACTATTATTGTGTTGTTGTCTAACTCATTTCTCAAGTCTATTAAAATTGTTTTATAAATTTGGGGGCTCCAGTGTTAGGTACATATATTTTTAGTATTGTGATATTTTCCTGTTGGACAAGGCCTTTTACCGTTATATAATGTCCTTCTTTGTCTCTTTTAACTGCTGTTGCTTTAATGTTTGTTTTGTCTGATATAAGAATAGCTGCACCTGCCCGCTTTTGGTGTCCATTTGCATGAAATGCCTTTTTCCACCCCTTTAAGTTTAAGTGGGTCCTTATGTGTTATGTGAGTCTCCTGAAGGCAGCAAATGGTTGGTGAGTTCTTATCCATTCTGCAGTTCTGTGTCTTTTAAGTGGGATATTTAGGTCATTTGTATTCAGTGTTAGTATTGAGATATGAGGTACCATTCCATTCATCGTGCTATTTTTTGCCTGTTTGCCTTGTTTTTTTGTTGTTGTTGTTGTTTTGTTTTTGCTTTTTAAATTGCACTCTTTATACATCCTGTGTGATTTATGCTTTAAAGAGGTTCTGTTTTGATGAGTTTCCAGGATTTATTTCAAGATTTAGAGCTCCTTTTAGCAGTTCTTATAGTGGTGGCTTGGTAGTGGCAAATTTTCTCAACATTTGTTTGTCTGAAAAAAGAGTATATCTTTCCTTCATATATGATGCTTAGTTTTGCTGGATACAAAATTCTTGGGTGATAATTGTTTTGTTTGAGGAGGCTGAAGATAAAGCCCCAATCCCTTCTACCTTGCAGGGTTTCTACTGAGAAATCTGCTGTTAACCTGATAGGTTTTCCATTATAGGTTACTTGGTGCTTTTATCTCACAGCTCATAAGATTCTTTCCTTCATCTTAACTTTATGTAACCTGATGACAATATGCCTAGGTGATGATCTTTTTGTGATGAATTTCCCAGGTGTTCTTTGTGCTTCTTGTATTTGGATGTTCAGGTCTCTAGCAAGGCTGGGGAAGTTTTCCTCATTTATTCTTCCAAATATGTTTTCCAAATTTTAGATTTCTCTTCTTCCTCAGGAGTATCAATTATTCTTAGTTTTGGTCATTTAACATAATCCCAGGCTTCTTGGAGGCTTTGTTCATATTTTCTTATTTAAATGTTGTGCTCTTTGTTGGATTGGGTTAATTCAAAGACCTTATCTTTAGCTCTGAATTTCTTTCTTCTATTTGTTCAATTCTATTGCTGAGACTTTCCGGAGCATTTTGCATTTCCATGTGTGTCCGGTGTTTCCTGAAGTTTTGATTATCTTATTTATGTTATTGATTTCCCGGAATATGTCTCCCTTCACTTCTTCTATCAGTTTTTGGACTGCCTTGCGTTGGACTTTGCCTTTCTCTGGTACATCCCTAATTAGCTCAATAACTAACCTCCTGAATTCCTTTTCAGGTAAATCAGGTATTTCTTCTTGGTTTGGATCCATTGCTGGTACTGGAGGTTGTCTTCACAGAGTCTTGTGATGTGAAGTGAAGTGCCTATGGTTCTCTCAGCCATGGATATCAGCACCTGTTCCAGTGGAGGTGTCAGGGGGTGAAATGGACTCTGTGAGGTGTCTTAGCTTTGGTGGCTTAATATTCTATTTTTGTACTGGTTGGCCTCCTGCTGGGATGTGGGACTTTCTGGAGAGCATTGGCCATGGTAGTATGGAGAGGAACTGGTGGTAGGTGGGACCCTAGAACTCCCAAGAGTTTATGCCCTTTGTCTTCAGCTACCAGGGTGGATAGGGAAGGCCCAACAGGTGGGGGCAGGGCTATTCCTGTCTGAGCTCATACTCTCCTTGGGCAGATCTTGCTGCTGCTGAGTATTTGGGGGTATCTCCTGGGTCCTGCAGGAGGAGTCTGCTTCCTTCAGAGGGTCTGTGTGTCCTCTTGGGATTCCTGGTTTTTTCTGGCAACTGTTCTGGAGCTAAAATTCACAGCGCAAACCTCTGCACGCTGCTCTGTCTGTCTGAGTAGGAGCTGCAATCTAGTCCTGCCTCCAGTCTGCCATGATGACCCATGATGACCTATCTCCCTGAACGATCTGCATGTCTCATTGTTTCGCATTTGATTCTGATGCTGGTGGTCCTACCCAGAAAACATACTGAAAGGATCATTGCTCTAACCATCACTAAAATTGCAGGCCATTATGGTGGCACAGTAAAAGGAGTAGCATTAAAAATTGAAGAAGTTTGACTAACCCAAATGTGTATTAACTATCCACACACTTCAGCCACTTAAGTTTTACCAGTAAACTCACTTTAATTTAGTATAATTATTTCCACTTTCAGATTTCTCACAATAGCTATAAAATGACAAATTTCACGACTAGAAAAAGGAAACAGAGAGTTGATAGCCTTTTCTAACACTGATATGTAGACCCTTGAGGTGTTTTTATATTAAAATAGTGATAAAAGCCCTACTCTTATTATTATAAATTATGGATAAATTAACATCCATATTCATTTATATTTAAGCAAGTTAGAACTAGGTCTACCTGAAGACCTGAAAATATTTTATTTTAATAACTGGCCATCATAATTTTTTGATATGTTTTAAATAGAAGTGGTGCTTTTTAATTTGGACTTTAGCATAATATAGACATGTTGAATTTATGCATTTTAAATTATATACTTAGTAATAAAGATTTTGGTTACTGAAAGTTACTCCAAAAATGAGTTAAGATACTTATAAAGGTGTTTGAAAAATAAGTCTTGGTTGCCTTTTATATACAAATTCATATAAATTACCAAAAATTTAAATGTAAGACATTTCTATTTATATTTTAAAAGCATCTTAGTTCAAGCTGATATAACAAAGTACCATACACTGGGTGGCTTATGAACAACAGAAAGTTGTTGCTTCAGAATTCTGGAAGATTAAAGTCCTAGATCAAGATATGAAAGTGATAGGGTTCTTGTGACAGACTTCTTTGGAGTAGGATACTCTTGTATCTTTACATGGTAGAAAGAGGGAAAGTGACTTCTCTATGTCCCTTTTATAAGGGTATTAATCCCATTCATGATGTCTCCACCTCCATGACCTAAATTTCTCTCAAAGACCTCACCTCCTAGTATCATTGCATTGAAAGCAAGGATTTCAACAGATTAATTTTGAGGAGACACAGTTAGTACATAACAGAGTGCAAATGGATATTTACCAATAATTAAATAAGTAATAGTAAAATAATATTTCTCTATAAAAATGTAGCAGTCTTAATGAGTATTGTTAAGCTTAAATAGAAATTTCCATAAGAATTGGATATAACACATTGATTAATATGAATGTATGAATATAGATCAATTCACATGAGTTCAATATAAATAAAATTAATGTTATAGTTATCATTTTGTGATGATGATAATGCAGCTCGCATTTGAAGCTAATTTCTTCCTTCATATATTCTTCTGGAGTCTAGGTCCTGATATGGTAGCATACACCCAATAATTGCTTTTTCTTCAATCTCAGTTCAAGGCCAGAGGCATTTAGAACTCTAAATATCAGGTAGTACTTTTATGTTAACATGTGCAACCATTAAAAAGTGTGAAGAGTTTTCTTAGTCCATACACAAGAAAGAGATTGCTAACAGTGTAAGGGACCAGACCAAAAAGGTGCAGACCCAGAGGTGTTATCTAAACCAGTCGTCTCCAACCTTTTTGGCACCAGGAAACAGTGTCATGGAAGACAATGTTTCCATGGACCAGGGGGATGGGGGTGGGGTATGGTATGGGGGTGGGGTATGGTTTGGGGATGATACCAGTGCATTACATTTATTGTGGACTTTATTTCTAATTGTAATATATAATAAAATAATTATACAACTCACCATAATGTAGAATCAATGGGGGCCCTGAGCTTGTTTTCCTGCAACTAGACAGTCCCATCTGGGGGTGGTGGGAGACAGTGACACCCAAAGTGTGTTGCTTATGTCCAGTCTACTCTGTAATCTTGTTTTGGTTGCTGTCACTGCAGAAAACCCTGCTTCACAAAAATAGGATATTGGAAATGGAAGCAGACTTTTCAGTACTTTTGTGGCAATCTCAGGATAGTCTGCCTCAACTTTAATCCAGAACATATGGAGATTCAAATATACTTTGAAGTCCACCTCATTTGCAATCTCAAGCAGCTGATCCTCTTCCAGCACTGACAAAGTGGATTCACCTGGCTTATTCACAAATGGGTCGCAGATCCATTCCTTCCCAGTTTGTGGGTGTTTTGTGGTTAAGAAGTAATGCTCAAACTCTTTTGAAAGCTGAGATAGTTGATCATGCACCAGCTGGGAGAAAGAAGGCCCTGGCTCAGTCTCTTTCAAAATCTCTGCTAATGTTTGAAACACATTAAAAAAATGTTCACTCATCACCACTATAATTTCATTTTGGCTGTGAATGCAGCCACTTTATCTACCACCTTGAGCAGAGTTGTCATTCTCCCCTGAAGTGACAGATTGTGTTCATTGAGCAGTTTGAATATGTCACACAAGTGAGCAAGTTTTGCGACCCATTTTGTATCACTGAAATGTGCTGCCAGTGGTGACTGTTTTTCTAAAAGAAATCTCTGGAGTGGCTCTCATAACTTAAAAACTCTGGCCAATGATTGACCTTTAGAAAGCCATCTCACCATCTCACATCTGTGTATAAGAGATGTGCGTACACTGCATGCATCTCTTCAGAGAGCTGCATGAACAGACTTGAGTTAAGGGCATGTACTTTAATATGGTTGATAATTTTAATCATATGCTGCCAAATGCTGTTAAGTTCAGGTGACTTTTTTTTTCAGCTAGTTAGCATTTTTCTATGGAACATCCAGTGCATTCAGAAGTGACCTCTTTGACCCAAGTAGTGAAACTAGAAAGCCATCCAGTCATGGCAGCTGCTCCATCCATGCATATACTGACACAAATTGTCCAAGTCAGTTTTCCTGATATGTAATCATTCAAAGACTTGAATAGTTCTGCATTTGTGGCGTTGGTTGGCAATAGAAGTGCACATAATATATCCTTATGCACATCCTTCTGAAAAATATATTACACAAAAACAAGCATCGTTTCCTTGTTGTCAACATTGGTAGGCTCCTCAACCTGGATTGTGTACCACAGTGACTCATTAATCCTCTCTAAAAATTGTGACTCAATATCCTCTGATATTTCATCAATTCATCTAGTTATGGTGCTAATGAAGACTAGCACATGCCACATTTTGAACTGCAGCCCCTCCTAAAAGTTAACAACAAATGTGCTTATCAGCAGGCAGGAACAACTCTTCACCAATAGTAAAGGGCTTCTTAGCTTTAGCTTCTGCTCTCTCCCTTCTCAGCACCCCCACCACCCAGCTCAGGATAATGAAAACTCCACTGTGATTGAGTGTGGCCAAAAAGATTGGACTCTTTTTTTCCTTCTCCCTAACTCATAGTAAAGGCCTAAGGTATCTTCTTTTGAGGAGAAAACTGCCAGACTTTTTTTTATCCCCCCACCAGCTCTGGGCAGCAGAAGCTGAATTCCAGAAGACTATCGTCAACTAAGAGGTTGGAAATTCCCTTTCTTCACTCAGTCACCTTTTATAGGTCATTGGCTCTACTTAAGGTGCAGCTAGCTAAAAACACAGAGGTCCTGATCACACATGTCCCAGATTACCAAGAAGACCAGATCCTACCAACACTGGCCTTAGTCACTAAGAATGATGCTCTCAGTGCAGACACATTTGATGAAGTGGTGACTTTCAATAATTGCTTCTGTTCTTTGTCTTCATACTTTTTTTCTTTTGAAAGTCTCTAAAGGCTTGTTTTTCAATCCAGGGTGCTTGGTCTCCATGCGGCAAGGCAATTTTGAAGGTTTCATGGCTTTGTTGGCTAGCTGGTCACCATATATTATACAGAGCCATCTTGGAGAATGAATCACCTGTTGCAATGGACCTGCAATTTAAGTGGGACTCTTGGTACTTTCTTTTAAATGCAGTTTTGTTTTTGTTGGCAGTCTTAGAGTCTTCTACTATCTCAAAATTGGGTCTTTCCCCCTTTTTGAAGAAACTATCCAGTGTGGTATTTGTTTATTACTCACTGTGGCTAGGGTTAGCTTGTGGGTTTACCAAAACTGTGACTGAGACAAGTGCACAGTGTGGGAAAGAGGCATAGATGGAAGTGGTAAATAAAACTATGGGCAGGCCACGCATGGACTAAAATGTGCCAGATTCTGACTTAAAGCCTGCCACAAGATGCAGCTTAATTTTCACTTACCACTCACTAATAGGGTTTTGATATGAATATGCAAGCAATTGATTTATTATGGTCTCTGTGCAGTCAATGTTAATCTGTCTCTGTGCTAATGTTAATCTGTATTTACAGCTGCTACCCAACACTAGCATCACTGCCTCAGCTTTGCCCAGATCATCAGGCATTAGATTCTCATAAGGAGCACACAACAGAAATCCCTTGCATGTGCAGTTCACAATAGGGTTCACGCTCCTATGAGAATTCAATTCCACTGCTGATCTGACAGGAGGAGGAGCTCAGTCATTAATGCAGTAATGTGAGCAATGGGAAGTGGCTGTAAATACTGATGAAGCTTCTCGTGCTTACCAGCTAATTACCTCCTGCTGTGTGGCCTGGTTCCTAACACGTCACGAACTGGTCCATGGCCTAGGTGTTTGTGACTTGTGGTCGACACCCTGCTGTAGGGAAAATTTGAAAGGTCATTTTATTGGGACCAATATTTTTCAGGGAACGAAGGGGAGGGTAAAACTATTAGCGCATGCCCTCAGAACTAAGGATTAAAGAAAAAAAATTTGCTTCCATTTTCCAATAACTTTTATATTTTTTAAACAATATATATATTGATTTTGAGATACTTGTAACTCCAAAGATACTAATGACTCTAACTAAATTGGATTTGGTGCTAGTCATAGCTTTGAGTAATATGAGATATATTTGCTAGTATATGTTTGAGAGTCCATGACCCTAGGCAGGTCTGAGTTATGTTCAATACAAAGAAGTGAATGATATTTTAGCAGTCATGAGAAAATTTTTAAATAATTTTTATTAAAATAGTAGTACTTAATATTTAATATTTTCTTTGCAATATTTTGTCAGCATAAATATTAATCTTTAACATAAATTAAAAAGTGTAAATATTAATCTTTAATGTAATAGAAACATAATCTTTAACATAATAGAAAAATATGGAATTATCACAGAATAAGCATTTTTCTTATAACTGAGATCAATAATTATAATTTGATTTTCAGCAGCAACTATTTAAATGTTTTAATGTTAGAAAGCTTTTTTGGTACATTGAGTTTATGACAAATATATGAACTATCAGCTTATTGCAGATGTATGAGGATATATTTTATAGAAATTAAAAATTGAAAGCATTAAGCAAATATTTTTATTGTATAAGATCTTAAATAGACTTAGTAATTAAAAATAATTAGAGAAAGGTGAGTGACTTGTTATGTGGTATGAGGAGACAAACTTCTCAGCAAACAACCATAAATGATGAAAATTGTTTTAAAAACAAAACATCTCCAGAAAAATTCCTAAAGGCATACAGCAAAGGAATAAACAGCTATTCAAGAAAATCTGCTATATATTGGCAAGAACATCAAAGGTCAGTGGGACATGTGCCTGCATCTGCTCTCTCCCTTCTCAAAGCCCCTACCTCCCAGCCCGGGGTATGGAAGCTCCACTGTGGTTGAGTGTGGCCAAGCAGATTGGAATATTTTTTCCTTCCCGCCACCTCATAGTAAAGGTCTACAGTATCTTCTTTTGAGGGGAACATTACCAGCATTTTTTATCCCGCCACCAGCTCTGGATGGGAAAGGCTGAACTTCAGAAGACTATCGTCAGCCAAGAGATTGGGAATTCCCTTCATTCTCCCAGCCACCTTTCATAGGTCAGAGGCTCTCCCCAAGGTGCAGCCAGCTAAAAACATGGAGGTCCTGATCACCCTCGTTCCAGATCATCAAGAATACCAGAGACTACCAACACCCTGCACTCTCAGAAAAGCAGGTTGCTGTCTTCACCACTCGAGGCTGATCAGTGGTAAATAGAGCTTGACCAGGGAAAGGCACATACCATATTAAAATAGAGTGATAAACCCCTCCTCAAGGGAACTGACTTTATTTTGAACAAAGTGTAGAGAAGTTCAAGCTTAAGGGCACTCTCAAAAAGAATGGAGATTTAATGGTAAGCAATGAAGATAAGGCCAGAAGCTTCATCACAGCAGCAACTTATAGTCAGTTACTTTGCTTCTTTACTATTTGCTAGAGTGAATCAGGAAATTAGACATTTAGGAAGACATTTTATGAAGCAAAAACAAAACAAAGTAAAAACTTAAGCCCTGGCTTCAACATAATCAGGTAAAGAGACAGAGAACCTTTTAAAAGCCACTATCATTTTTTTAAAAGACATATAAATTATATAAAGTAATAATCATAATAATTTATTGAGTTTGGATCTTACAAATACTTAAGATGCATAATAATAATGGCACACAAAATGAAAGGAAAGAGAAATATTTGAGTAATATTTTGATATCTCACTGGAATTAAATTAATTTAAATCTGAGATAGCTTCTGATAAATTGAAATGCATAAGATAAACCCTAGAGCAACTACTAGGAATAAGAAAATTATACATATATATATATGAAATTTTCATATACATTTATTATATATATTATATATATAATACATATATACAATGCGGGAAAGAGACAATTAGTTAATTCAGGTGGAGAAAGAAAAGAACGAGTTTGTCGAGAAGTGTCCCATACTGGTAGATGAAATCTATTGTCATATTGAAGCTTTTGTTTTTAGTAGAGGGTCCATTAATTTTTATTACAATATTAAATAAAAGAAATTAATTAGATGACAAAACTGGACTACTAAAAAGCCAACAAGAAAGTGTGTCATGAATGAAAAACACTAAATAGATATATGTATCTGAAGTTTCCTTAAACTAATAAAATAAGATAAATAATGGTAAAAGTAAATAAAATCAACTTATAATTTTATATTAAATTCAGTTTTCTTTGATAGTTTTGTCTCTCCCTCTCCACACACCCACTTGTCTTTCTCTCTGCATATAATAGCAATAAGTAAAAAATTCTATGCTTACATTGTACCAATAAAAATATATAAACCTTATAACTACAATAATAAACTAATTAGAAATCTACTTTGACAATTTGTTTCTGACCTTTCTGTTTGTACTGCCTATATATTTTACTAAATATATTCTTTTCTACTTTTAATATTTATAGTTTAATATGAATTTAATATTAATATTAATATATTTTATATATTGAATACCAACATATTTGATATTAATTAATAATTTCAATTATTAATAATTAAAATTACATTAAATTTAATAATTAATTTAATTTAAAATTTACTTGTAATATTAATTATTTTATAAATTAGTCAATTTAGAATATTAATTACATGATTTAAGTAGTAATTAATTATGATTAAATATTATACCATAAGTAGTAAAAACAATACTCAAGAAAGAAATGCTACATAATGACCAACTAAATGGGCATGATTATTTTAATATTTAGTGTACATATAAAATATAGATTATTTCTACTTAAACACTACTGTGAATAATTTGTCTGAATTTTGGATACTTTTTCTAAAGTATATTTTTATAAATATCTATTATGACAAAGAAAAAATATATTTAAAATACTCCTAGTAATAAAATTTCATATAAGGTGGTTTTTAAAATCTATAATTAGAGTGTAATTTAACAACCACATTGAGCTGAAATATCTCATGATATTTTCTTGCAAATTTGCTATCTTGAGATCAATTTATTCATTTTCAATAAGTACAAAATGGCCGTGCTTTCTTTCAGCATAGGAAAAATTAGTTATTTTTTAGGTTGCACAACAGAGACTATGGTTGTCTGCATTAATGCCATATGTGTTATAAAAACTACGTGTCTTAAATTAACTACATATCAGAGACAGGCACCAAAATTAGAAGAGATAAAGGAGAAAAATAAAATCATATTTGACATTCCAGTCTAAAGCATAAACTTCTTAGGAGGTATGAAAATAGAACTATTATAATTGTTTTCATAAAGACTAAATAAATTATTATATATAAAATTCTGAGAATTAAGGCATTGGCCTGAATCATTGTATGAATTTCATAACATTGTGTTATAAATTATGAAATTATTATTTATAAAAATTAATGAAAGGACAGTTTAACAGAGTGATGCCTTGCCTGCATATTGCAAGTGGAAAAGCAAAATAATGCAATACTTTGTTGTTTATACTGAAATAATAGATACAATATAATTTATGTATATTGATAATAATGTGATAGAGGCTCAAATAAAAGTCTTTTATCTTTCACCTAAGATAATACATTTTTAGCCAGTTTTCCTATTTCACTTTGATCTCAGAGTCATTATTTATAGCTTCCCAGCCGGAAGCAGTAAGAAAGCAAAACCTAACCAAACAAAATCTTTGTGTATGATTTTCCTTTTTTTCCTGGATCCTATGTCACTTATCATACATATAAAGATTTTGTTTTCTCTTTGTGTGGAACATTCTCCTCTGCCTCCTGATTAAAAACCCTAATGTTCCATTTTCTAAATGACATACTTTCTTTATCATATATAAACCGGGTTCATATGGTATTTTCCTCCCAATGTTTATTGTGTTCTGCAGTATGGTATCATTTTTTCTGTTTTAGAATTATTATCCAATAATTTTTAAATGTGAAATTCATCTTACCAACTAGCTTTTGGTAACTAAATTTAAAATTTTCTCACCAAAATTAGTCTTCAGATGCTGTTCCAAATACTACAAATAGGTAAAATAGTATTGAGCTCCATTACTATATGAAAAAATTCAAAATTGGTGGTTAAGTGACAAAGTCAGTGTTAGAAACCATATATCTTTACTCTTAATCTATACTTTCTTACACAGTAATACACAGCATCTGTTACAAAACTTTTCAGTGAAATGAAACAACATAGAACGTCTATTGTATATACATTTTGAAAAGTAGTTAGAAATCTTGTATATCGCCATTTCTTGATTCAATCATGACAGTCACGACAATAAACTAAAACTAGTTTCAATTGGTAGTTCTCTACTCAAACCCTAAAATATATATGAGAATTGACTTGATATTTCAGATTAATGTTAAATGCAAAATTCAAAAACAACAAGGTTAGCAGGGAGATTTTCCCACCAAAATTTTTAAAAATTTTTTCACTCGCCTAAAATTACAATCTTGCCAATTATCAAACTATTTCAAACTAATGATTCCTTCAAGATGTTAAAAATAATAATTTCAATGTGTGTATAATTTTATTTTTTATAAAACGTATGATCTACTCATTTACTGTTAAACACAATGAAAATAGTATTTATTCAATAAATGTTTATTGAGCATCTTCTATATGTAATTTTATGGTCTGAGTCAACAAAGTGCTCACAATCCATAGTATTAAAGTCACATGTACACATGGCTAAGTATTCATACCTAATTTTTCCTAGATAGGTTTTGACATAAATGGAAGACTATTCCAGAAGGCAGAAAACCATGAGATACCTGCAATCAAGGCGATAGGCGAGATTTTTAATTGTGTAATTCAAATAAACAAAAACTAACCAACAAGATAGAGGAAGGTAATACATTCATATGAAATGTCAAAATTTTTAAAAATTATTCTTATTTCAAGTAATATATAGTCTGTTGCCCTCTCAACAGATCTGCATGCTCCACTATCGACTCTTTGAAAAATTCATTACCATAAAGAAGTTAAAAATAACATATAAAGTATATGAAACATAATTGATTTTGGCCCACCTGTTCATAGGACTTTAGGACATGCTGTTATTTGCTAAATGAGATGGAAAAGAAAGTATATTATGCTAATATACAAGAAGATATACTTGTGACATGTTTTGCATGTAAAGTGTGTCCAAAAAATAAAACTACTATTGCATTTGTAATTAAACTTTTGTCAGTCTTCGGACCACTTAAGTCTGAATCAATCTTATCGATATGCAAATTGCCGCAGATGTTCCTCAATTTATTTTCTATTACCAGAAGCATCATCATATTACAATATTTTGAATTATTTGCTAAGTGAGCCATGGAGATTGAACCTGGTTTCTCACTCACATTAACCATATCTGCTTTCTCTTCTTTTTTTAAATTTTATTTTGTAACAGGGTCTCACTTTGTTGCCCAGACTGGAATGCAGTGGCATGATCATGGCTCACTGCTCCCTTGACCTTTTTTCACTCAATTGTAGCTGGAACTATAGGAACCTGCCATCACACCCAGCTAATTTCTTTATTTATTTCATAGAGATGGGGTGTCACCATGCTGCCCAGGCTTGTTGCGAACTCCTGGGCTCAAGCAATCCTCTTGCCATGACCACCGAGGATGCTTGGATTACAGACTGGAACCACTGTGCCTGGCCTCCATGTTTGCTTTCAACACACACACAAAATAAAATATATTTTTTGTTTAAAGTTAAAAAAGAAATATTAAAAGTGTAGCTTGAAAATAGTACCAAACTGTACTACTCCCTAAGCCAGTGTTTAATTATCACTTTGAAAAGTAAAGATAATTAATTTGATTATGAGAATATATCATGATTACTTCCTGACACTCAATATTAAAAACAAATAGTTCACACTGAAGACCTTTTAACTCAACTATCACAAGTAAATATTCCTCAGTTTTTATATTTTCAATCTTTCCAAAAACTTTTTAAAACTTATATTTTCTTAATGATTCCAGTTAATGTATGGATTCCTTGAAGTGTTACCTTTTTGGGTGTCATTTGAAAGCATTTTTCTATCTAAACAAACATTTTCCATTAACTTCAGAAAAAATAACACACTTATTTTTAGTAAATACTCTACACTTCTATAGTAATATAGTTAAATCTTTTGACTTACAAATGCAAAATAAAATCTTTATAACACCAATCAGAAAAGAGCACTAGTTCCATGACTATGAAGTTTCCATACAGCCCAATTATAAGGAACAGTGAAAAACAATAGTAACAAAATTACTCTTAAATGGGTGCTATTGAGTAGCAAAAATGTACATTTCATAAGTAGAAGATGGTCGTTAACCAAAAATAATTTTGTCAGATTCTTTCAGTTCAGTGTTCTCTCTCCTTGAGACTTCATGCTCTCTTATTATACTTTCGCATTACTAATACCTATCTGAAAGTAAAGTGTATGTGTGAAAAAGTCCTAGTGGAAACTTTTTACACTCTCAAAGAACTGTTAAAGAAAAAAAACAGAATTTATGCCTCCTAGATTTATGTCTCTATGAATTAGTCCTTTCAGACTTTCAGTCTACTCCTCCATTATAATAAATACTGTGTCTTTATTGTATTTGTCTTTTGCTCTACATTCAAATGGAAAAACATAGACCAAGCTTAAACAATAGTCTTAAACTCTGAACTCAAGTATCCAAGGAGCCAATTTAAAGCATGAAATCAGGTCTTTGGACTATAATTGTCCAAAGTTAATGCAGTGGCAATTATCAATGGTTTCTTAACCTCTAGGACAATATGATAGATTAGAATTTTCCATAAGTAAAATCTTTACACTAACTGTCCATAATGGAGGGCATGAGTTACAAAAAGAAAGAAATAAATTCATTAATTAAACTTTCTAAAAGTAGATCTTAAAAATGTATAATCTTAGGTGATCAGGCATTTCGTGAACATCTACTCAAATATGCTAAAATAACTTAAGTTGTTCATTTTTCTCCAAAAGTCAGAGTTGTTGGTCTTGTCAAGGATTAATCAACACTATGTCTGCTTTGTGAACAAGCAACACTAATCTTTGATCCAGACATTTAGGCAACCGTTCACATGGTCCCAAGAAGAAATAAGAGTGTTATTTTGGCTTCTGTATGTAACAATTTTGAGAGAGGAAAGCCACAAAATTCAACTGATTATATACAGATTATTTGCAGATAACATGTCAGCTCCACAGAATAAAAATGCAAAATTTTTCCTCACAAATTGATCACCACGGACTGACTTTTTCTCACTGCTAGATCGTGGTCTTGCTTTTTCCTTTTTGATGTCTCTTCCATTATCTCTTCTCTGTCATTTCTTCAAGCCCGAGTTCTTGTTTGTGCAAGTAATTGAGTTACTAAAGCCTTTGTCTTTTATTGTAAAGCACACGGCATTTTCAGCATGTATCATTAACTACACAATTGTCATGCTACCTTATTTATTTTATCAAGACCCACAGTGATTTTCATCTTTAATTACTGTATATATATATTTTATTCAGAAAAACTTTTTATCATATAATTTAAGCCATTCTTCAGAAATATTTTTTATACTTTACTGTACTCCAGGAGAAACAGAAGATGTGATTCTAATACTAACTGGCTCAGTTTTCTGAGTGGTTGTGCAGAACATTAAACAGCATTAGAAAATGTATGAGACTCTGGACATTAGTATAGTAAAAACCACATGTGATATTTATAATTTATATATCATTTAAATGATGTTTCACCTGAATTGTTGGTTGTGAAGCATTTCCTGGAAAAAAAATGCAAACATATTTTATCCCCTAAACTTATATACATATTTAGTTGTTTATTAGGCTACCAATTCATTGATAAGGTTTTATTTTTTATTTATTTTTCTTTATTTTTTATTGTTTTTTATTTTACTCTAAGTTCCGGGATACATGTGCAGAACGCACAGGTTTGTTACATAGGTATACATGTGTCATCGTGGTTTGCTGACCTACCAACATCATCTAGGTTTTAAGCCCCACATGCCTTAGGTATTTGTCCTAATGCTCTCCTTCCCCTTGCCCCACAACCCCTGACAGGCCACGGCATGTGATATTCCCCTCCCTGTGTCCATGTATTCTCACTGTTCACCTTCCGCTTATGAGTGAGAATATGCAGTGTTCGGTTTTCTGTTCCCGTGTTAGTTTGCTGAGGATGATGGCTTCCAGCTTCATCCATATCCCTGCAAAGGACGTGAACTCCTTTTTTTATGTATGGCTGCGTAGTATTCCATGGTGTATATGTGCCACATTTTCTTTATCCAGTCTATCCCATTGATGGGAATTTGGATTGCTTCCAAGTCTTTGCTATTGTAAATAATACTGAAATAAACATACATTTGCATGTGCCTTTATAGCAGAATGATTTATAATCCTTTGGGTATATATGTAGTAATGGGATTTCTGGGCCAAATTGTTTTTCTGGTTCTAGATCCTTGAGGAATTGCCACACTGTCTTCCACAATGGTTGAACTAATTTACAGTCCCACCAACAGTGTAAAAATGTTCCTGTTTCTCCACAGCCTCGCCAGCATCTGTTTTTTCCTGACTTTTAATAATTGCCTTTCTGAATTGTGTGAGATGGTATCTTATTGTGGTTTTGATTTGCATTTCTTTAATGACCAGTGATAATGAGCTTTTTTTCTTACGTTTCTTGGCTGCATAAATGTCTTCTTTTGAGAAGTGTCTGTTGATATCCTTTGCGGCTTTGATAAAGATAGACTGTATTGCTCCTAAGAGAAAAGCACCTGCTTGTGCTTAATATATAAAGAGTAACATCTGTTGTGCTCACACTTGTTTATCAGAATGTTAAAGGCAGTAGTAAGAGTGATGTAACCCTAGATTAATAAAAGGTAGGTCATTGTTTAAAACACCCAGTTGGCATAAAAGTACAGCCTGCCTCACCATCATTAAGAACCATGATGTCAGTCTCTCTGTACTTCCCTGGAGGGCACCAAGCTGACTGTGGCCCAACTCACCTATGTCATAAGTCATACCGTATTAGTCTGTTTTCACTCTGCTAATAAAGACGTACCCAAAACTGGGTCATTTATAAAGGAGAAAGGTGTAATTGACTCACAGTTCCACATGGCTGGGGAGGCCTCACAATTATGGCAGAAGATGAAGGAAGAGCAAAGGAAAGTCTTATATGGCAGCAGGAAAAAGTGCTTGTGTAGGGGAACTCTCCCTTATAAAACCATCAGATCTCATGAGACTTATTCAGTATCACAAGAACAGCACAGGAAAGACCCGCACACATGATTCAAATACCTCTCACCAGGTCCCTCCCACAACATGTGAGAATGATGGGAGCTACAATTAAAGATGAGATTTGGGTTAGGACACAGTCAAACCATATCACACCTTAACCTCATTAGCCTCTTCGGGATGAAGCATTTTCATGAGCAAAATATCATTTTTATGCACAGGCCAGGAGTAAAGAGCAAACAAAGACATTGCACTGACTATCAAAATATGAAAAAAAAGCAGTGGCTGCCTTCTCTACATTGGCTGGTAAAGTCACTTATTGGCTCTCAAGTTACTTAAGGAGCCATGTTAATTAAGTGCATGGTCCCTTAACTATTCAGTTAATGAAATTATTTGAATAGCAGCGCGAATAAAAATGTGTGTTTCATAAGCGATAAATGATTTGTAGTTATCCTGGTTGCTTTTTTATTTGGCATTCTTGAATAAGGTCTTTGTTCCCTCTGAAACAAAGCTTAAATTCAAAGAGTTAATACAAATATACTGAGAGTTGTTTAAAACATAATTCTGAGCCTGACCTGGTAGCAGTGATCAAGGAACTGAACTATTCCTGCTACTGCTCCCTACTTCTGCCATTTTAGATCTTAATGGTCTATTTGCATTGGATTCAGATTTCTGGGGCAGGACTCTGACTAAAATGTTCTGCCCTCCAGTTTGAAATAATCAACAAATTCTAGATTTTCTTTTTGTCGTCTAATATGGGCAGAAAGGGTCCTTAATGGGTTTCTCTAAAGGAAAAACCAAACTGCTTCTCTCTCCTTTTCCATTCACAACACAGAATGCTTCTGTGATCCTAGATATATGGGGCTATTTCCGCCACACTAAGCAGTCAATCAATTCTGCAGTGGACACCAGCTTAGTGACCTCTAATTCAATTCAGTTTTGACGCTATCTACCTGTAAAGAGAATCAGATCCTCTAGGTTGAGGGCTTAGTCCCACAAGACTGCTCTTACTTCAGACAACAATCCTAAGGCTGTCACCTACACTTCTGACTGATCAACTATTAATTGGGGTTCCCACTACCCCCTCCTGATGAATTTGCAAGAGTGGCTCACAGAAATCAGCGAAACACTTAGCTTTCATTTGCTGGTTTACTATATGGAAACATTACAAAGAATATAGGTAAAGAGATGCATAGGGTGAGTTTATGTGGGAAGGAGCATGAAGCTTTCATGCCCTCTCTGTGGAGACACACTCTAGGAATCTCTGTATGTTTATCTTTCCATCTAAACTCAGTCCTTTTCGATTTTTATGGAAGCTTCATT
Source organism: Homo sapiens (assembly GCF_000001405.40). Lineage (NCBI taxonomy): Eukaryota > Metazoa > Chordata > Mammalia > Primates > Hominidae > Homo > Homo sapiens. The sequence goes on from NC_000001.11 coordinate 188,281,961, forward strand.
CCATAGGCATGATTGACTAAATCATTGGCCTTTACCATCAACTTGACCTTCAGCACTAATCCCCTTCCTGGAAGTTGGGAGAATGGGCTGAAAGTTCCCAACTTCTAATTATGTCTTGGATAAACCTGGAAGACGTTATGCTAAGTGAAATAATCCAGGCACAGCAAGACAAATACCAAGCGATCTTACTCATATGTGGAATCTAAAAATGTTGTTTTCATAGAGTAAAGCAGTCTTTACCAGAGGCTTGGAAGGATAGTGGAGTGGAGTGAATGGGGAAAGATTGGCCAATGAGTAAAAAGTTACAATTAGACAAAGAGCTTAAGTTCTAGTGTTCCATTGCACAGTAGGGTGATTATAATGAACAATAATACATTGTACATTTCAAAATCGATACAGGAGAGAATATTGACTTTTCTCACCAAAAGAAATGATAAATGTTTCAGGTTATAGATACACTAATTACCTTAATTTGATTATTATACATTGTATACATGCACTGAGACATCACGCTGTACTCCCCAAAATAAGTACAATTATTATGTGTCAAATATGAAATAAAAAGAACAAAATTTGAGGCATCACACGTCCTGATTTTAAAATATAAAAGTAATAAAAATGTATGATACTGGCATAAAAATAGACATATAGACCAATGGATAGAATACAGATTCCAGAGATAATCGCATATATATATATTAAACTGAGAAGAAAAGACAGTCTCTTCAATAAATAATGCTGGGAAAACTGGATATCTGCATGCAAAATCATGAAATTGGATTCTTATGTTACCTCATATACAGGTTAACTCAAAATAGATTGTAGACTTAAACATAAGACATAAAACTCCTGTGACCAGTCTCCATCCTGAAGCTACCTTGGGGCTGCCAGCCATTAGTCAAATCATTAAATACAAAAAGACATCACTTTGGATATTCCAAGGATTGTAGGAGTTGTATGTCAGGAAATAGGGAAAACCAAATATATATTTCACAATATTATAGATTCAAGTACAAAAGGGGAATATGTTTTCTTATGTATCTTGGAAGAATTAACTCTGGGAGGAGGGAGAGTTACATTCAAAGGGAAAGAGAGATGTTAATGACAAACTTCAGGACTTTAAATTGCATAAACCCAATATTGTATATTACAGCATGTAAGTCAATAGCATCAACAAGAAATTATAAGAATAGCTTGTACTTGAAAAAGTTGCATGATCCATATTAAGTAATTTAGACTCACCTTAGTGATTTTAGATGATTTTTATAACTACTTCACTTTATTTTTATTTCTATATTCTCAAAATTTTATTAACTTTTCATATATACAATAACATAGTAGTGATGGAATATTATCCTGGATTTTCCATATATTCAGATTTTCACACATTTTAGATTGAACCATGGGAAACTACCACTTTTTGAGAGATAATTTTATTGTTCAACTTATATCATACATGTACACATTTGAATTTTGAAGTCACCGTCATATGCTCAAAAAGTGGTTATCCTTTTATTCCAACTTTGCCAAGACTACATATGATTCTATAGAGAAACTAACACCATATCTTTCCTGTTTTCTATAAGCTATGAATACTGTGGCACTGAAATTTATGTAGTTGCAGAGCTTGGCTGACACTGTGGAAAAGTAGAACTTACAGGCTGCCTACTTATGTTGTTTTCAAGACATTTAACACCACTGATTTATTAAAACAGCCAGGATAATTTCTAAATAAACACATTTTATCTCAAAGTACTACAGAGCCAGCAGCCAAAATCTATCTTTGAATATAAAATTTGAGTGCTAAAAATTTGCTATGATATTTAACCCAAATTGAAACAATGAACTTACGTCCCGGTTTGTTAGGTTAGACTTAATTTAAACAGACACACACAGGCACACACACACACACACACACCCACACCCACACAGAGAAAGAGAGAGAATGAAAGAGAAAGAGAGAGATAGAGACTGTATAAGAAGATCTCTGCTGGAATATTATTAAAACAAACAAAAGTAAATTATCGTCAGTTTTATCTATGTTGGCAGTAAAGGTGACATAACATTGTGCATAATGAAGAAATATATATATATTACTGTAGTTCACAAATACAAATTTTATGAATAAAATTATGTCTCATAGAAAATTAGCTTCTCTGAAAGGTCATTTAAACCTCTAATAATGTGACCATGTTATCAGGAATTGTCTTATTGAGGACAAAAAGTATCCCATATTATAGTGAAAGTTATAGTAAAACCAAATATTGCTATATCCTAAAACTAAATCCATAGATTTGAAAATACATTTATATCAGAGTTTTCCCATATTTTATACTAATAATGCAGAGGTAGAAATTGCAAGGAATGATTTTTGTGACACAGTAAGTATAACTGCAAAAATGTATTTAAAAAGACAAATAATAATATTTAACATTTCAGATAACAAATGGTTTTATTAAAATCACATTGTTGTTAGATAAAATAAGTAGGCTTACAGAAAGCTGAGCTTATGAAAGGCAGCAAAATGTACTGATAAAGATAATGCTAGTGTCTGCTTGCTAGGAAGGATATGGGCCAGGAAAAGTGTCATGTGAACTAGTCTGCTGAATTTGAGATTACACTACAATATTTCCAGGTATTTTATTTGGAGCCCTTGGGAAAAGTTACAATTCATCCAAAATGACAAGACCTGATGAAGAAGGGAGCATTTTTGTTATTTAACCTCTATAGGTAACCAGTTAACATTAACAGTAATAAAGAACAGTAAAAACAATGTGACCTAGAATCAAATACTTCTATCTCATTACACTTCATTTGCCTTCCTGTTTTCTGCTCATACCTTCCTGACCTTTAAACTCAGTTTTAAACTTTATTTCCCAAGATTCACTCAAATCCATCCCTACCTCCTAATTTAGAAGTTTCATGGTATATGAAATACCTATTAGCTAAAAATTCAATGTACTAGCACAATGAACTATAATCTTTTAGGGTGAGATGAAAGGCTGGATATAATAAATTATTGAATATAATATTACATAAATTATATCATATAGTCTTTACAACAACACTCTGAAATATGTGTTCTTTTATAAATGAGAAATATACAACTCAGAGTTTACTTTTATAATGTACATCAAATTCATCATCGAATTATCTCTGTTCTATCATTAACATATATCAAGAACCATAGCACCTCTCTGTTATAACTAGCTTGGCCAAAGATACCACTGTTGCTCACCTAGAGTGTTGCAATGTTCTGCTCTTTCAAATCCTGCCCCTGCCCCGTATAGTCTATTATCCACATAACAGAGTATTCGAAAATATATTCAGATATGTTACAATTTAATTCAAAATCCTCAAATGCCTTTCTCTTTCAATTGGAGGAACAGATGAAAACCTTATTGTAGCGTACGAGGATCTATGTGATTTTATCTCCTTTAACTTTTTGTTTTTTACCCCTCTAACCCTAGGTTATTCTATCCAAGATCATTGGCCTTTTTTTCTTTTCCTCGAATAAGCCTCTTTCAGGTTCAGTCTTTGCAAGTGGTTTCCCTCTGCATGGGTAGTTATTTCCCTCAGATAACCATATGACATAGTACCTCATTTTTTACAAGTCTTTGATCAAAGGTTACCTGGCCAATAAGACATCACTAAACTCTCTTATAAAAAAATAAAGCCCCAATCCATTCTCTGGCTTTCCATATTCATTTTAACCTTTTTTTTCCTTCCTTAGCGGCTTTTATTATCAGTAGTACATTATATGTGTTTTTATTTGTTTATTATATGTCCATCTGACTAGACTGTAAACTCCATGAGAAATGAGACTATTGAATTCGTTGTTATATCCCAGGTTCCTAGTATAGTAGGTATGCGATTAATCATTATTGAATTAATCCATCCCTTGCTACCTGTTCAGTCTAAGATAGTCATGATGATTTCATCTCCTATGAAAGGATTGTTTCAGGAACGGTTTTGTAACACAAATATAGCCAATGTTAAATAAAAAGAGATCCCTGGGGGATTCTGGGAAAGTTTTCCCATTCATCAGAAATTATTTCCCATTCCCATTTCCTGATGCCTTTATTCTTTCTTTGTGAAAGGAGACATCTGGACCTGCTCTGGTCATTATTTTACAGGTCTTTATATGCCATGAGCATTTCTTCAAGTTAGAAAAGACCTGAAAGAATGTTTATGTCATTTTTGAGCTCCTAAATCAATAATTTTCAAGGATACTCTATCTCTGGGCTTCTAAGTTACATGAGATAACAAATTTGCCTACTTGTTAATCTTGAGTTAGAGCTCTCCTATTTGTGGCCAAATTATTGCTCCTCTGTTATCAGAGGCAGAGTCTATTTTCTTTTGTCTTTATTTTATTTTATTTATTTATATTTTTAATTTTAAGTTTAGAGGTACATGTGCAGGTGTGTTATATAGGTAAGCTTGTGTCATCAGGGTTTGTTGTACAGATTATTTCATCACCCAGGTATTAAGCCTAGTACCCATTAGTTATTTTTCCTTGATCCTCTCCCTCCTTCCACCCTCCACCCTCCGATAGGCCCCAATGTGTTTTTGTTCTCCTATACATGTTCATGTGTTGTCATCATTGAGCTTCCACTTATAAGTGAGAACATGTGATACTTGGTTTTCGTGCCTGAGTTAGTTTGCTAAGAATAATGGCCACTAGCTCCATCCATGGCCCTGCAAAGGACATGATCTCGGCTTTTTTTTTTTTTTTTTATGGCTGCACAGCACTCCATGGTGTATATGTACCACATTTTTTAAATCCAATCTATCTATCATTGATGGGCATTTAGGTTGATTCCATGTCTTTGCTATTGTGACTAGTGCTCCAGTGAATATATGTGTGCATGTGTCTTTATAATAGAATGGTTTATATTCCCTTGGGTACATACCCAGTAATGGATTTCTGGGTCAAATGGTATTTTTTGTCTTAGCCCATGAATCAGAATTTGTTGCACAACTTGCTTCCTCCAGTGAGACATTACAATTGTGACAAAAGCAGGAGCTTACAAACCATTGGGGAGTTGAGGCTTTCATGCTTGCTACTTTTGGAACTCTATAACCAGTAAGTGAACCAATCCAAGCTAACCTATTTGATGATGAGACCCCCTGGGATGAAGAGAGACACAATTGTTATCATTGAATTAGCTGACAACCAATTGCCAAATACGAGAATGTGAGTAAAGACATCAACTGCTAGCTTACTGCTGATGCATGAATGAGACAAGTCAATCCCAGCAGAAGCACTGCTTAGCTGAACTAAACCCAAATCACAGGTATACAGAATTGTGACCTAAACAAGTGGGTGTTATTTATACCACTAAATTTTGGGGTAGAAATTAAATGCTACAGTATCTTAAGCAACATATACAGTGGCAAAGTAGAATTTATTTGTTTGCTTGAACAATTATCCTTTCTACCCTAACAATTCTGATAGTATTCATGGTATCAATAGTTTTGTATTCCAAACTTCCATATCTAGATAACAATAAAGTTTAAAAAGGGGTAGATGGAGGTAATGAAAGAGACTGAAACATGTATGGTCCAGTTGGTTTTGTAGAGACAGAAAGACTATGTTCAGATCAGTAATACCACACTTAGAGTTCTCTTTCATAAATGCTACAAATTACAATAGTTCTAGTCTTCATTTTGTATTTACAAGGCACTTTTTCATTAATATCTTTCATATGACACATTAATACCAATGGGTTCTGGACTGCTGCTTTTTAGGTTTGCTGTGCATAAAAACTTATATATTAGATGGCATCTGAAAAGAAAGCCGCCTATATGCTTAACCAGTTTTTCATTTGGTAAGTTTGTTGTCCTGTAACAAAATTACAAAACTCAGTCTGGAATACATGGAATAATGCATGAGTGTCTCAGCAAACTGATCTTGTTTCTTCAGGCTGGGCTGATGTGCTGACTGATGAAAGTAAACCACAGACTTGCCTCTGCTACACCCAGCATAACCCTGACTCTCTTCTCTGGCTTGCTTTAGGCTCCCTGGTTTTCCAACTTGACTGTACATTTTTGACTCAGTTTTATAATTAGTTTGCTCAGCTTAATTCTTAGTTCTTAAGGTTTTGTCTTAGATGTAGAGTAACATTTGTTTCGAACTTCAGAATATGTCAGAGAGAGTATCTGGCTTGAGTCAGAGCATATCACTGGTCAGGTTCTGTAGATATTTATTCTGAGGATATCTGGGCATTTAAACATTTCATCGAATACCGTATATTCTGTAGTTTCCAATAATGAACGAGTCATAGCAATAGTTCTCTAAACTTAATGAAAAATATTTAAGTAAAAGAACAAACTAATATACAAGTTTGGAGTGAATCAAAATGCCAACAATATAACAAAAATGTGATCGTTGTCTTCAGTTTTAATTATTGCTAGTTTTTTTCATAGAAAAAAATTCATTTAATTATTTGAGTATTGTCTCACCTTTAAAATAAGAATAATAGTGGTATCTAAAGTGTATGTTCTTCTTTGGCACAAGTAAAATATATAGGCTTACATTGGAAATTGATTGAAATATCAAGGCATTCCTTAACTTAAAAAAAATTGTTGAATATGTATTTAGAATAATTTTAAATAGCCTTACTTAACCTATATGTAAAAAATAACATTCACTATGATAAACATAAAATTACATAGAACAATTTGTGTTTAAAAGTGACATTAAATTTTTCTTAACATGTTTGTCTTAGTAAGTCAATACCTTTATATGTTATTATCAGATCCATAAAATGTTGAATTTAGAGGTTCTTAAAAGAGATATTTTGTGATAATGCTGGCTTTCATGGAATAAAAATGTAATCCAAATAATTTATTTTAATAAGGTTCATTGCTTTTTTCAAATAAAACTTTGAAACTGTATCATTGATTCCAGCATGGTTCCATTCTCATGCTGCTATAAGGACATGCCCGAGACTGAGTAATTTATAAAGGAAAGAGTTTTAATGCGCTTTCAGTTCCACATGGATGGGGAGGCCTCAGGAAACTTATAATCATGGTAGAAGGGAAAGCAAACATGTCCTTTTCACATTGCAGCAGGAGAGAGAAGTGAAGAGCAAAGGGGGAAAAGCCCCTTATAAAACCATCAGATTTTGTAAGAATGCACTCACTGTCACAAGAACAGCATGGGAGTAACCACCCCCATGATTCAATTACCTCCCACTGAGTTCCTTCCATGACACATGGGGATTATGGTAACTGCAATTCAAGATGAGATTTGGGTGGGGACACAGCCAACCATATCATTCTGCCCCTGGTCCCTCTCAAATCTCATGTCCTCACATTTCAAAACACAAACATGCCTCTCCAACAGTCCCCTAAAGTCTTAGCTCATTCCAGCATTAACCCAAAAGTCCAACTCCAAAGTCTCATCTGAGATAAGGCAAGTCCCTTCAGCCTATGAGCCTGTAAAATCAAAAGCAAGTTACGTACTTCCCAGTACAATGAGAGTACAGGCAATGGGTAAATACACCTGTTCTAAATGGAAGAAATTGGCCAAAACCAAGGGCTTACAGGCCCCATTGAAGCCTGAAATCTAATAGGTCAGTCATTAAACCTTAGGGTTGCAAAATTATCTCCTTTGACTCCAAGTCTCACACCCAGGTCATCCTGATGCAAGAGGTGGGCTCCTATGGCTTTGGGCAGTTCTGCCCCTGTGGCTTTACAGTATACAACCCTCCTCCCAGCTGCTTTCACAGGCTGACATTGAGTGCCTGTGGCTTTTCCAGGCACATGGTGCAAGCTGCTGGTGGATCTACCCTTCTGGGGTCTGGAGGACGGTGACCCTACTCTCACAGCTCGACTAGGCAGTGCCCCAGTCGGGACTCTGTGTGGCAGCTTCAACCCCACATTCCCCTTCTGTACTGCCCTAGCAAAGATTCTCCATGAGGGCTCTGTCCCTGCAGCAAACTTTCACCTGGACATCCAGGCATTTTCATACATCCTCTAAAATCTAAGCAGAGGTTCCCAAACTTCAATTCTTGACTCTTGTGCACTTGCAGGCCCAACACCTCATGTAAGCCACCAATGCTTGGGGCTTGCACCCCCTGAAACAATGGCACCAGCTGTACCTTGGCCCCTTTTAGCCCTCAGCTAGAGTGACTGGGACACAGGATACCATGACCCGAGACTGTACAGAGCAGAGGGACCCTGATCCTGTCCCATGAAACCATTATTCTCTCCTAGGCCTCCAGGCCTGTGATAGGAGGGGCTGCTGTCAAGATGTCTGACATGCCCTGGGGACATTTTTCCCATTGTCTTGGTGATTATATTCAGTTCCTTGTTACTTATACAAATTTCTGCAGCAGGCTTGAATTTATCCCCAGTAAATGATTTTTTTTCTATTGCATCATGAGGCTGCAAATTATCCAAACTTTTATGCTCTGCTTCCTCTAGAACTCTTTGCCATTTAGAAATTTCTTCCACCAGATATCCTAAATCATCTCTCTCAAGTTCAAAGTTTCAACTCTCTAAAACAGGGGCAAAATACTGCCAGCCTCTTTGCTGAAGTATAACAAGAGTCACCTTTCCTCCAGTTTCCAACAAGTTCCTCATCTTCATCTGAGACCACTTCAGCCTGGTGTTCATTGTCCATATCACTATCAACATTTTGGTCAAACCCATTCAAAGAGTCTCTAGGAAGTTCCAAACTTTCCCACATTTTTCTGTCTTCTTCTGAGCCCACCAATCTGTTCCAACCTCTGCCAGTTACCCAGTTCCAAAGTTGCTTCACATTTTTGGGTATCCTTATAGCAGCACCCCACTCCCTTGGTACCAATTTACTGTATTAGTCCATTCTCACATGGCTATGAGGATATACTCAAGACTGAGTAATTTGTAAAGAAAAGAGGTTTAATTGACTCACAGTTCCACATGATTTGGAGGCCACAGGAAACCTAATCATGGTGGAAGGGGAAGCAAATGTATCCTTCTTCACAATGCAGCAGAAGAGAGAAGTGCCGAGCAAAGGGGGAAATGCCCCTTATAAAACTATCAGATTATGTGAGAACTCACAGCATAGGAGTAACCACCTCCATGATTCAATTACCTCCTGCCCCCTGTGTTCTCCCAGAACATGTGGGAATTATGGGAACTACAATTCAAGATTTGGGTGGGGAGGGACACAGCCAAACCACATCACAGCATTTTCTTACTTTACTATTAGCAGACACAAAGAAGTATGGATTTTATCATTTGGAAATATTTTTCCATTTTTTGAGGTAATACATTTTTTAAATGGTAGAATAACAGAAAAATAAGCATATATAATGACTTGTTCACATTATTTTATGGTTCCAATAAATAATGGATTTATCATAAAGAAAAATCTATTGATAAAATTTTCTTTAATTACTTATCCTTTATAAATTTGTATTTTATTTCAGCCTTTTTTCCAACATTTATTGTACATTTTAAAACCAGTAATTGGTACTCTGAGATTCATAATAATTCTTCCATGTGATCTTTATTTATCACTTAGAAGTACCTTAAAGAAAAAAATATATCTAATTTATGAAAAAAATCATCATTATAATATTTAAGAGATATTTTCTCTATTTTGTTTCAAAAATGCAGCAGTCTGTCTATTGTACATATCAACTACCACTACTGTGTACAAATTAATAATGTACAAGCGTTGCTATTGGGTGATCTATATACCTATTCTCTACATTCAGTCTGGGTCTGTTAATGTCAGTCAGTAAGTTACAGGCTATATACTTATACAATAAGACTGAGTTTTATTCATAAATATTTTTAGGAAAATAAGGATTCATATTTTATTTTATGCCTCTCATATTAATTAATAAACTACTAAGTATTAAGTAAAATACATAGCCATAATTTGAGCCTAATTGCTGAATTTATTTTTATGAGGTTATTGCTATAATTTCTAAAGGTTAAAGCAATATGACTAAATCAGTGTACTTATAATGTTTAACTTGACAAGTGATTACGCTATAAATTTTACAATAAAGTATAGCTAAGATGTTCCAAGGAAGATGGAAATTAGAGATAATAAAATATAATGTGAGAATAAAATTGACATGAATATTTTGAAAGATCATTACAGTATGACTTTGTTTCTTTACTGTCTCTACCTGTCATGAGATAAGGTCCTGCATATTTAAAATTATTGAGGCAATTTAAATAATAAAATACAATCTTTTGAATATGTTATCAAAATATGCATAAAACAAAAGGATGTGGCAACCTGTTGAGAAGGCAATTTTGAAGAAAATTTGCTTAAAATTATTGAAATTAGAAAGTAGAGCAGAGGAGAGGGACAAGATGGCTAAGCAGAAGGCTTCACTGAACGTGGCCCCACTGAAAGGATACCAATTTAACAATTATCTAGACAAAGCAAGCACCTTAATAAGAACCAAAAATTACATAAGCACTGATAGTACCTGGTTTTGACTTCATATCATGAAAAGAGGAACTAAAGATGGTAGGAAAGAGCCTTGAATCAGGGATGCCCTCCTCTCCCATCTCCAACAGCAGCTGTGTGGCATTGAGAGAGAAAAACTGTGCACTTGGGAGAGGGAGAGCACAACAATTGTGAGACATTAGATTGAATTCAAGGATGTTCTGTCACAAATAAATCAAAACCAGCCTGAATTCAGCTGATGCCTGCCCACAGAGGGGAGCCCACTTCCCTGAAGGGTGAGTTGCAGGCCAGGTAGCATTTATCACAAGCTGACTGACAAGCCCTTGGACCTAAAGGGAACATCAGCAGTAGCCTAACAATGCTCCCTGTGGGGCAGTGGTGATGGCCACTGGGTGAGGCTCCTCTGACTGCAGAAAAGGGAGGGAATAGTGGGAAAGATATCTCTCATAGTTTGAGTGCCAGCTCAGCCACAGTAAAATAGAATACCAGGTAGACTTCTAAGGTTTCCTATTCCAGTCCCTGGCTCAGAGTTGGCACCCCTGGACCCACTTGAGGTCTGGGGAAGCTTGACACCCTGAAAGGAAGAATACAAGTCTGGCTGGTTTCACCAACTGCTGATTATAGAGCCCCAGGCCCTTGAGCCAACATCAGCAGATGTCAGGGAGTGGTTACAGTGGGCCTTGGGCAAGACCCAGTGATGTGCTGACTTCAGATCTGAATCAGTACAGTCCTAGTGGTAGTGGCCACAGGGATGCTGGTGTCATCCCACCCCTAGCCCCAGGTACTTTACAACAGGGTGAGAGAGACTCCATTTGTTCAGGAGAAAGTAAGGGAAGAGAACAAGAATCTCTGCCTCGTAATCCACAGAATTCTTCTGGATCTTATCCAGGACCATAAAGGCAGTACCTCTATTAGTTTGCAAGTATCATAGTGTTACTGGGCTTCAGGTGGCCTATAATGCAGATACAGCTTAGATCACAACACTCAAGTTCTTTCAAATACCTGGAAAGCCTTCCCAAGAAAGACAAGTACAAGCAATTCCAGAATATGATGACTATAATAAATACCTAACTCTTCAATGCCAAGACACAGATGAACATCCACCAGTATCAAGACCATCTAGGAAAACATGAGGCCACCAAGTGAACTAAATAAGGCACCAAAGACCAGTCCTGGAGAAACAGAGATATGTGACTTTTCAGACAGAGAAATCAAAATATCTGTTTTGAGGAAACGTAAAGAAATTTAAGATAACACAGAGAAGGAATTCAGAATCCTATCAGATAAATTTAAGAAAGAGAATGAAATCATTAAAAAGAATCAAGCAGAAATTCTCGAGTTGAAAAATGCAAATGACACATTGAAGAATGCAGCAGAGTCTTTTAATAGCAGAAATGATCAAGCTGAAGGAAAATTAATGAGCTTGAAGACAGGTTATTTTAAAACATACAGTCAGAGAAGAAAAAAGAACACAACACATTGAAGCACAACTGGAGGATCTAGAAAATAGCCACAGAAGGGCAAATCTAAGAGTTTTCGACTTAAAGAAGAGGTAGAGAAAGAGATAGGGGTAAAAGTTTATTCAAAGGCACGATAACAGAGAACTTCTCAAACCTAAAGAAAGATCCCAACATTCAACTGTGAGAAGATTATAAAACACCAAGCAGATTTAACTCAAATAAGACATTGAATAATTAAACTCCCAAAGGTCAAGGACAAAGAACAGATTATAAAAGCAGCAGGAGCAAAGAAACAAATTAACATACAAGGGAGCTCCTTCGTGTCTAGGAGCAGACTTTTCAGTGGAAAACTTACAGGCCAGCAGAGACTGGCATGGCATGTGTAATGTGCTGAAGAAAAATAAGTAAAACCTTTTACCCTAGAATAGTATATCTAGCAAAAATATCCCTCAAACACAAAGGATAAATAAAAACTTTCACAGACACACTAAAGTTGAGAGATTTAATTGACACCAGTCCTGTTCTACAAGAAATGCTAAAGGAAGAACTTCAATCAAAAAGAAAATGATGTTAATAAGCAATAAGAAATCATATGAAGTTATAAAATTCACTGGTAATAGGAATTGCACAGAAAAACACAGTATTGTAACTGAGTAACTTTGGTGTGTGAACTACTGTTATCTTAAGTAGAAAGACTAAACAATGAACCAATCAAAAATAATAACTACAACAAATTTTCAAGACATGGACAGTACTATAAGATATAAAAAGAAACAACCAGAAGTTAAAAAAAGGAGGGGGAAAATTTTAAGATGTATATTTTTATTAGTTCTCTTTTTGCTGTCTTTTTTTTTGCTTATGATAACAATGTACAATTTTTGTGTTTCTCTTTGCTTGTTTGATCAGAGTTGTCATCAGTTTAAAATAATGAGTTAAAGATGTTATTTGCAAGCCTCATGGTAACCTCATACTGAAAAACATACAACACACACACACACACACACACACACACGCACAGCACAAAATTATAACATAACACCAGAGAAAATAATCTTTACACAAATTCAGAAACTAAAGAAGAAAAAACCACAAAATAACAATTTTATGGACAATAAACATATATGCTATGCCACATTGTTATTAGTCATTTTCTTGCCTGTCTCTCTTACCAAAATGTGAGGAGTTTATATCCCTATGTCTATTACAACATTAGAACATATTAAGTTTAAATTATATTTGAACAAGATATTCAGAGGCCATCTTTTATTTAATGATGAATGCTACATTTATGTATCCCATGGAAAGTCACATAAAATTGTGATGACTTACTTTTCTGTTTACAACAATAGTAAATAAATACCTGGCCTTTAGTTCTTTTTAACCCTAAGACTTACATAATTCATACTCCTCTGCCTTTCAAAACTCATCATGTGCCCTGGTTTTTCACTTCAACCCATAGACCAACATGGTTCAGTGATCCGTGAACATTCCACAGTTTTACACAAGGTTGTGCCTTTACCACAAGTTGTTAGTTCTGCCTGGGTTACCTTTTCCCCCCTGTCTTCCTGGTGAGGTAAAACACCTTTCAAATATTTTCTCAGTATCAGGACTTTTTAGCAGAAAAAGCATTACTGCACAAACCAGTAATGCTTAAGGTCCATGTGACTTTTAAGGTGGCTTTTTAAAAATGACATTTGGCAAGAATGCTTTCATAATAAGAGAATAGAAATTGCTTTCCTGAGCTACATGAGAGAAATGTATTTTCTTAAGATTTCTTTAGTAATAATTGGTAGGGCTTTTTAGTTTTCAAAGCCAAATGTTAACAAATTTCATTTGTTATACATAAAGTAAAAAGCCAATCTGGGGAACTTAGGATTTACCATGTGAAATGCAAAAGGACAACATGAGGTGACTAATAAATGAAATTCATATATAGAGGATAGAAAACTGTGATATAGAAAGAGTCTTGAAAACATTGTAAAATGTTGGATGGTATGTTAAATGAATACTATTGCTTTTGTTTGAGTAAGAAAATTACATGAAGAAACCTTATAAGATTAATTTGATATTTACATGCAGGATAAATTAAAGAGGAAAGCTTAGAAAGAATTAGAAAGCTTCCAAGCTATTTAAAATTAATGATTTCTCAGGCCTTAATGAAAAGCAGAAATAGAATGTGTGTATTTCTATGTATGTTGTGAGAAAATAGAGCTAGCAGATATAATAGACAACTTGAGGGAAGAATTAGCAAGATATGACAAGCAATTGAAGGTATCAGTGGGGAAATTCAGAAAAAATATGTTTGATCTTGGTTAATGGCTAAGTACATAAATCAGATATTCAGGGAAGACAGTCCATTTCACAGGAAGAGTGAGTTTGGTTTCAAACGTATTGAATTTTGTCTGATCCTCATATCTCAAAGTGAAACTGATTAACAATCAAAAGAGATTAGTGGTATGACATGCAGATTGAGATAGCAATAAGTTCAAGAGAATAACTGGGGACTCTCAAGACACCCCATGCAATTCTAAATAAAATTTAAGATGATTGTAAAAGAATTTCACAGATGTTCAGATTTCACAGATGTTCTTCCCTTGAAACTGATTTGTACATTCACTGATTTAGTCACGTTACATATTGACATACTTAATATATAAACAGCATTCCAACAAGATTTCAAAGATCTTTTTCTAAAACTCCCTACAAATAATTTTTGGAATGCAGTTAGAGCCTACACGTTTCAATTTAGCAGTCTGAAGCCAGAAATATGTAAATGTCTTCAGTTTAAATTAGCTATAGGATGTCAGTACTGGGCACATGATCAAATTCTTTCTAAAGTAGCATAACCTTACATTAAATTTTTCACACACTAAATTTATGTCTAAGACCAACTTTACATACTTGTGTAAAATGAAACATCTATGTTTTATAGTTTTCTGTTTACCTTTTATTACTCCAAATTTCTTTACAGTTTAAATAATTATCTTTCTCCAGGCTGGATAAATATATTCAGAATTCAAATCTCATTTTCATGAGTTATTAATATTAATTTATTTTGTGTATATAAAATGCTTACTTCAGGTTTGCACTTTAACCAATATAATAAATTACAGATATTAGTTTTCTTATGCATAGATATCTAAAATTCTTAAGATGTTAAATTTTTTAAGTATAATGTTTATATTTAGCCAAAAAGAGGCATATGAATTATACTAAAAACAAGTATAACACTAATTAAATTTAAATATACTTCATCTACATGGAATTGCAGTAGACTTTAAAGATTTCCAAAAGCTCATACTGATGCCATTTTTATATTTAGCTTATATTAACAAAAACTTAATCACAGCAATACAAATAAAATATTGCTACACACAAAATACTCAGATTAATATTATATTTAAAAACTTTCTGAACATAATAAAATAGAAGAATATGATTCTAATTATTAAAGTAAAACATTAATAAAATGGGAGAAAAAATATGAAAATATAGAGAAATATATTATTAAAATTATCTTAAAACCTTTTAGAGAAGAGGACTTATGCAAATATGTAAATAAGAGGGTAAGAGGAAACATTTCAGTAAAAGGCAGAAATCATTTTACCTTATTTAAATGAGTTAACATTGCATATTAGCCAATTAACCATTTTTCTTGGTTTATTTACACCATTGTTTTATTTATTTAATTATGAAATGTCCAATCCACTGAGTTTATGGTTTTGTTTTTATAATCAGCAAATATTGATTGAATACCAGAATAAACTTAGCCATGTGACAGGTGACACTGGGAGACAAATAAGGATAAACTCTTTGGATTTTTAGAATTTAATCTGGGAGAAAAGTTACAGATATAAGGGAAAATTAGTGAGAATAAAACTTTTTTATGTTCATATGTATTTTATCTAACGATGTGTTTTAGGAAGAAAACAACTCTTGGACTAGATGAAGATATATACATACAATAAGTGAAAGTGTAATTACATCCAACTATTTATGCTTGGCACTGAAGTTTCTGTATTAGTTTTCTAAACTGCATAAAAAATGACCACAAATTTAGTGGCTTTACAAAACATACATTTATTATCTCATTGTTTCCCTGGATCAAGGGTCCAGACACAGCCTATGTGATTTCTTTTCTTCACAAGGCTTAAACCAAGATGTTGACTATTGTGTTCTCACCTGGAGCTTGGGGCCATCTACTGATTTTTACTCAGGTAATTGGCAGAATTCAGTTCCTTTTGGTGATAAGACTGAGCTTTCAGGTCCCAGAGGAAAGCCCTCCATAGTAATTTACCATATCACTTTTTCCAAGCCAACAGCATAGCATCTTTACAGTTTCAAGTTTCCTGTTTCAGAGAATTCCTGCATATTAACCAGGATAATTTCCCTTTTATTGGCTGAAAATCAACTAATTAGAAGTCTTAATTATATCAACAAAATCCTTATAGTTTTGCCATTTTCTTTTGGTTAGGAGCAAGTTACTTGCTTTATCCAACACTGAAGGGAAATAGTCAAATTGTAAAAAAAAGATAAAAATACTGAAAACAACCAGAAAAAAACAAAAAGTTTCTACAGGTGAATAATAAATAATTTATAGTATTGTAATAGATTATTGGAAACTGGGATTTAAAGTGAAAAGACATATTGTATGCAGTAGGAAATTAACTCTTGTTTTATCAATTAGCCTATGGTAAAATTTGTTTTATTATACAGTACCTCATTTCACTTTCAGTTGCAGTTTCCAAGCACCTATCTATGATGTTAAGTGAGGATTTATTGTATTTGTGCATCTCATGCAACATTTAGGACATACTTATATTTTAAAAAAATCTTTCTATGACTATAATATATAATTTAACTGGAAGTCTTGTATATCTTCTGGCAACCCTACAAATATAGACTGTCTTGTTCATAGGGCTGGGAGATCTGATTATAAAAACTTAAACTTGCAAGAGACTTTAGAGAAATTAAAGTCTTCGGGAGAACAGAGAGTCTCTTCCCATCGAGCAGAATTTCATATGACTTGGTGATTTATTGTATCTCATAAATAAAATAATACTACATAAGAAAGTTATTTGGGGGAAGTGTGTTCATATTCTACCAGACAATGTGCTATTTCTGCCATAGTCTACTGAATGGTGAGAACAGGAGTGGCCTACTGTACATATGTGTTTCTTCTATGATAATCTTCTAGCTGCATGTGTTAAGTAATTCTATTCTGGCTTGCATAATTTTCATCATTTGGTGAATAAATAAAAGATATCAGGTTTCTCCTTGAAAGATGATGTTGTTACATATCTCTCAGAAACGTGGAGGAAGGAAGAGTCGTGGTTAATACAACAAATTGCTTTCTCTCTTGCTCCATGTCTCTTGAGACTTTTTAATCTTCTTTAGTGTACCTACACACCAACTTCCTACTCTACCAATTAACCATTCATTACCTAATTATTTCCTCCAGCTGAGCACTCTACTTATTTAGAATAATTTCTCCCTTGTTATCATTTCAGCAACCGTGTTATTTGTACTCTTTAGTAAGCGATTTCTAGTAATTTGAATAGCATTCAAATAATTCAGCTAATTTATAGAAGGCATTTCTCAGTTTTCCTTAGCCTTCTGCTATTAAAATAGGTATGTTGTAATTTTTACTGCCATTTTAGAATTATCGGTCTCTCTTTGAATTTTACAAAATTGTCCAAGGCAGAATTATAAAAAACAATCCAGGATATTACACATATAGTGAAATATGTCATCATTTATCACAAATAATTTATGGAATAAATACCCCGTGAATATAATATTATAAGTATTTAGATAAAGTAAGCAAATACATACCCATTATAAGGGTTTCTTATAAAAGTGTACATTAAATAGCTATAATGAAGTATTAGCATTGGGTTAGCCCTGCCACTGTCAAGAACTATAAGACAGAAAAACTGTTTTCAAGCAATGGGCAACAGACAACGTAAGGCTGTGTTCTCTGTATAGGGGGAAACTCGAGTTTAACCATACAGATTCCCAGCTTCACATCTGTGGATAGTTTTCCAACCAATGCCAAGTCAGTCCAGCAGAATATGCATTTCCACAAAGGCTGAAGAGCAAATGGTGAGTTGGGGCAGCTGAAGTGACTGGAATCTGTGGGATGAAGCATTAGAGAGAATGGAGCTGTGCAGCGAGGGAGCTCCATGGGTCAAGGTGAAACTCCTGCCAGTGCATGAGGACTGAGATATATATGCAAAAAGTCAGACCGTTTGGGTCTTTCCAAATCTAGCATCTGAAGGAGTGTGTAGTAATGGAGCAGGGCTGATCATGGGGAAAAGCAGAAAAAGCACTATCTGGGGACTTCTGGCTCCACCACTGGAGAGATATCTTTAACAAGTAGCTGAGATGTTAAACAGCCCTAGGAATAGAAACCACATCCTAACAAAGCTGAAACTTAAGTCCTGACCAAATCCTAAGGGAATGTAGAGTGTGGAATTCTAATAGTGCCAATTTTGTGGGATTCAGAAACGCCTTAGTCTTTCCTTTGGTTTACACTAACAAAGTGTAAAAGCAAGCCTAAGAAAATTCAAGGAGATCCACCAGCAACTAAATTTCCAGTTACAATAAAAACCTCAAGTGAAAAATAACATAATTCTGCATTTCTACAAGATATTATCTGTAATGTCCAGTAGTCAATAAAAAAATTAACTGTCATTCACAAGAGTGCCAAGAAGATTAAATGGGGAAAGAACAGTCTTTTCAACAAATGATACGGGGACCACTGGATAGAAACACACAAAAAAGATGAAGTAGGTCTTCTACTTCATATTAAGGCAAAAATTAACTCAAAATAATACAAAGCCCTAAATATAAGCTAAAAAAATATAATTCATGAAAAAACACAGGTATAAGTATTTTGAGCATGGAAGAAGCAATGATTTCTTAACTCTGACACCAAAAGTGTTAAAATTTTAAAAAATTAAATTGCCTGGACTTCATCAAAGTTAAACAACTCTGTTCTTCAAAGAACATCATCAAGAAAGTAAAAAGGCAACCTACGGAATTGGAGAAAATATTTGTAAATCATATTTCTGATAAGAGATGAGTATCCAGAATATATAAAGAACTCTTACAGCTCAATAATATCAAGATAAAATACCCAATAAAAATGAACAAATAATCTGCATAGACATTCTCCAAAAAAAGATATACAAACGGCGATATGCACATACAAAGATACTCAACATTATTAGCCATCAGGGAAATGTTAACCCAAACCACAGTGATGTGCAACTGTATATACACTAGGATGTCTACGACAAAACAGAAAGAAAACAAGTGATGATATGGAGAAAATAGAGTCCTCATACCTTACCTGTGAAGATGTAAAATAATGCAGACAGTTTCTACAACAGTTTGGAAGTTCCTCATAAAGTTAAACATAGAGTTACCATACTAGTAATTTTACTCCTAGGTATTTATCCAAAAGAAATGAAAACACATGTTACACTTAAATATGTGCATGAATGTTCATGAAAATATTATTTGTGATAGCTATAAAGTGGAAAAAACTCAAATATCCATGAACCAACCAATGAAGAAAAGGTAGCTTATCCATGCAACTGATGCATGATAAGTTCAGTAAACTTTCTAATATTTCCTCTGTGATTTTTTTTCTTTATAGCCTGGTACTCACCCATTTCTCTTATTTGGCCTAATTTTAGTCAGTAACATTAAACAAGTTTTTAATTAAAAAAATAAGGACTAGATATCTGATTATGTTGTATTTATGATGCATAAAATTTGAAAATGTAACTTTTTAACTCTACTATATTATGTTTACTTTATAATATAATATAGGAAATAGCAGAAAGTATATCATGTATTATTATATTAACTTTAATTACACATTCCTTAAATTTTCATGGTTTTCTAAGGTTCCTTTTCCCCTTTGGTCATTCGAAAATATTATACATTTGAAAAAAAAGTTTTTCATGTCAAAATTCTCTTTCTCCATGTGATTAGATATTTCCTTGGTCTAATAGAAGTTCAAAACATTTTTCTAAATTTAGTAATTCCTTTTAATATTTATTTGATCATTTTTATATTACTGTATTAACATAGATTTTTATAAATGGCAGATGTAAGAATAAACTTGTTCATATTTTAAAACAATGCCTAAATTGAATCTGTTGACACAATTAGCAAACAGATGGCAAAGTAAACTGCTTACATTTCAGTAAAATGCTTTCATCTTTCCAGATTTCAGCAATGACATATAGCTTCAAGACACATCAAGTTAAAATGATTACATTTGAGTGAAAAAGGAATGAATGGCTGAGGGCATCAATATTATAGTACAAATCATTCACATCTAGCTTGTTTAAACTTATACCAACTAATTAGTAGTTTTTGTTACTAATCCATAGCCATCTGGTTTTATCAGATATCTATTAACATATCCAAAATATTTGTTGAGTTTTTATGATTATATGAAATAATAAAATTTAAGAATAAAACACAGTCCTTACTCTAAAGATATTCACATTTAGTCTGGGAAGTATATATTTAAATGTCATTAAAATATGATAAATGCTATAATAGGGTCAGATGATGTCGGCCCAAATATATTGTTTCAAATACTTATAATAATTTGCACAACTCAATCTAAGAATGGTTGAGAACTGTAGAGATGGCATTAGCTTATTGATTTTAAGTTGTCCAAAGGAGTTTAGAAACTTCTGTTGATACATAATTATGTAGAACATACACCTCCAGGGGTACATTGACCTAAGTGTATATAAACATGAATCACAAATAAAAATAATATACAACAGTAACTCCAACTGTCTATGATAAAATTTGCAACTAAAAATCTATTTTTTTTTTTTGCATATCTCAAAAAGACACCTGTCTTTTACAATGTGTAAGAGAAAACTATTAGATACTAACCATCTTGAAGGTAAAAATCACACCTAAATATTCTACATCAGGGGCCAATGAAGTTCTAAAGGGTCTGATAGTAAATATTTTTGGCTTTGTGGACCGTGAAGTCTCCGTTGTGACTACTCATTCCTCCTGCTGAGTGAAAACAGCCAAAGACAAACTGAATAAATGGGTGTGGCTGGATTCATTCCATGGATAGAATTTCCCACCTCTGTTTTTGTGTTTTCACAATTTGCTAATTGTGTGCACTTTGCTAAGTGTGATACACTGCAATGCTATCTCACCTAATATTAGATTTTTATAACGATGACTTTAGTTAAGTCAAATGGACACTATCGATCATTAGATTTTCTTTTTCGTTAGGTTTTTCTGTTAATCATTAGGATTTTAAAATAGAAACTAGAAGGAGGACAAAAACCAAGAAACAAGGTAAGGTTCTTTTAGAACAGCCTATCCCAAACTGTGTCCCATGATCACTGGTTCTGTTAAATGTCATTACATGTTAGGTAAAAAATTCCTCAATGTTAAAATCAATTTTTAAAAAATTTTCTTAAACAAAGTTTAATTATTTTTGTACTACAACAGCCATCCAAGTAAAGTTACACAACTAGAATTATATGTATATACATAGTGTGAGGCTGCCTTATGTCACTTAGTTTATGAAGCTCACTGATTCTTTTATATACTCCCATAATCATTTGAAATATTAAAATGAAGCACAACCAAATACCAACAAAAGTATGGTTATTTCTAAAATTATATGCACATGAAAAACATAATTTGACTAACAACCACAATATTAATTTTGTTAATTTTTGTTCTCTCAACAATTTAGCCATTTTAACTGGTATTTGGCTTTGGGGGATTAGACTAGTATGCCATCTTCAATATATTGGAAAGAAAAATGTACAAATTCTTAGTGTTTACATTAAAACACAAACAACTACCTTTAAAATATTCTAAAACAGTTTACAGGAAGAATTCTGGAATATATTTTATAAAAAGCATTAAGATCTATAATAATTAAGAAAAAATGAACCTTCTGTTTATTTTTACTTATAACTTCGGATAGTTAGCAAATTTGTAGCGAAGACTTTTGAGTGTTCATATATGTACTAAAAACACACTGAATATTCAAAGATAAGTAAAAGAGATATGTAAATTTAAACAGGATTGGAAACAACAGAACTAGGAAATATAAAGAGGAAATGTCTCTATGGAGTTCTTTTTTGCTTGTTGGGAGTCACAGGTTAACCCCGAGTGTGTAACAGACGTGGCTATGTAATGTGCTTTTGCAGAATCCTCCTTCCCAAGGGAGTGAGAGTCAGTTTCATTATCTTCCTCAATATTCAGCTGAATTTTTTTGAGCATTAAAAGGAGTTACTTTCACATTTCTACATTGTAATATATGTTCCAACATGATGAGAAAAAAATGAGTTGAGAAATAAGAAAATAAGACATGAACATTTAATGTGAAGGACTTGAGAAAAGACAAATAAAACCTAATGATGCACTGTAATGAAGATCTCTGTGTGATGTATTTTACCATAACAGAAGAAAGGACACTTCAGGAAATAACAAGAAAGAACAGATGTAATGATGGAAAGGAATTGTGATAAAAACAGCATTATTTGCAGATATGATTTCTTCACAGAAATCCCACCAAAATAAAAAACAATTAGACATAAGAAAACTCAGCAAGATTTCTTGATGAAAACCAAGTTTAAAAACTCATTACTATTTATCTATATCAACAATAACTAATCTGAAAATAAAATAATAAATTGTATTCTTAGCAATAAAAATGTAAATATATCTAGACATTTACATATTCAAGAATATGCAGAGCTATATACTGAAACAATTAAAACATTAATAAAGAATGTAGGCAATTTTTACACTCTTGGGCAAGATTCCACTATATTATAAAACTGTCAATTATCCCAAATAATCCATAAATTAAGTTTACTGCCAATTAACATATTTTTTGGACTTTAAAAATTGACAAATGTATTCTAAAAATTATAATAATAAGAAATATTCATAATATATGTCTACTTTGTAAAACAAAAGTGAAAATGAGTGACTATCCTGACTGATATTATAATATGCTACATACTAATATAATATATATATTAATATCAGTCAGGATAGTCAATCATTTATACTATAATTTTTTTTTTTGAGACAGAGTCTTACACTGTTGCCCAGGCTGGAGTACAGTGGTGAGATCTCGGCTCACTGCAACCTCCACCTCCTGGGTTCAAGTGATTCTCATGCCTCAACCTCCCAAGTAGCTGGAATTACAGGTGCCCGCAATGACACCTGGCTAATTGTTATATTTTCAGTAGAGATGGGGTTTCACCATCTTGGTCAGGCTGGTCTCAAACTCCTGACCTCAAGTGATCCACCCACCTCAGCCTCCCAAAGTGCTGGGATTACAGGCATAAGTCATTATGCCTGGCCTATACTTTTTATACTATAACAACTATAATCAATTCTGTATCTGTTGGCAGAGGACCAGAAAAAGGCCAATAGTACAAATTAGAAATGTCAGAGGCGAGTATAGGTCTTTATAGGATTTTTAAAAATTATTATGGAAACTTCTAAAGAGATAGAATAATAAGACAAATAAAATAATAAACTTCTATGTTCCCATCACATTGTCATCCAAAATTAGCAGGATTGCAAAATGGTGACTCTCTAATTCTTCCCTTTCTTATTTATTCATTAGTTGGAATATTCTACAAAATAAAATTTTAACTTAATTTTATATAGGTTCTTATATGATCAAATGGATATAATAGAATTTATTGTAATACAATATAATACATTGGAAAACCACTTGAATATATCTTACCCTTATTTATTCATTTAAAAACTTACAATAGTAAATATCACAGACACGATCTGTACATTAACTGGGATTCTGTTATGACCCTAAACCTACCCTTACTGAGAAAATATCATCTTGAGAAAATGTACTTAATGGAGTGTGACATCTTCCGCAGATTGGCTAGCAAGAAAAGAAAAAAAGATTGAGGATCACTGATACAGCATAACATCCTCCATCACAACATGAAAACGAAAACCCAGAAGCAACACCAGCTTCTAGAGCTACTTTATAAGTCTGCATTTAGAAGCTGAGTTTCTAGGCCAGGCGTGGTGGCTCACGCTGTAATGCGAGCACTTTGGGAGGCCGAGGCGGGCGGATCACGAGGTCAGGAGATCGAGACCATCCTGGCTAACACAGTGAAACCCCGTCTCTACTGAAAATACAAAAAATTAGCTGGGAGTGGTGGCGGGCACCCTGTTGTCCCAGCTACTTGGGAGGCTGAGGCAGGAGAATAACATGAACCCGCGAGGTGGAGCTTGCAGTGAGCTGAGATCGTGCCACTGCACTCCAGCCTGGGTGACTGAGGGAGACTTCATCTCAAAAAAAAAAAAAAAAAAAAAGAATCTGAGGTTTCTAGCCTCCAATAGTATGCTCTTTAGTTTATAATGTGTGAAAACTGCTTTTTTTAACGTGGCCTATACTTTTCTTAATGCTTCTAGGAGAATACTTGGCAAAAAGAAGAGATTGGTAAATGTACCAAGGATACCATAACAAATCAATTGGTAAAGATGAGATAAATTTGTTATACCCTCTTTCTCTACACCTATTCTGAAATTTGTTTTGTTTTGTTTTTACCATGGATTGTCTTATCTTTCTTCACTTTTGAAAAATAGTGTAAATAGAACCCTTGATTGATAGTCTTCTTCCAGCACTTTTCATATGTCATTCCAGTATCTCTGGGTTCCATGGTTTCTGATGAGACATCAGTTGTTAATCTTATTAGGATTCCCTCATAATTGGTAGCATCTCTCTTTCTGCTTTCAAGATTCTCTTTGTTTTTCGACAGTTTGATTATGACGTGTTTAGGTATGTAACTTAGGGTTTATCCTACTCAGTGTTTGTTGAATTTCTTGGATGTTCAGGTTAATGCTTTTAATCAAGTTTAAGAAGATTTTGGCCATTATCTTTTCAAATATTCTTTCCACCAATTTCTCTTTCTCCCCTTTTTTGGAATTTCCTTTGGGCATTTGTTGGCACACTTGATGTTGTTCCACAAGTGTCTGAGGGTTTATTCATTTTTCTTCATTCTTTTTTTTCTGTTCCTCAGGCTTGATAATTCCAATTATCCTATCTAAAAGATAGGCAACTCAACAGTTCAAATTTACCATTGTTCTCCTCTAGTAAATTTATTTTTTCCTTTCAGTTTTTATACTTTTCAACTCAAAATTTCTCTTGAATTTTTAAATATGCCTTCTATTCCTTTACTATTATTTTATATTTGGTGGGCCATTATTCTCATGTTGTCCTTTATTTCTTTAGGCATTGTTTACATTAGTTTTTTAATGCATTTATAACAAATTATTTAAAGATTTCATGTAGTAAATCACACATTTATTTAGAGTACTAAGTATATGCTTCCTCAGAGACATTTTCTTTGGACCGCTTTATTTTTTCTGCATACATGGCATACTTTTCTGTTCTGTGCATGTCACCAAATTCTTTGGAATTTTAAATAAAAGTGTGTAACACTTGAAATCCAAATACTTCTTCCCAGGGTTTTTGTTGTTTATTTTTGCTGTTTATTTTTGTTGTTGTTTGTGTTTCCTGTGTGGTGATTTTACTGGCCTTGTTCTGTAAAGCCTCGTTTGTCACATGTGGCTACTGAAATCTCTGCTCAATTACCTTTCTATTTGACAATGTTTGATCAGAAGTTTTCTTAAATGCTTTGAACTAATAAATCTCCCAGCTTTTGTCAATAGGCTCTGTGTGGATTAGGGAATACTTTAACCACTTCAGCAGGCAGCATAGGGCTTTAACAACTTTGCTTTAGTCTTCACTTCTTGCTTGTATACAGCCTCAAGGTCAGTGAGACATGAGAGTTTAGGACCTCTTCAGGTTTTCCCTGGTCATACACAAAGACCAGCACATGGACATGAACTTCTAGATTTCTTGGAATCAGTCAGAGCTTTTCAAAGCCCTGTGGAAACTGTACTTAAAAAAAAAAAAAGAAAGGTTTTCTTCTTGAGATCATTGGTCAACCTTTTAGACAACTGCTATTGCTGCCTTAGGAGCTGAAATGTTCAACAATTGCCACTGATTGTTTCTGAGGAATGCAAACAGGATGGTGCTGTTTGCAGAGTGAATTCTGAGTCCAGTCAAAAACAACCACAAAGACTGAAGCTTTTCAGGGAGCTCACATTTAAGTCAAATTGCTTCAATTTTCTGAGGATGAGCTCTTAGAGAGTTCCGAACCTGTTCTGCTCTCCCCGGTGGCTAGAAGACTGCTTGTTTTCACAGCTCCCGTAATTGTTAGGCTGTTGGTTTTCAAGGCAACAGCAGTTAGGGGGAAGGAGATGGCGATAAAACAAGTTAAAATGCTACAAAGCTTACTGTTCTCACTTGGATTCAGACATTTTTGTTGAATAAATGCTTACCAGATTTTTGAAAATTTTTGGTTAATTTCCAAATTCCTAAAAAACTAATATTGAAAATTGTTGCCATTGTTGCCATTGCTCTTGTGGAGGATTCTATTTTCAGAGATCTGTACTCCACCATTCTGGATTTGCTTCTTTATGTAGAATTTAAATGTATAATCAATATGGACCTATAAATGAGTAGAGAATTCTTTTGACATTGGTGTTCAGAAAGGTAAGTTATGTGGAGAAACATTCAACTTGTTTCTTAAATGACGCCATGTCCAAAAGTGATTTACGTTTAATAATAAATATGAAGGATGAAGTATTCAGTTAATATATAGTATATAAAAATATATTTGTAATCCAGGGGTAAGGAAGAAATTCAAAATTCCCAAAGCACAACCTTAAGGTAAATCTATGACTGTGATTAAATAAAGTGAAGTTTTTCTGTACAATAAAGCATCCCAGGTATACATATGACAGATAGATTATAAATTTGGAAGAAGTATCTATAATTTCTAAAACCAGTAGGTAATATATAGGATATCAAGACATTTTCTGCAGTTTGGCAAGAAAAGAAGATACTGTAATATTAAAATTGCAAGTAATGTGAATAGAAAATTTATAAAAGGGGAAATCCAAACAATAAACACATTAGAAACCAAAGAACCAGAAATATCAATGAGAAGTTGCGTATGGTCATTTGAGTGGCAAAATTACAAAGTGAGATGAACCATTTGTTAGTGATTATGTGAACATATGATAATTCTTATGACTCACTTGTACAAGTGCTGATAGATGTAACTATATTGAAGAATAATCTTTTAAAACTTGTTCAGATTAGGTGAACTCATGGCATCAGATTCAGAAAGTTTGCTTTGGTTTTATATGCAAAAGGAACTCCCACACAGGTGCGTATGGAAACAACAAATGTAGTTATTCACTACAAAAATGTGTAGCTAAATACTTTTGAGTAAATAAAAACATTATTAGAGGTTTATATTTGAAAACTATTTATGTGTGAAATATACATAGGACTAGTAGAGCAATGGAAAGCAGAGAATTTAGGTGAAAAATTGGCTGGATTTTCACATTATCTTACGAGAAAAGCAAAAGCTTAGGCAAAAGACAAGGAAAGCTGTGCATGCATGTACTGCATTGTGCTTAAGAAATGAGCTATGTGGTTCTGTACTCTACTGTAATTAAGTGAGATGTTAATACAATTATGTGCAAAGAAAAGATAGACTTTATCTAATCATATAAATATAGAAAGAGAAGAGTTAAAGGAGCATGGAAGAAAACAGAAAGCTAAAGGATTAGAATCAGAGGGAAGATGCCTGTTAAAAAAAGAACGTTTTCACCTTCTCTGTGTCCCCAGAGAAATTCGTAGATTTCTCTACCACAGTACTTCAGTTCACTGTTGTTATTATTTGTATGCTATGATCTTCTCATCTGCACTGAAGAATATTCCAGAGAAGAAACCATGTTTCTTTGCCTGTATAGCTGCAGTTTCTGGTATAGTGGCTGACACATAGTTGGTTCTCGACAAATCTGGGCTGAGTTAATACATTGCCTGATTATAGAAGAGATGCCAGACTGACTCTGTGCTTAATCTCTTGTAGTAAAAGCTTTTGATCCCCCTATAACAACTTTAGCAACCTGCCCCTGACCCTACCTCTAAGCTGTTGTGTTTGTGGGGTAATGGTTTACACCTTCACTCTTCTCTGGAGATTTGCCATTAGTTTAAAGGAGGCCTTAATCCCAGCACTTTGGGAGGCCGAGGCGGGCGGATCATGAGGTCAGGAGATCGAGACCATCCTGGCTAACACGGTGAAACCCCGTCTCTACTAAAAATACAAAAAATTAGCCGGGCGAGGTGGCGGGCGCCTGTAGTCCCAGCTACTTGGGAGGCTGAGGCAGGAGAATGGCGTGAACCCCAGGGGGCGGAGCCTGCAGTGAGCCGAGATTGCGCCACTGCACTCCAGCCTGGGCGACAGCGAGACTCTGTCTCAAAAAAAAAAAAAATAAAAAATAAAAAAAAATAAAGGAGGCTTACAAGATGTTGTTGTATACTCAGTCTGACATCAGTTTTATTATTATTTGAAAAAATTGAGCAGCAACGGTTAACATAGTTCCAGAATAATTAATATTAAATTTATAAGATTCACATGTAGGTCCAATTTAATTATGCACAGTAAAATTTGTACAAGCATGCACAGCATCTCAACCATAAGTGGTACGTATTATTTCTAGAAAAAGCATTGTTTCTAAATTAATGTCGCCTTATTAAAGATTCATGTCTTTAAGGAGAAAAATATTATAATTTTTCATAATTGATTCTCTACTAAAACAAATCTTCAATTTTTGAAAATATAGGGATTATATTGACTTGCAAATCTGTTTTATTAGAGAAGCAATATATCATTTAGTTTCAGAGTTTATGAGACCAGTTAATATTAAAATGTTGGAAAAGTAGCATGACAAACTGCAATTTCTTTACTGCTCTCCACTCAAAGCAATTAATGTATTCAAATAGGTTAGAAACAACTTTCTGTTATCAGTGGAAATATTTAATCATGTTACCTACCCACATAATAGTTCAAGATGCCGAGACTCATTTAAATAGCAACCTGGATTGTTCAGAATTCAGTTAATTATTTTATTTGGCTGTCAGTATGCAACTCTTATTTCAAGTTTCTAAAAAAAAAACACTGTAAGCAGGATAGCTTTAGAATGCTGCGGTGATATTGCTAACTTCCAGGTATGTCAGTAACAATTTCAGGGAAAAAAAAACGTTATGTACAAAAGCATTTTTTTTTCCTTTCCTATTTTTCTTTCTTTCTTTTTTTTAATTTAGAAGTCAGGCAGGCAATAGAAATTACTCCTTTTTCAGAAGTAGAAGACTATGGTTGGGGATATCAATGATGTTCCAGTATTTGTCACTTTGGCCCTTTAAAATCCACTTCAATGATGCAACTGTTTATTTTATTTTTGATGAGTGATTCTTAGTAAAGAGGAATCATGGGCTCTGTGGAAAGAATAGATTGAAAATTTCAGATTCATTGAAGTAATCAAAATGAATTCACTATTGGATTAAGCATCTCTTTTACATCAAGGATAATATTAAAATTCAGAATCAATGTTGATGTAGCAGCACAAAAATTATTGAAAATTAAAATTGAATATATTATTTTATAATAAATGGATATAATTTTTCCTTATAAAATCAGTCATCTTTCCATGACATTGTATGAAAATTACAGTGTTCTAACATAATAGGTTTAAGAAAAAATAAGGTAAGGAAGACAATGAAACTGAGTTATAAATGCTAGCTCCTGAAGCAGAATAGTGCTACAAAATGTGGAAGACATTTATAGAGAAAAATTAGAGATACACATAAATAAAGCGTTCAATTGCACTTGCTAGTCTATCATATCACTTTCCCAGTAATTAGATTTTGTGAACCCAGTACAGTATCTTACAATAAGTATTTCTTCATATGTGGCACTTTTATGGGAGCAATAAAAATATGAAAGACGCAAAACGTATATGAATATTTCCTTGCTTTTAGGAAATAATCACATTTCCCAGGTAAATGCAGAGGGTTAGGTTAAAAAAATGAAGAGTAATTTAATGTGACAGAAGACTAAAACAACTTCTTGTAAACCACATAGGACAGGTTTCACTGCTCAAGTCCTGGTAGTGCAAATTCATTTAATGTCCCCAGAGCCAGTTCTAACAGAGTTGACACCAGAATGATTCAGAAGTTAATCCCTGTATGTACTCACTACGGAGATTCAAAGCCTGGGTGATATTTAGAAATCTTCTTATATTTCCTACACATAGTGCTGTCTCAATTTTGAAGGAGAATATCAAACAAATTCATATAAAATACTGAGAAGTCAATAAAACACATATGTAAGTTTATTCTCCAGTTGAAAAATAAACTTATACTATGATTGGAAGTGCCATAAAATAATATGAAGTAATTTTGTTAAGAGAATGCATTTTGTGTTACCAAATTATTTTCCTATAATTTTGATAGAAAAGATTTCATCTATACATTTCCTGTAAGTATACACCTAATTCATGATTAAGTTTATATGCAGTATTCTTACAAAATGTACAACCTGCATTATCTCCATCTTTTTCTTGTGTTGAGTCAAAGAATTTAGAATAAATACTCTTATGGCCAGAATTAAGAAGAAATTATGTAATTTTAGAAATTTTGTTTAATTGCATAGCATGTTAATATGTACCTGAAGATACGTGAAAATACATGTGTGGTGGTTTTAAAGTGGCTATGAGTAATTTGAAACTTCCATCATTAAGAAGATTATTTGTTTTTCTGCTATTGAGATTTAGGAGTTCCTTATGCATTTTGGATATTAATCCCTGTTATACTATCTTAATTACTATAGAATTGTAACATATTCTGAAATCAGCAAATGTTATGTCTCCAGCATTGCTCTTTCTCAAGACTGTTTTGAATTAGACAAAGAGCTTAAACAGATATTTTTCTAAAGAAGGTATACAAATGTCCAACAAGTATAAGAAAAGATGTTCAGTATCACAAATCATCAGGGAAATGCAAATCAAGACTACAATGAGATATCATTTGCCACCTATTAGAATGGCTTTTACCAAACAAACAAAAAATTCAAAAAGATAACAAGTGTTGATGAGGATGTAAATACATTGAAACCTTTATACATTATTGAAGGGAATGTAGCATGGTGCAGCCACTGTAAAAAAAACATGCGGTGTACCCTTAAAACATTAAAAATAGTTCTGCCGTATGATCCAGCAATCCTATTTCTGTATATAGCCAAAGGAATTCAAATCAGGATCTCAAAATATATCTGCACTTCCCTGTTCATTGCAGCATTACTCACAATAGTCAAGTCACAGAAATAACCTAAACGACCATCATTGGTTGAATAGATAAAGAAAATGTGGTGCACACATAGAATATTCAACGTTAAAAAAAGAAGGAAATTCTGCCATATACAACATGAGTGAACCTGGAAGACATTATGCTAAGTGAAATTAGCCACTCATAGAAAGACAAGTGCTGCGTAATTCCACTTATATGAAATATCAAAAGTAGGCAAACTCATAGAAGCAGAGAGTAGAATTAAGGGGTTAGAGGGTAGAGGAAATAGGAAATTACTATTCAATGGACATAAAGTTTCAGTTACATAAGTTCTAGAGATCTGCTATACTATATTTTGCCCATAGTTAACAATACTCTGTTAGGCGCTCAAAAATTTATTAAGAGGGTGTAGCTCAGGTTAAGTGTTCTTACCACAAAACTGGACAGGCTTGTGACTGTTTAAACCAATAGAAAATGACACAAGCGATATTATGTGAGTTCTGAAACTAGGCCCTAAAAGGTGATGCCGTTTTCACCTGGATTTTTGAATCACCAGCTTTGCATATATTTGCTTAGTATGTTTCATCTTGAAACAAAGTCACCATGATCAGGTGAGTCCAAGCCACATGAAGACATTACATCTCTGGTTGAGAGATCCAAGTAAGCCCTTAGAGTCATCCTAGTTAATGGGTCAGATATGGGAATAAAGAAGGCTCCAGATTTCAGCCTTCGGGTTTTCTAGACATTACCAGTTATGATGGGGCAGAGACACACCATCTCTGCTGGGTCCCGTTAAATTCCCTCACTCACTGCTCTTAAGCACAGTGAAAAGATTGTTGTGTGATGGCATGAAATTTGAAATGGTTTGCACATAACAATAATAATTAGAACAATATGTACATTCAATGAGTTTTAAAATTAAAATTAAATGTTAACTCATTCCTATATTATAAAAAAGTTATAAGCCTACTGTTATAAACTCCAAATCATGGGAAGACTTTTTTTCTGAAAGTAGAAATAAAATGTTATTGATAAATATATAATTCAAGGCCAAGGCACGCTTTGAAATGAAGAAACTTATATGGAGTAGTTAGTATTTTATAGTTAGAAGGCTGTGATCTAGAAACAGAAAAGACAAGACAATCCAACAACTCCCCAAGGAAAAAAGACATCAAAATATTAAAAAATTTACATAAAATAGAAATTTATAAAATGTTTTATAATAAATGAAAGATCTCTTTCATCTAACTATGAGCAAAGTGCAAATACTAAATTGTTATGAATTCCAATATTATTTTCATTTCTATCTTTAAGCAGCAATATTTAAATAATCCTTGGAGGTAGAGCCTAATAAAGCAGATTTAGCATTTGTGTGTGGGTGTGTGTGCACTCAAGGAGACAAATGTTTTACTAATAACGAAAAACTAAAAAATAAAAGCCAGAAAATATAAACAAATATAAAATATGCATTATAATTCATTTTATAAAAGAATGAATGACCTGATACATAATACATGTGGACTTGAAAAGTTTAATGAGTATGAGTAATTGTGACCTCTCTAGGGATGTGACATTTAATCTGAGATCTGAAACATTGAAGGAAACCAGCTGTGCAAAATTCCTGGTGGAGATTATTTCAGGTGCTGGTCCATGAAGCCCTAAAGCTCTTCCACAAGAAAAAAAAAATGCTAATTCTATATCTTAGTCCAATGAGAATGGAACAGTAGCTTAGTGAACACTAGTGAGATAAAGCATATCAAGTATGTTGAAATCATCTTATCTAAAAATTAGTAGCTATACTTATTTTTTCTGAAGATGTGCATTCAGAGACTGCCAGGCAGTGTTTATAATGCCATTAATATTCACAGAAAATCCTTTCTTGCCATTTTAGATATTGACTTGGAATTGTTTGTATTGGCTGATTTTGCACTCTAAAATACAAGGGATTTTTTTAAGTGGCATCATTAATATACTGTCTGTAATTTATTAAATAGAAAACAAATGTCTTCAAAAGGACAGGAAGCTATATAGTAACAGATTTGTAGAGACCCTGACAGCTGTTCCCTAGGGCACTTTTTAATCAGCGCTAATTGGGAAGGAAATTTACTGCTGAGTAAAGGGCATCTTTTACATGAAAGAAAGTAATCAACTCGAGGTATTATTTTCTGTTCACTAGAAAGCAGTAAGTGTTCTAAACTTTCACTTAAACTTTTTCTTTAAAAGACACTTAAGTTTCTAAATGTTTCTACAACTTCCTCAAAGACAAGAAACAGTGAAAATGTAATCAATAATTTGTAGAATGTGATTATAATTGATGAATTTTACTTCTTTTCTTTCAGAAACTCTACAAAATCCAAATATATGTAAACAAACAATGTTACTATTTCTTCAAAAACAGTGTTCATTACAAAACACATTGGAATATGGAAATAAATCAAGGAAATATTTTGAGATCTCAGTGTCATGATGTGTGTGTTTGTGTGTGTGTTTTCTATGTATTCTAATGTTTAACATGTTTATTAACAGTCTTTAATAATGACAAACTAAATCAAAATATCTTGTATTTTGATATATTTAGAATTAAAGTTATATGTAACTACTACTTATTTATTATCTATTACTTCATTGTCCATAATAAAGTAACCCCTAAGTCAAATTGATCTCTCCCTCACCCTGACCCTTAGTCTATCTTCTCTGTTTTGTGCTACAGTCAATATGTATTTAAGTTTCATGTCAAATGGTCAGATGGTCAGACCTTGTGTTGTTCCTGTTGTCAGTCTGTTTTTTTTCTTTTTTAACTAATTGTTCTTGTCAAATTAATCTTTATAAAATGACTTTATCCAAGACACTCTCCTGTTCAATAAACCATAAAAGTACGTTATTGCTATTGAATTATGTCTTACCTTAAGGTCCTGACATCCAGAAAACTTAAAAAATACCCTAAATAACTTTCTGCTATTTTCAAACATGAATTCTGCTGTAGCTAGAAATGTCTTATTATTCTCTTTTCACTGTAAACACATGTCCTAAGGAAATAAAAAGAAGTAAATTCCCATCTCTCTTTTTAAAGAAATGCTACAATTCTTACATCTGTCCTGCACACATGGAAATGTATTTTAAATATATGAAGTTAACTTTCCATTGTGATGTGTGTTTGACTTTTCTCCTTTATGAAATACTATATTTAACTGAATGCAAAAAAATTCTAGTTATACTTAAAGACAAGAGTAAACATATTCCTTTTATAAAGTTAGTCTCTCTTCTATGGTGTATATAATGTTCTTGATAGTTTAGCAAAGCAACTCTAGGAAACATGTCCTAATTGACAAAATAAAATCTAGAAGTACCTCAAAGATATTATCAGGTAACCATTCATTTTCTACTTTTCACCCTATTATTTTGTGTTCTTCTATTCAGCTCAGAAGTACTGTCTCTAATTTTACTGACCCACTGAATTTGGCCAAAGATTTTCAGATGTTGATATCTCTGTAGTGTTTAGTTTTACCCCATTGTTTGATTTTTATTTTGGTTATTGCCTTGGATGACTTATTGCTCAAGCTTCAAGCCCATAAGATATCAATTCCTGAGTGTTACAGAATTGTTATAGGATAACAATTATAACTGTCATAGAATTTATATTTCTTACCATCAGGTAAGTTTTTTTTTTTTTTTTTTTTTTTTGAGACAGAGTCTTGCTGTCTCCCAGGCTGGAGTGCAGTGGCATGATCTCGGCTCACTGCAAGCTCTGTCTCCCAGGTTCAAGCCATTCTCCTGCCTCAGCCTCCCAAGTAGATGGCACTACAGGCGCCCGCCAACACGCCCAGCTAATTTGTTGTACTTGTAGTAGAGACGGGGTTTCACCACGTTAGCCAGGCTGGTCTCGATCTCTTGACCTTGTGATCCACCCACCTCAGCCTCCCAAAGCGCTGGGATTACAGGTGTGAGGCACTGTGCCTGGCCACCATCAGGTAAGTTTATGTGGATGGTAAGAATTATAAATTCTCTAACAGTTCTGTAACACTCAGGATTTGGCATTTTATGCCTTAGATATATCCAGGTATTCTTTTGCTGTATATTTTCAGATGTAGTCAGGTATTCTTTTTCTCCAGCAGAGTTAAGGTATTAATTTTCTGGGTCAGATGAAATGGAAAAATTGATAAGATATTGATAAATAAGGTAGGATTAATGCAGGAAGCATTCATTTGCCTGTTCAAAATATTTGTTGCATACTCACTGTGTCTAGCATTGTTTCAGTATTCAGGATACAATTGTAAACAAAACAGAAAAAACAGTCTATCTTCTTAGATCATTATGCTGGAGGATAAAGAGAGACATAAGAAAAATAAGATTACTATAGACTACCTCTATCAGTGGCAGAATAAATATTTAAAAAGAGTGAAGGAGGAATACTACAAAGTTGGGATATGTGTGAACATGTTTGATAGAATGACTATAGAAGGCCTAACTGAGAATGTGAGTTTTTGAGTGAAACTGTGAGGCAAAAGCCCTTAAGATGAAGAACGGCTGGTGTACTCAAAGGACAGCAAGGAGGAGGCTGAAGTGGTTGAAATAGAAAGAAAAGAATGGAAAAAGTAAGAGCTGAGATTAATGTGGCAATATGAATTCAGGTCATGCAGGGTCATAAGTACTTTGGATTTTACTATGAGAGAGACACAAAGCCATTAGGAGTATTTAAAGAGAAATAACATTATTTCATATATAACATACTTGTAAAAACTCTGGGAGCTGTGTTGAGAAGGATCAGGAAAGCTAAAACAAAAAAAACCTGTATATATGGCTACTATACAATGCAGACAAAAGATTGTTTCTTAAACCAGGAAAAAGATAGTAGACAGAGTTATAATGGCCAAATTATAGATAAATTTTGTTGGATACTGTCCATCATGATTTACTGCACACTAGATCTAGAAAATGAAAAAAAGGAGAGGAATCAAAGATAACAAGATTTTAACCTAATTAACTGGAATGTAGATGGCATTAGCTGAGATGGAATTACTCTAGGAGGAGCTGGATTGGGGGTTGAAATATCAAGAAATTAAGTGATATGTATTAGCCATTGAAATAAGTAACAAGAGATAAACTCCAGAGTTTAAATTGAGAGTCTGGCCTGGAAATATACATTTCTGAGTTCATTAGCATCTGAACTGTATTAAAGCCACAATTCTAGTTAAAATCAACTAAGGAGTTAGTGTAAACAGAAGAGAGAGTGGGTAAAGCATTAAAACTCTGGGTTATTTAACATTTATTAAGTGGAGTAATGAGAAGAAAATAGAAAAATACAGTTACGAATACTTTCCAAAGTGGAAGAAGAAAAGCCAGGTGGCTCTGACGTTCAGGAAGCCATAGGGAAAAAGGGTTTAAGATGTAAAGAATAATCCTCCCTGACAATCAGGTAGGTTAAGTATTGAGAAATAACTACCCTTTTAGCAACATGGGGAACATTGGCATCTTTGGCAAGGGCAATTTCGTAGTAGTGGTAAGGGTTGGCTATTCTTTTTTAAATTATTTTTATTTAGTTTAGAATTGATTCTTTCCTCCAAGAGGGAGCAAATTTTCTTTAAGTAGAACTTCCTAATTAATTAACTTTTTTTTTTTACTATTACCAAATATCTAAATGTGTGATGATCCTTCCTACTTAGACATAGTCAGCTTTACCTTCAGTCACCTCTCTAATTTAACTACCTTTAAAATGAAGTTTTTGTATTCTGAAACATAAATCAGTTTCTCCATATTTCCCCATTATTTGGTGAACTATGAAAATTAATATAATAATTATCTCAACAATTAATGATAGAGACTGGATTTTTTTAATCTCCCCTCAGCCATTGGAGGGAGATTCCTCTTACTCTTCTGAACAGCGCTTTATTTTGTATTTGCTCAAAAGGTAAAACTTAGTTACATAATGTTATTACATTGTAAATGTAAATTATTTAAGTATACTTAGAGCTAAACTAATCAAGAGGAGTGATAAAACTTTAAATAAAAGCATATAATTAAAGTAATGTTGAAAATATTAAAAAGATGTATTTGTAACTTTCCACACGTGGGATTAAATGCTACTGCTTAATCACAATTAATAAACCTATGACAGAACAAGAAAATGTAAATGTTTTACTCAATACATAACTGAAGGAATTAAATTCTAGAAGCAGGATTTATTGATGATTTATAAAAATCAATCTCTTTAAAAGACATTTTAAGGATATAAACAAGCATTGTGGTTACCCAAGGCAAAATTAAGCGTAAAAACATATTGCCTCTGAGGCAGAACAAAATCGCTTCTTGCAGGGAACAATATTGCAGAGTCGCAGCATGAGCCATGAATTCTATTTCAGGGAAGAGACTGAGAAAAAGAAAAACACATTAATAATAAGTTTCTGTCCATGATCACAGAAATCTAAATTTCCTGGCTTCGATACATGTGATGGAGTAAGAAAACTATACTTGCTATATATTTTCTGAAAGCTAACTGGTATCAAGTTTCCACTATTAAATGACCTCATGCATTTGTTTACCTTAAAAATAAATTAATTATTAGGATTAAGTGCTAAGACTATTTTATCTTCCTTCTTTAAGTTGGAATAGAGATAATTCTATTGTTTTGCATCTTACAAGTCATAGAGGAAAAAAACTGTGATTTTAAAATGTGTTCATGGTAGTATTTGGAGTAGGTGATGGTCTCATGGCACAGCATCGTAACAAATTTTTTGTAATAGCAAGTAATCTTTTGTTATTTATTTTTCCTTTAATGTATGTGTTTGTACTACCTTGCCTCCCTCCTCTGTCTCCTGTACCTGTATTGGTTTAAATCAGAATAAGAGTTTGAATTAGCAGTTTCTCTTAAACCATGCAGAAATTGTATCATATAGCTGAACGAGTGCATGAATGATTTGGACTATACCTCAGCCACTGGAGTGTACTACCCTGGAGTATTTAATCATCCAACAGTGTAATCAGTTCTGGGTCTGAAAGCCAGCTGACTTTCCAATATGGGATTTTTATTTTGCTGCACATTTTGTTATTGTGTCACCTGGATTGCTTTACTATTTTTTTTACAAGTTCCTTAAAAGCACACATTTTTTTGCTCTCAGATAATGAAAAAAGCAAAGGAATAGCAATATCCAGAAAAAAAAAAAAACCAGCTGAATACACATAATCATCATGAAACTTCACACTGTGATATATTATCTTTGATGCCATAGAGCAGATGTACTATATTTAGTTTTAATATCTTGGAAACAGCATGGATTCAAATTTGTGCATTCATCAGTCCTCATAGGAAACTATTTCTTTTTCCATACATTTTTTCTTTTCACATTTACCGAGGATGTATTCTCTCTTTTTATCTCAAATGATCCTTTTTTCTATGCGTTTCTACAGATGCTAGAAAGTTTCCATTGAAACCTTTCTAAAATTCTGAATTCATCCACCATTTTTTTTCCTTTTATGAAATTATTCCGTTTAAAGCTTTAAAATTTTTTTTCACTTCAAAATTATTTAATTTATTTAATGATAGAAAATCTTTGTGGACAAAATTTTACTTGAGGCTTCCCCTGTGGAATTACCATTTAGGTTTTAAGTCACTTTCTTCCATGCTGAGGTATTTGATTAAGTGAATACGTAATTTTCCTTAACGTCTCTGCGGATCTCTATGCTTATTATAATTAGCTTCTTTGGCACCAATTTTAGGGGAGAATTGCTCCTCTATAGCTTCCTTGATGTGGAAATTATTTTGAAAAGTACACGGCATGACCTTAGCAGATGTTCTGAATTTGTTACATTATTTTTGTATGGTGTCCCAGTCCCACCTCTTTTTATTCATACCAACTAAGGAAACATACCAACTAAACAATAGGACACTTTACAATACAATATCACTTTCTCTCATTTAATATTAAGGGTGTATTGTCAGATTTGTAAATAAGGCTAATGTATGTAATGTAATGTAAATAAGGCTTCCCTATTTATTTAAGTCTGTCAAAGTTTTCATAGTCACTATTACTATCATTTAAAGATGAAGACGACCTCTAATACTAACAAACTATTCTAAAAGAATAGCTTTGACTTTAGAACCACTAAATTTCAATATTGGTCATGAACAAAACTCTAGTAGAAATTTTACCGTGCAAAACTTGATATTTCATTACTGGATGAAACTGTAATTTTGATTTTAAACTACTGGTGTATCACAGCAAATCTCAAAACCCTAGAAAACACAGGAAAACTGTGCAAACAATTATTATTGAAACAATACAAGGAATTTAACTCATTGACAGTCTAATGGTCATACTTGACATTTTCCATTGACAGTCTAGTGGTCATACTTGACATTTTCCATTATATGTACCTAATACCTTGCATAATGGGTACCACAAAATAGACACTCGTGTGGGAGCAACGAAAAAATTAGACAACCAAAGTCTGAAGCCCTGTAAAAGCATTAGCTACTCTACGTTGAAAGGTGTAATAGAAAGGAGGATTTGTAAGTGGAAAGAAAAAGTAGAGATGCTGATGATATCATTTTACTAAATAGTAGTAAGCAATGTAGCATATTATTGGTGGAATAAGAAATAAAAATATAAGCAAATTTCCTCATTTTACAAAAGTTCTCTAAATAAAAAAAAAATCTTAGACAATTATTTCTCTTTTTTTCTGATTCTGAACATAGCAGCCATTTTCTTGGTTTCCCTTATATTTTACCACATGCATTAGATCTTTCATACCTTCTGCTATCTTATCTACCATCATCAGATCTGAGTTTCTGTGTATCTACATTGTTTTTATTTACATTTTCATTTTGTTACATTAGAATTAATGTTAATAACATGAAAAAAATATTGCATTTAGGAAACCTGATTACTCATATCAGAATAACTTATATAGAAAATATCTGAGTGGAAGTTGAATACAGTTCTATTTATCTATCATCTATTTATGTAGAATATTTATTGACAATTTAACATACTCAGGGTTTAAAAAATATTATAAATATCTTAACCATCTCATAAGTATTTTACTTAAAAGAGAATAGCCATCATGTTAACAGAATAATGACAGTTCTATTGAAATAAAAATGTATCATAATGTTTTGTTGTATTTTCCTATTTAACTGTTTTGCATCAATAATTTTAATCCATGTAGGGATATTTTTACTTTGTAGTTAAATTATTTTGGCACTAAACAATGAATTATAATGTTTTGGATTTTACCACCAACACTTTTAAAGGTATTATTATCATTAATTTAAAGTATTTAAGCTTTGATATATTTTATATTCAAGAAGACCTATATTTACTTGTGTGTGTGTGCTTGTGTGTGGGTGTATTCCAAGGAAATACTTATGAAACAAAGCAGTTATTTAAAAATTCTTATTAATTGTAAAGTATTTGAAGAATATATTTTGACTCAGTAAGCCACCTAGAATGTAAGTTCCATCATGAAAAGGATTTTTTTTTTAACTACTATTTGCCCACTACGTGGAACAATGAGTGATACATTTCAGTAACTCCATATATGTTTAGAAAATGCACTGATTAATTTAAAAACATCCTAATATATTTTATTTGTTCTAAATCTAAAGCTGAATATTATCTCTTTTGCATCATTATAAATATAGGTAAACAGAGGAAGTGTAAGCAACAATAGAATGTTTTGATTATCTGAAATCATCATCAAAAATATGAAAAATTAGCTAAAATTAATTTGTGGCATTGCATTTAAACTTATATTTTTTTTAGTTGTTTCCTTTTACACATAAACAAATGACAAGCATAGTTAATGACAGGAGTTTACTGGCTTGGACTTTAAATCCTTTCCCTTTTTTTCCTCGCTAAATTTGCTTTTTGGACACTTTATTTATTTATCCTGCATATTTATTTCCATGAGTTTGGGTTTATTAAATTACAAATACTGGTAAAATCTTCACTCAATAAATCATTTATTATAATTTATTAGGTTTTTATGGATTGGAATAGTAGAAATGTGTACCCTGTTAAAATATGTTTTGTATATTAATCCCAGGAATCCCAGTGATATTAAGAAATTTAGTATAAGTTTCGTCTTTCCAAGTCTGTAAAGTTCTGAACCATGGTTTAATCATTTTATTCATTTTAAAATTAAAATGTTGGCAATTTAATTTTGTATGTTTAAACAGACAGGTAATTAAAATAATAAATTGAAATATAAAATTAAAACTTACTACATCACTAAAATTAAACATAGAAGAAAATCTTCCTGATCTTCAAAGAAAAGCAAAGATTTTATTGAATACAAAATCTCAGACCAAAAATGAAAAAGAACACTGAACAATTAGGTATCTATTTCTATGAACACATTCTAAGAAACTTCAAAGCCAGCCATAGACTGAGAGAAAATATTTGTAAAACATTTATCAAAAGGGACTTGTGTTCAGAACACATAGAGAACTCACACTTAATTAGAAAAAACTTTAAAATGGACATAATATTTAAACAAAAATTATACAAATTATCCCAAAAAATATACATATAACCAAAAAGCACATGAAAAGTTGTTCAATGTCATAAGCCATCAGGGAAACATAAATTAAATATATTATGAGATACTTCTATACATCTGCTAAAATAGCATAAATTGTTTTTTAAAAAATACCTAAACTGTGGAAACCAAATAAGGGCAATGATTTGGGACAACTGGAGCTATCATATACTAATAGTGGGAAGAAAAAATGCTACAGCCATTTTGGAAAACCGTTTGACATTTTCTTATCAAATTCAATCTATGCTTACCACAAAACCAAACGATCCTACTTCTAGGTATTTAAAAAATAAAAATAAAACATAAATTTGCACAACACTTTGTACAGAAAGGTTCACAGCAGCTTTATTCAGAATAGCCAAAACCTGATAACAATTCAAATATCCATCAATAGATAAATGGGCAACCAATTGTATATTCACTCAATGGAAAATACTCTGTAATTAAAAAAAACTGCTTTTGTATATAATGACATGGATGAAGCTCAAAAACATGCTGACTGGAAGAATACAGACAAAAAGAATATATGCTGAATTATTATATTTA
Source organism: Homo sapiens (assembly GCF_000001405.40). Classification (NCBI taxonomy): domain Eukaryota; kingdom Metazoa; phylum Chordata; class Mammalia; order Primates; family Hominidae; genus Homo; species Homo sapiens. The sequence continues at coordinate 188,324,205 of NC_000001.11, forward strand.
TTAAAAATTCTAGAAAAGTCTAATCTATAGTGAAGGAGATTGGGGCAGGTGGTAGAGTTGCTTGACACGATGCTGAAGGAACTGTTGGAAGTGCTCTCATGTTCTGTATTTTAGTATTGTGGTGTTTACACAGGTGCATGAATTCTTCAAAACTTGTTGAGACGTACATTTAAAAATGATTCTCGGGCAGGGCGCAGTGGCTCATGCCTGTAATCCCAGCGCTTTGGGAGGCCGAGATGGGCGGATCACCTGAGGTCAGGAGTTTGAGACCAGCCTGACCAACATGGAGAAACCCCATCTCTACTAAAAATACAAAATTAGCCGGGCGTGGTAGCGCATGCCTGTAATCCCAGCTTCTCCGGAGGCTGAGGCAGGAAAATCACTTGAACCTGGGAAGCGGAGGTTGCGGGAGCCGAGATCGCACTATTGCAATCCAGCCTGGGCAACAACAGTGAAACTCCGTCTCCGAAAACAAAACAAAACAAAACAAAACAAAACAAAACAAAACAAAAGATTCTAAAAAATAAATAAATAAATTTTCAGGTTTTACTATACATGGTGTATTTTGACTTTGCCGAAGTCAGATTTAATATTATCTAGATTTTAGCTTCACAGTGTTTTATAAAGTGAGAATACAATATCTGAAAAAATTCTGGATTCTTATTACTTGCTATGAATGATTATATTATATTACTTGAAAAGAGATATCTACAATTTTATAATCTCCATTCACATCTAAACATACATTTTCTTTTCATATTTTTAGATTTTATTCTACTTGCCTTTGAATCACTTTCAATTCAAATGGGTTTTTAATTTAATCTGTTTTATTCTCAATATTCATTCAATATTTATTATTTTATTAAGATATTATTTGGTACAAGGTGAGAACAAAAAAATGCGGTCTTAAGCCAGCTCCTTGGTGGGAGTTGGCCAGTTTGACTTTTTGAGCAGTTGAATACACCCAACCCCAACCACTTTCCTTTTTTAAGGAGGTTTCACACTCTTTTAAGGAGGTTTCACACTCTAAGTCCACTGTACACACATCCTAATTACCCCAAGCCAGGTACCAGACAACTAGGAATAGCACTGATTCCTGGAGGCTGAGAAATTACTCATATTAGTCAATCCACGGATAGCATACAAAACCTAACTACCCCACCTCATTTGCCATAAATAAGCTGCTGCTATGGCTACTGTTTGTTATCACCCTGTTTATGCGGTGCAACCCGCATTTGATTCTATCTGACAGTTTTCTCTCAATCTTGTCTGTAAGAGAGTTCTGCTTTTCATCTTCTCCAGTATCATTGTGCTGTGTCCTGCCATTAAAAGAATCTTTAAATCTTATAACACTTCTGGAATATATTTCCAGATGAATTTAGAATTACCTAACATTTGAATTTTGCACAGGATGTTATTAAATGCTTTCATTCTACACAAATAGCTTAAATAAAAACCAAATCATTAGGTAAATATTTATAAATTTTGCTTGGAGATTGTAAAATCCATTGCTCTTGATGAATTTGCAAGTCAAATGATAAGAATATGTTATTTTTTCTATATATCTTCTTCATACATGATCTTAAATTCCCACATAGTTAAAATATTGAGATATTTTTAGAGTGCCTTTAAATTAATTATTGCCTGGATTTTCATTTTAACAGAAATATTGACAAATTAGAAAACCTACTGTAGAGGATGTGTAAGATAATAAGGGATTAGGAAATGAAGAATTGTAGAACCTGGTACAAAAACTACCACCTTTGTGGGAAATTCCTGTGATTCAGGAGGTTGCCTTTGCATGGATGAAAAGTAGACTCAGGATAATGTTAACAAAATATAGAGCAAAGTTTATATTTTCTTATGCCACCCCCACCACCCTTTATTTTAACTAAATTACGCCTTTACTTGAGCAATCTTTCAGGTTCATTCTACTGGTTCGACAGATGGTACAGTAAACTTTTTGTTATTCTGAGACTCACAATTGAATTTCAGAATTTATTCAGGTTTCCCCTCAAACTTTAGACTTTTCATGAGTTGTTAAAAGTTTCATGGTGGTTTAGGCAAAAAAAAAAAAAAAAAAAAAACCTTTATTGAACACTGAAAATTTGTAGTTGTTTATTTTGTCAAACACAATTCCATTTTTTTTTTTTTACTTAAATTTTAGAACTACCCACAAAATGAATAGTGTGACCCATTTGTTAACTTCCAATGCTTAAGAACAGCTAGAGGCCAAGAAATGATCTGAAAGTCTAAGTCTATTGAAAGGGGACTCTGCAATCAGTGGAATCTGGTTCTATTGTTAGGTCTAAGTGTAAATCAGACATGTTCTTGCATAAGTCATTTTGTTTCTGTGCTACATAGTGTTCTCAGTAGCAGCATTAAATTTTGAAACAGAAAAGCTCCAAAATTATTTCTGTTCAAAAATTGTTTTACCTCATGCCAATTTTTAATAGTTTAAATCAAAACACTGAGTATTTTAAGATATTTTGTTTTATCCTCTATTTTTATTAAATTTTTTTCAGTGGAAGCAAGCTTTCTCTATTCCCAGATGAATATTCTTACATTCCCATGGAATTTTCTCTCTCCTTTCTCTTTGTTAACAGTTAATATTGGTAACTTTAAGTCATATCATCATCTCATTTTAGTGATTGGAATTTTTAGTTCTATTTAATATGAAAACAACTGAACTTGACAGCATAAAATACAATATTTTTAACTAACTTGTTACTATTGTTATAAAATAATTTATGTGCCGGGCGTGGTGGCTCATTCCTGTCATGCCAGCAGTTTGAGAGGCCAAGGCCGGTGGATCACCTGAGGTCAGGAGTTCGAGACCAGCCTGACCAACATGGTGAAACCCCGTCTCTAGTAAAATACAAAAATTAGCCAGGCATGGTGGTGTGCACCTGTAATCCCAGCTACTCAGGGGGCTGAGGCAGGAGAATTGCTTGAACCTGGGAAGCGGAGTTTGCAGTGAGCCGAGATCGTGCCACTGCGCTACAGCCTAGGCTACAGAGCGAGACTCCATCTCAATAAATAAATAAATAAATAAATAAAACAATTTATGTAATGCCTAAAGCCTTATTCACATTTAGTATCAATTGAATGCTAGCTATTTTTGAACATAATTTTAACACTGTGTGGAACACTTCATGTACGTTTTGTTATCTGGCACCAATGTTTAGGCTAAAATAAAATTTTGTATGTTGAGCATTCCTTTTGTTTTAAGTTTGTAGACTATGTACACCTTAATGAATGAATAGAAAATAAATAATAGAAAAGTAAGTTGAAGTTATATAACTTAATTTGAACAATTACAAGACCTGATTTTCAAAGATATGTTTCTTGTTTACAATTTGTATAACTTTTTTACAAGCATCTTTAAATGGATGATTTCTTTGCCATTCAAATGACATTTCCATGGCGGTGGATTAAAAGAAAAAGCTGAAATAGTTTGAATAACAGAAGAATGGCATATTACTAGTGTTATAGACATAAACGAATTAAATAGAGAGGTGATAGATGTTTTGGTCTTCTGGGCTCCCAACAAAATCTTCATTAGTAATGTCCCATTTAACCTACCCATAATCACAGTTCTTATCATAAACTTTACTCTTTCCTACCTCTATTCCCTCTTAATTTATCTGAGTTAAGTATTTTCCCTCTTAATTTATCTGAGTTAAGTATTTGAGGCTTTGCCTTGCATAATTGTGCTTCCAATCTGTCTCTGAAACCATTGCCGAGTAAGACCCTGATTACTTTACATCTTCTTACACCTACACTACAAAAACACTTTCCGTCTGTATCAGAAGTTCACCTTCTGTTAAAAGTAAAACATTCTCATGAGGGTGTATAAAAATGTGTAATTATAATTAAGTTATTCAAATAGATTTATCTTCACTATATTTTTTTAATTTGTGATTTTATTACCTTTCAACAGATAAAATACCAAGGTTACAGAAATTGTAACTCACATGAATGCTCTAAAGAATGTGGTCAGAGTCTGATTATACTAGTTGGACTGACTTTGGTAAACTGTCCGTTATATGAGTCTCCTTACAAAGTTATTTTTAGCCATTTAACATTGTCACAGATGGATCAATAAGAAAAATGGCCAATTTTGATTCTCTGACCTCTGCGATTTGATGAATTTCACATGCATTCATGATAACTATTATAATTGTTATAAGTAGATCACTGGTCTTCTAAATCTATAGTACACTTAAGTGAATAAATTACTTGAATAGATATTATTTATGATTAATGATATGCAGATATAAAATCTGATTATTTTGGGGCATCAAAAAAATGAAAATTTTTTCAGCATAGTCATTGAAAAAATGCAAATGAAAAATAGATTATCTTCATGTACCAGAAATGTTTGCAACTTGTCCTCATGAATTATGTATGTGAATGGCTAATCACCATTATATTTTACAAATCTCTGTAAATAGCATCCCCATATACTGATGTTATGGGAACAAAAATAAGAGAGTATTAAATTGGGATTTAATGAACTCTTTCTTGTTGCACCCCCATCTAGTTTTAAATATATTATAATCATTGAAGTTCTGTACTTTAGGGGAAAGTTTGGCATGAGAGATAAAGTTTTATTCATAGCCATATTTTGTTGGTGTCTATATTATGTATAGCGATTTGAGAGGTGTAATCTCCATTCCAGATGGGTCCACTTAAATAAGAGGTTTAAAAAGTAGTAAAAAAACTTTATTTCAGTTTTTTAAATAAAAAAGTATATTGCAAAATTATTCTTCTTTTCTAATTCTGATGAGACCATCAGATGTTTGCTTATATGGGTTATTTTCAAAACATATTTTGGTAAATTAATAGGAAAAATCACCCCAGTTCTTCACATCTCCTTGTATCCATGACTTCAGCAAAATGAGTTTGCATCTCCTCAAAATCAAGAGAGGGAGACTGTGCATTCCACCGCTGAATTTGGGTGGCCTTGGGTTTTGTTTTAGCCAATAGAATACCATAGATATGTCAGTTCCCAAACTAGCTCTCAATAGGCCTTGAAATCTCCTACTGTCACTCATGAACTTCAGCTACCATCATGAGAATAAGCTCAGATATACCTTCTGAAAGATGGGAAATTCGTGGAACAAGCTGAATCTTCTTACTCAATACCATCCAACATATGTGATTGAGTCCTACAGAGACCAGAAAAACCACCTAAGCTGAGCCAAGATCAGTTGAACAGCTTAGCCATTCTTTGGATTTGTAGGTATAATAAATGATTGTTGTTTTAAGCCCCTAAATATTGAGTTTATTATACAATATATTGTGGTATTAGATAATTGAGACATATTTAAAATTGGCAGCTCCATTATTTATTCTAGTACATCTTAGATATTCTAGGATCACTACATTTATTATTTAATTTTTTGAAAATCAACCTCTATAATAACTAATGTTATAACCATTAAAATTTGAGAAGAGGAATCTAAGTACTATACTTCCCCCTCCTATTTCGTAGGTAGTATTCAATATATAAGGCCTCCTAATAATAAATTAAATAACAAGAATACATATGTATTTCCTACATTAAGAAGTTTATTCCAGAAGAGGAGAAAAACACAAATTGCCAAAAACAAATAAGTTGACTAATAAATAAAATAGGAAAGATAGAACAAAGAACCCTTTCATTCTAAGCCCTTCTGTACTATTTAAAAATTTTATAATATGTAGTGCCCATAGTACTTATTAAAAAAAGCCTATCCTTGCTCATTAATACCACAAAACCCACTGTAAATATTAAAATGTTTTATAATAACAACAGAATTTCTATATTGTCAAATGGAAAAAAACACTTTAAAAGTGTTTACATAACATCCAGGTATCATAAAAAATACACAGATTAAAAGAATAGCCAGTTCTATAGTCTGAATGATTATAAAAAATTAAAATTATCAAAAAGATTTGTTATCCCCACAGTCCTTATTTAATAGTGTGTTTAAAATGAAACAACATAAAAATAAAACAAGGGCAAACAAAATATAAATTTGATACAAAGTTTAAAATAACCAAGTATACTCTTTATACTTTTTTTATTTTTAGTTTTTTAGGTATATCATAGGTGCATCTATGTATGAAATATATGAGATGTTTTCATACAAGCATGCAGTATGAAATAAGCCCATTATGAAGAATGAGGCATCCATCAATCCAAGCATTTATCCATTGAGTTTCAACCAATGCAATTATACTCTTTATTTTAAAATATGCAATTAAGTTATTATTGACTATAGTCACCCTAATGTGCTGTCAAATGGTAGATCTTATTCATTCTTCCTATGTTCTTTTTGTACCCATTAACCATCCCCACCTTTCCCCACCACCACCCCATTACCCTTCCCAGCTGCCAGTAACCACCTTTCTACTCTCTATGTCCCTGAGTTAAATTGTTGTGGTTTTTATATCCCACAAATAAGTGAGAAAAGGCAATGTTTGTCCTTCTGTGCCGGGTTTATTTCACTTAACATAATGATCTCCAGTTTCATTCATGTTTTAGCAAATGACTGTATCTTATTCCTTTCTATGGCTGAATTGTACTCTATTGTGTTGACACGGTTTGGATGTGTCTCCACCCAAATCTCATTTTGAATTGCAGCTCCCACAATTCTCATGTGTTGTGGGATGGACACATTGGGAGGTAATTGAATCAAGGGGGTGGGTCTTCCCTGTGCTGTTCTCATGATAGTGAATAAATCTGATGAGATCTGTTGTTTTTATAAAGAGGAGTTCCCCTGCACAAGTTCTTTCTTCTGTGTCACTGTCTAAGGTGTGACTTGCTCCTCCTTGCCTTCTGCCATGATTGTGAGGTCTCCCCAGCCATGTGGAACTGTTAGTCAATTAAAGGTCTTTCTTTTATAATTACCCAGTCTTGGGTATGTCTTTATTATCTGTATGAGAACAGGCTAATACCGTGTATATGTATCACATTTTCTGTATCCATTTGTCTGTTGGTGGACACTAGATTGCTTGCAAATCTTGGCTATTGTGAACAGTGCTGCAATAAACATGGAAGTACAGACACCTTTGGATATACTGATTTCAGATATTTGGGGTGTATATTTTGGTGTGGGATTGCTGGATTTTAGTTTTTTTGTGAAAGCTACACACTGCTTTCCATAGTGTTTATACTAATCTACATTTCTACCAACAGTGTACTAGGGTTTCCTTTTATTCACATCCTCACCAGCATTTGTTATTGCCTGTCTTTTGGATACAAGCCATTTTAACTGGGGTGAGATGCTATCCCATTGTAGCTTTGATTTGCATTCTTCTGATGATCAATGATGTTGAGCACCTTTTCATATGCCTGTTTGCTATAGAGAAATATCTACTTAACTCTTTTGCCCATCTTTTGATCAGATTATTAGATTTTTCTTGTAGAGCTGTTTGAGCTCCTTATACATTCTGGTTGTTAATCCCTTATGAGATAGGTAGTTTGCAAATACTTTCTCCCATTGTGTGAGTTGTCACTTCACTTTGATTGTATCCTTGGCCGTAAACCTAATATGATTTCAGTTGTTCATTTTTGCTTTGCTTGCCTGTGCTTGTGGCATATTGCTCAAAAATTTTTGCCCAGATCAGTGTCCTGGAGGTTTTCCCCAATATTTTATTTGTGTAGTTTCATGTTTTGAGGTCTTAGATTTAAGTCTTTAATCCATTTTGATTTGATTTTTGTATATGTCAAATAGGGGTCAGTTCTTTTCTTCTGCATATGGATATCCAGTTTTCCCAGAACCAGTTATTAAAAAGACGGCCTTTTCCTTAGTGCATTTTCTTAAGACCTTTACTGAAAATGAGTTCAGTGTAGTTGTGTGGATTTGTTCCTGCATTCTCTATTCTGTTCCATTGGCTTTGTGTCTGTTTTTATGCAGTATAGTACTGTTTTGGTTACTATCACTCTACTATGGTTTGAAGACAGTAATGTGATTTCTCCAGTTTTTTTATTATTATTATTAGGATAGTTTTGGATAGCTCTTCTTTTGTTCTTTTTGTTTAGGAGAGTTTAGAATAGCTATTCTTGTTTTTTGTGTGTTTGCATATAAATTTTGGAATTATTTTTTCTATGTCATTGAAGAATATCATTGATATTTTGATAGGGATTGCATTGAATCTGTAGATTGGGTAGTATGGGGATTTTAACAATATTGATTCTCCCAATCCATGAAAATAGAATATTTTTCTATTTTTTGTGTCCTCTTCAATTTCTTTCATCAATGTTTTATAGTTTTCATTATAGAGATCTTTCACTTATTTGGTTAATTCCTAGGTGTTTAATTTTTTTATGGCTATCGTAATTGGGATTACTTTTTTAAATTTCTTTTTTACATTGTTCACTGTTGGCATTTAGAAATGCTACTGATTTTGAATGTTGATTTTGTATCCTGCAACTGTACTGAATTTGATTATCAGTTCTAATAGTTTTTTTGGTGATTTGTTTAGGTTTTTCAAAATACAAGATAATATATCTGTAAACAAGAATAATTTCACTTCTTCCTTTCAGATTTGGATGCGCTTTTTATCTCTCTTGTCTAATTTTTCTAGCTAGGACTTCCAATGCTCTGTTGAATAACAGTGGTAACAGTGAACATCCTCGTAGCGTTCCAGATATTAGAGGAAACGTTTTCATTTTCATACCATTCAGTGTGATACTAGCTGTGGATCTATCATATGTGGCTTTTATAATGTTCAGGTATGTTCTTCCTATATCCAGATTTTTTGAGGATTTTTACCATGAAGGTATATTAAATTTTATCAAATGCTTTTTTTCATCAGTTTAAATGATCATATTCTTTTTAATCCTTTATTCTGTTGATGTGATGTATCACATAGATTGATATGCTTCTTTTTAAGCATCCTTGTATGCCATGGATAAATCCCACTTGGTCAAGATGAAGGATCTTTCTAATGTATTGTTGAATTCAGTTTGCTAGTATTTTGTTGAGAATTTTTGCATCAATATTCATCAGAGATATTGGGCTGTAGTGTTCTTTTTTTTTTTGATATGACTTTGCCTGGTTTGGTTTACTATCAGGGTAACACTGGCCTCACAGAATGAGTTTAATAGAATTCTCTCCTTTATTCTTTGGAATAATTTGATTAGGATTGGTATTAGTTTTTCAAATGTTTAGTAGAATTCAGCAGTGAAGCCATCAGGTCCCAGGCTTTCCTTTACTGGAAGACTTTTTATTATGGTTTCTATCTCATTACTTTATATTCATCTTTTCAGGTTTTTTTATTTCTTCCTGGTTCAATTTTGGTAGGTTGTATATATCTAGAAATTTTTCCATTTCTTCTAGATTTTCCAATTTATTGGCATGTAATTGGTCATAGCAGCCACTAATGATCCTTTGAATTTCTGCAGTGTCAGATGTAATGTCTCTTTTTACATTTCTGATTTGATTTATGTGAATCTTCTCTCTTTCTTAGTATGGCTAAATGTTTGTCAATTTTGTTGAACTTTTCAAAAAGCCAACTTCTTATTTCATTGATCTCTTGTACTGTTGTTTTATTATTTCATTTCAGTTTCATTTATATCTGTTCTGTTCTTTATTATTTCTTGTACCAATTATGGGTTTGATTTTCTCTTGCTTTTCTCATTTTTAAGATGCATTGTTAGATTGTTTATTTGAAATGTTTTCTCTTTTTTAATTTAAGCACTTACAGCTATAAACTTCCCTCTTAGTACTGTTTTTGCTATATTCCATCAGTTTTTATGTTGTGTTGGGATTATCATTTATTTCAAGAAAATTTTCAATTTATTTCTTTATTTATTGAACTACTGGTCATTCAGGAGCATATTGTTTAATATTTATGTATTTGTATACATAAAGAATTTTGAAAATTCTTCTTGTCATTAATTTCTAGTTTTGTTCCATCAGGGTTAGAAAAGATGCTTGATATTACCTCAAATTTTTAAAGGTTTTAAGACTTATTTTGTGATCTACCATATGGTCTATCCTTGAGAATGATCCATATGCTGAAAAAAAGAATGTGTATTCTGCAGCTCTTGCATGAAATGTTCTGTAAGTATCTATTAGATCCATTTGATCTATAGTGCAGATTAAGTCTGATGTTTCTTTGTTGATTTTTTTTCTGGAAAATCTGCTTAATACTAAATAAGAGCTGAAGTCTGCGACTATTATTTTATTGGGGCCTAGCTTTCTCTTTAGTGCTAATAATATTTCCTATATATATCTGAGTGCTCCAGTGTTGAATGCATATATATATTTATAACTGTTATATTCTCTTGCTGAATTGATCCCATTGTCATTATATAGTGATGTTCTTTGTCTCTTTTTTAGAGTTTTTGTCTCGAAATCTATGTTGTGTGATATAAATATAGTGACTGTTGCACTTTTGTGGTTTCCATTGGCATAAAATATCTTTTTCTTTTTTTAAATTTCAGTCTATTTGTGTCTTTACAGGTGAAATATGTTTGTTATAGCAACAGTTCATGGGTCTTATTTTTTCATCCCTTCTACCAGTCTATGTCTTTTGATTGGGGTGTTTAGGCCATATACATTCTATGCTATTACTGATAAGTAAAGACTTATTCCTGCCATTTTCTTATTTTTTGGTTGTTTTGTGATCTTCTCTTCCTCTTCTCTATCATTCCTGTCTTCCTCTAGTGCAGATAATTTTCTCTAGTGTTATAATTTAGTTTATTGCTTTTTGTTTTTTGTGTATCCATTGTATGTTTTTTGGTTTGAGGTTATCATGAGGCTTTCAAGTACTATTTTATAACCCATTATTTTAACCTAATAACAACAGTATTTGTATTAATCAGGGTTCTCTAGAGGGACAGAACTATTAAGAGATATATATAGTTTATTAAGTATTAACCCCCATGATCACAAGGTCCTAGAATAAGCTGTCTGCAAACTGAAGAACAAGAAGAGCCAGTCTGAGTCCAAAAACTGAAGAACCTAGAGTCCAGAGTTCTAGGGCAGGAAGCATCCAGCACCACAGAAAGATATAGGCTGGGATGCTGGGCCAGTCTATTCTTTTCACATTTTTCTGCCTGCTTTATATTCACTGGCAGCTTATTAGATGGGGCCCACCTAGATTGTGGGTGAGTCTTCCTTTCCCAGCCCACTGACTCAAATATTAATCTCCTTTGGCAACACCCTCAAGACACACACAGGATCAGTACTTTGCATCTTTCAATCCAATCAAGTTGACACGCAGTATTAACCATCACAGTTCTACCCCTTGTCAACTTGAACCTATACACATCTCCTGAGATCATACATAATCTTCAAATAAAGACAAAAATAATGTCATAAATACACCTAACATAATAAAACTATCCTTCATACAACCAGAAATGCACGAATCCCCAAAAGTTAACAAAGTATTGTTAACTTTACGCTATTACAGTTAAAAATGCTGACATGAAGTCAATAAATCTTACGTTGCATGATAAAGGAAAAATGAAATAAAATGAGGATATTTTATTAGTGCAAGTGTGTACATGCACAAACATATTTTTAACAAAAAGAAGGAGGAAATACTCATGACAATTACAGTCATTTCTGCAGCTGGTCACGTGGTCGTAGCTGGTATTGATAACTACCTTCTTCTACTACGCATTCTGTATTCCCTTTGCCTTCAGCAAGTGCCTCAGCAGGTCATGATTTTATTTCCAGGTGGAGTGACTCAAACTTTCATTCCTGAAGGGTCTGGGCAATTTATAGTACTACCTGGATTGGGCTGTTGTAGTTTCTCATTGACCTTAATCACAGGGCATGGTAATACTAAGAGATGCCCTAAAGGATCTCCTGTATTCCATGCATACTATTCCTTGCCTCTGTTGTGAAACAATACACTGATTTCATCTTGATAGTCCCAGTCAGTCATCCCAGCCAAAACTGTAACTCCCTTCTTAACCTGTTGACTTAAAGGTAGGAGGAGACCAAACTGTCCAGGTGGCAATCTTAACTTCCAGTTTAATGAAATCATTGTTGTGTCTCCTGGTGGCAGCTTTCCTCACTCTGGAACTAAGACCTATAGGCCAGCAGAACATAATGTCATGGGAACAGGAAGCAAAACAATAATTTTGCTAGTGGGTCATTAGGGGTGATGGTGATTGGTGCCGCTTACACTTTTACCCCTTGATTCCTGGAGCCATAAATCCTTGCTATGGGAGAAACAGTACCATATATTGGATGCCAATTCAGAGTATACGTGGCCTTCTGGAAAACTTTGCCCCTATTGTCACCTAGTTGACATTGTAATTATGACTTCAAAGGGCCATTCCACCATTCTATCAAATCAGCTGCCTCAGGATGACAGGGAACATGGTAAGACCAGTGAATTTCATGAGCACAAGCCCACTGCCACACTTCTTTAGCTGCAAAGTGAGTGCCTTGTTCAGAGTCAATGTGGTGTGAAATACCACGGTGGTAGATAAGGCGTTCCATGAGTCCATGGATGGTAGTCTTGGCAGGATCATTGCGTGCAGGACAGACAAACCCATATCTGGAGTAAGTGTTTATTCCATTGAGGACAAACCTCTGCGCTTTCCATGATGGAAGAAGTGCAATATAATCAACCTGCCACTAAGTAGCTGGTTGATCACCCCAAGGATTTGTGCCATATTGAGGGCTCAGTGTTGGTCTCTGCTACTGGCAAATTGGGCACTTAGCAGTGGCTGTAGCCAAGTCATCCTTGATGAGTGGAAGTCCATGTTGCTGAGCCCATGCATAACCTCCATCCCTGCCACCATGACCACTGTTCATGAACCCACTGGGCAAGGATGGGAGGCTGGGGAAAGGCTGATTGTTGTCCACAGAATGGGTCATCCTATCCACTTGATTATTAAAACACTCCTCTGCCGAGGACACACATTTGTGAGCACTCACATGGGATACAAATATCTTTACAGTTTTTGATCACTCAGACAGGTCCATCCACATACCTCTTGCCCAAATTTTTTCATCACCAGTTTTCCAATCATGTTTCTTCCAAGTCCCTGACCATCCAGGGCAACTATGGCTCCAACCCATGAATCAGTACATAATCGCACATCTGCCCATGTCTCCTTCCATGTAAAGTGCACAACCAGGTGCATTGATTGAAGTTCTGCCCATTGGGAAGGTTTCCCTTCACTGCTATCCTTCAGGGATGTCCTAGAAAGGGGCTGCCGTGCTGCAGCTGTCCACTTTTGAGTGGTGCCTGCATATTGTGCAGAACCATCTGGGAGCCAGTCCCTAGTCTTCTCTTCCTCTGTCAACTGATCATAGGGGAACTCCCCATGAGGCCACTGGTGCAGGCTATGGGAGAGAAGGCAGGGTGGAATGAATGGAGACCATGGGCATTTAAGTCACTTCCTCATGTAACTTACTTGTGCCGTCATGACCTGCTCAAGTCCGATCACTTATATACCCCTTCAATTTCATGATGGAATGCTTCTGTGCATGGCCCACTTTATGGCTAGATAGGTCAGAAAGCATCTGGTTCATAACAGGCAGTTCAGGTTGCATGGTGACTTGATGACCCATAGTCAAATATTCAGTTTCCACCAAAACCCAGTAACGGGCCAAGAGCCATCTCTCAAAAGGAGAGTAGTTATCTGGAGAAGATGGAAGGGCCTTCCTCCAAAATTCTAGAGGCCCTTCTTTGATTTACCTATGGGGGCCTGCCTAAGGCTCCCAACAGCATCCCTATCTGCCTATGATGCCTCAGGCACCATTGGATCTGCTGGGTCATATGGCCCAAGTGGCAGAGCAGCTTGCACAGCAGCCCAGACCTATTGCAGAGTCTTCTCCTGTTCTGGACCCCACTCAAAGCTAGCAGCATTTCAGGTCACTGGATAAATGGGCCAGAGTGACACACCCAAATGAGGAACATGTTTCCTCCAAAATCCAAATAGGCCCACTAGGCATTGTGCCTCTTTCTTGGTTGTAGGAGGGCCGAATGCAGCAACTTATCCTTCACCTTGGAAGGAATATCTTGACAGGCCACACACCACTGGACCCCTAGAAATTTTACTGAGGTAAAAGGTCCCTGAATTTTAGTCAGGTTTATTTTCCATCCTCTGGCATGCAAATGTACCACCAATCAGTCCAGTGTATTTGCTACTTCTCACTCACTGGATCCAATCAGCATAATGTCATCAATGTAATGGACCAATATGATACCTTGTGGAAGTGAAAAGCAAATAACATTATGACAGCAAGCCGGAGAGTTGATATGCCCCTGAGGTAGGACAGTAAAGATATATTGCTGCCCTTGCCACCTGAAGACAAATTGCTTCCGGTGGGCCTTAGGGACAGGAATGGAGAAAAAGGCATTTACCAAGTCAATGGCTGCATATCAGGTACCAGGATATTCCTTAATTTGCTCAAGCAATAATCACATCTGGTACAGAAGCTGCAATTGGAGTCGCCACTTCAGTAAGCTTACCATAATCCACTGTCATCCTCCAAGATCCATCTGTCTTCTGCACAGGCCAAATAGGAGAGTTGAATGACGGTGAGGTGGGAATCACCACCCCTGCATCTTTCAACTCCTTGATGGTGTCACTAATCTCCGTGATCCCACCAGGGATGCAATATTATTTTTGATTTACTATTTTTCTAGGTAGTGGCAGCTCTAATGGCTTCCATTTGGCCTTTCCCACCATAGTAGCCCTCACCTTAACAGTCAGGGAGCCAATGTGTGGCTTCTGCTACGTGCTAAATATGTCCATGCCAATTATGCATTCTGGCACTGGGGAAATGACCACAGGATGAGTCCAGGGACCCACTGGACCCACTGAAAGTCAGACTTGAACTAAAACTCCATTAATTATCTGACCTCCACAACCCCTACTTTAACTGGAGGACCACAATGACGTATTGGGTCTCCTGGAATCAATGTCAGCTCAGAACCAGTGTTCAGTAGTCCCTAAAATATCTAATGATTTCCGTTTCCCCAGTGCATAGTTACCCTGATAAAAGGCCAAAGGTCTCCTTGGGGAAGTATTGAAGAAACATTAACAGCATACATTGTTGGTAGTGTAGTGCGGTCCTTCCTCAAGGGGACCCTGCCTCCCCTTCATTCAGGGGGTTCTGTGTCTGTAAACTGCCTCAAGTCTGGAAATTGATTGGGGAGCCATGATTCTCTGTTTTTATAATTCAATAGTCCTTTGTCCATTCTACCTAGATGTTTTCTGCTTATATATAAATTAAGTAGAAATGCAGTAGGCTTCCTATCAATTTCACTTCTAAGAACACAGTGATAAATTAGCCAATGCCAGAGCTCTACATGAGTCAGAATATTCTGATTGCTGCTTTGCCTCTGTTGTCAATTATTGTGTCTACGTCCACCTTGCTTTTGATAGTCAAGTGCCACCACTTGGCCCCTGCCACCTCGGCATCCAATTATTCCCATTGTATTTAAATTTTGTATTTGAGTGACTGCACTTCCGACAGTTCTGACATAGAGAGAAGAGTGATTACAGGGCTCTTCAAAGATGCAGGTGCTGCCCTCACAAATCTATTTCACAAGGCATTGGCCAAGGGTATATCTTCTGGGCCCTCTTAGCTGGGAGGAGTAGGTCTAAAGTGACTAATCCACTCCAACATCCCGATCTCCCTAAGCCTTTGAATCCTTTCCTCTACATTAAACCAAGGGAAATCAGGCATTTTCAGCTCACTTATAGTGGGCCATCTTTTAATCCATATTTCAGCTAACCAAGCAAATAAACTATTAGAACCTTTTATTAACTCCCCTAGCTGCAATATTAAATGCAGAGTCCCTGCTCAGTGGGCGTAAATCAGTGAAGTCAGCCTGATACAACCCTTTGTTCCTTCCACACTTATCCCACAACCTTAATATCCATTTCTATGCCTATTCTTCAGATTTCTGCTTATATTAATTAGAAAACTCAAGCAATTATTTTTGAGTGTAGTGCACCTCCTCATGTGTCACATGTTGAGCATCACCTCTAGGGGCTCGCCGGGACATTAGTCTAGTTGTAAGTCTAGAAGAAAACAGGAGTGTTGGGGGTGGCTCCTGAGGAGAATCAACATTATCTTGCCTGGCAGCTGCCTTAGGTGAGGCCATGCCATTACTGTTGCCTCAAGCAGTACAGGGTTTGCCTCCTCAGGCAAAGGTGGAAAGGCTGATGGCAGCATGGGTCAGGGAGGGGATGTTGCCCCTGCTGGGGATGGGGAAGCTGTTCCTTTTGGCAAAAAAAGTTTCATCAGATTTTACAAACTCAGTGTCCCCAGCTTCATCAGTGTCCTCCCACATGTCCCCATTACAAGTTGCAGGGTCCCATTCTTTTCCAATCAATGCCCTCACTTTAACAGTAGCCACCCGGCGAGGCTGTGCATGCATCTTTTATTGTAGGTCAGCACTCACACAATAAGAGCTTGTGTCTGTTTTGCACAATTTTGGCTCCTTCTTTAAAGGAGAAGCTGGAAACCATCATTCTCAGTAAACTGTCGCAAGGACAAAAAACCAAACACCCCATGTTCTCACTCATAGGTGGGAATTGAACAATAAGAACACATGGACACAGGAAGGGGAACATCACACACCAAGGCCTGTTGTGGGGTGGGGGGAGGGGGGAGGGATAGCATTAGGAGATATATCTAATGTTAAATGACAAGTTAATGGGTACAGCACACCAACATGGCACATGTATACATATGTAACTAACCTGCACATTGTGCACATGTACCCTAAAACTTAAAGTGTAAAAAAAAAAAAGACTCTCACTCAGGGCAATCTTAACAGATTTGAGGCTCAGTATCTGCTTCTGAAGCCAGGAGTTAGAATATCTGAGTTCATCATTTTTTTTCTATCATTTTGTCCATTGAACTTAGGAGCAAACAACCAGCTTCATTATGTTCCTTGGTTCTCCACACATGGTCAAAGGTATTATGCAGAGAGTCAGAAAACTCCTTGTCTCTCACAAGGAGTGAATCATGACTGTCAAATGCATTCATTTTGCATAACTCTCTAAACAGTTCACACCACAGTCTATCAGTGCTCTTCACACTATTAGAAGTAGAGCCCTTAGCATTTTTGGGTCTAATCATATTTAAGCAGCCAACTCCAGAACCCCACACTAACAAAAAAACGTCATGCTTAATATTCTGTTCTTCTAGAACCACTCCTGGTAACAAAATCTGATTAATCAGGGTTCTCTACAGGAACAGAACTAATAGGACAGATATATACGTATACAGGAGGGTTTATTATGTATTAACTCACAAGATCACATGGTCCCACAATAGACTGTCTACAAGCTGAGGAGCAAGGAGAGCCAGATGGAGTCCAAAAACTGAAGAACTGGCCGGGTGCGGTGGCTCACGCCTGTAATCCCAGCACTTTGGGAGGCTGAGGCGGGCAGATCATGAGGTCAGCAGATCCAGACCATCCTGGCTAACACAGTGAAAACCCATCTCTACTAAAAATACAAAAAAATAGCCGGGCGTGGTGGCTGGAGCCCATAGTCCCAGCTACTTGGGAGGCTGAGGCACGAGAATGACATGAACCCGGCGGGGAGCTTGCAGTGAGACGAGATCACGCCACTGCACTCCAGCCTGGGCGACAGAGTGAGACTCTGTCTCAAAAAAAAAAAAAAGAAAACAAAAAACGAAGAACTTGGAGTCCAATGTTTGAGGGCAGGAACCATCCAGCACCACAGAAAGAGGTAGGCTAGTAGGCTAGGCCAATCTAGTCTTTTCATGTTTTTCTACCTGCTTTATCTTTGCTGGCAGCTAATTTGCCAGTGCTCACCCAGATTAAGGGTGGGTTTTCCTTTTACAGAGCACTGACTCAAATGTTAATCTCCTTTGGCAACACCCTCACAGATACACCCAGGATCAATACTTTATATCTTTTAATCCAATCAAGTGGACACTCAGTGTTAACCATCACACTGTTTGCATTAATGAACAAACATTCAAAAAAAAAAAAAACTAACAAAAACTTGCCTTAACTGTTTACCCCCAACTTTTTAATTTTTGTTGTTTCTATTTATATTTTATTGTACTATGTCTTGAAAAGTTTTTGTAGTTATTACTTTTTACTGGTTCATTGTTTAGTCTTTCTACTTAGGATAAGAGTAATTTGCCCATCACAGTTACAGTGTTATAATCTTCTGTGTACTTACTATTACCAGTAAGTTTTATACTTTCAGATTATTATTTATTGTGCATTAATATCCTATTCTTTCCGATTGAAGTACACCCTTTAACATTTCGTATAAGATGAGTTTGGTATTGATAAAATCCCTTAGCTTCTGTTTGTCTGGAAAAGTCTGTATTTCTTTTTCATGTTTGATACAGTATATCTTCCCTGGCATACTACTCTAGGGTAAATTTTTTTTTTTCTTCAGCACTTTAATTATGTCATGGCACTATCTCCTGGACTGTAAGTTTTCCATTGAAAAGTTTGCTGCTAGATGTATTGGAGCTTCATTGCATGTTATTTGTTTCTTTTCTCTTGCTGCTTTTAGGACCGCTTCTTTATATTTGACTTTTGGGAGTTTACTTATTAAATGCCTTGAGGTCATCTTCTTTTGTTTAAATCTGCTTATTGTTCTATAATTTTCTTGTACCTTGATATTGATACCTTTCTCTAGGTTAAGTTCTCTGTTATTATCCCTTTGAAAAAACTTTTTACCCTTATCTGTTTCTCTACCTCCTCTGTATGGCAAATACATCTTAGATTTGCCCTTTTGAGGCTATTTTCTAGATTTATGGGGATCCTTCAATGTTTTTTATTCTTTTATCTCCTCTGAGTGTGTATATTCAAATAGGCTGGCTTTAAGCACACTAATTCTTTCTTCTGCTTGATCGATCATAATATTAAAGGATTCCAATGCATTCTTCAGTATTCCTATTGCATTTTTCAGCTCCAGAATTTCTGCTTGATTTTTAAAAATTATTTCAATCTTTGTTAAATTCATCTGATAGAATTCTGAATTTCTTCTCTGTGTTATCTTAAATTTCTTTGAGTTTCCTCAACACAGCCATTTTTGTTTTTGTTGTTGCTGTTTGGTTGTTTGTTTTTGAGGCAGAGTTTCGTTCTTTTCACCCAGGCTGATGTGCTATGGCATGATCTTGGCTCACTTTAACTTCTGTCTCCCGGGTTGAAGCAATTCTCCTGCCTCAGCCTCCTGAGTAGCTGGGATTACAGGCCTCTGCCACCACACCCAGCTAATTTTTTTTATTTTTAGTAGAGATGGGGTTTTGCCATGTTGACCAGACTGGTCTCGAACTCCTGATCTCAGGTGATCCACCCACCTTGTCCTCCCAAAGTGCTGGGCTCACAGATGTGAGCCACTGTGCCTGGCTGACATTGCTGTTTTAATGCTCTGTCTGGAAGATCACATATTTTTGTTTCTCCAGGATTGGTCCCTGGTGCCTTATTTAGTTCATTTGGTGAGGTCATGTTTTCTTGAATGGTGTTAATGCTAACATGTTCTTAGTGTCTGGGCATAGAAAAGTTAGGTATTTACTGTAGTCTCCACTGTCTGGGATTATTTGTAGCTGTCTTTCTTGCAAAGGCTTTCCAGACATTTGAAAAGACTTGAGTGTTGTGATCTAATCTATATGTGCTTTAGGGGTCCCCCAAGACAAGAACACTATGGCCCTTGTGGATTCGTAGAAGTACCACCTTGATAGTCTTGAACAAGATACGAGAGAATTCTCTGGATTACCTGACAGAGACTCTTTTTCTCTTTCCTTACCTTCTTCCAAACATGTAGCCTCTATCTCTCTTCTGAGCCACCTAAATATGGGGGTGGAGTGACAAAAGCACCCCTGTGGCCACCAACACTATGACTCTGCTGGGTCACAACTGAAGCCAGCACAGTGTCATGTCTCACCCAAGGCGGTAACCACTGCCTGGCTACTTCCTATATTTACTCAAGGCTCTGGGGCTCTACTATCAGCAGGTGGCAAAGCCAGACAGGCTTGTGTCTTTATCTTCAAGTCAGCAAAGCTCCCTAAGCCACATTTGAGTCCAGAAGTGCCATCTGGAAGTCAGGGACTGGAGTCAAAACCTTTAGAAATCTACCTGATATTCTATTGTATTGTGCCTGAGCAGGCACTGAAACCACTAGATACAATCCTTCTGTGATGGTTAATACTGAGTGTCAACTTGATTGGATTTAAGGATACAAAGTATTGATTCTGCTGTGTCTGTGAGGGTGTTGCCAAAGGAGATTAACATGTGAGTCAACGGGCTGGGAAAGACAGACCCACCCTTAATATGAGTGGGCACCATCTAATCAGCTGCCAGTGAATATAAAGCAGGCAGAAATACGTGAAAAGGAGAGACGGGCCTAGCCTCTCAGCCTACTACAAGTTTCTCCCATGCTGGATGCTTCCTGACCTCAAACATTGGACTCCAAGGTCTTCAGTTTTTGGACTTGGACTGGCTCTCCTTCCTCCTCAGCTTGCAGATACCCTATTTTGGGACCCTGTGTTAATAAGGTCTGTTAACTCCCGTATATCTTCTGTATTAACTTACACACTATATATATATATATATATATATATACATACACATACACACACACACACATACATACACATACACACACACACATACACACACACACACACACACATATATATAGTCCAATCATATTATATATATAATATATATATATATATATATATATTCTATTGGTCTGTCCTTAAGTAGTACTTGCTTATTTTTCCCACATATATATATGTGTGTGTGTGTGTGTGTGTATGTATATACACATATAATTAACTTACACTATATATATGTGTATATATATGTGTATATATATGTGTGTGTGTATATATATATGTATATATATGTGTGAGTGTATATATATATATATATATGTATATATATCTTATTAGTTCTGTCCGTCTAAGAGAGCCCTGACTAATACACCTTCCCACTCTTCTGTTTCCTCTCCAAGGCAGAGGAGCCTCACCCCATAGCCACCACCACCACTGGCCACAAGGAGTACTGCCAGACTACCAGTGATGTTCTTTTAATGCTCCAAATCTGTTAAGCCAGCTTGTGGTGAATGCTGCCTGGCTTAGGACTCACCCTTCATGCCCAAGGCAGGTACAGAAATCCCACCCCAAAAGCCTACTTGGCACCCTACCCCACTGTGGTGGTGTTGGTAGCTAAGGTGCAAGACAAAGTCCCCTTTACTTCTCCCTCTGCTTTTCTCAAACAGAAGGAGTTTTGTCCCATAGCCACCACAGCTGGTAATGTGCAGAGTCTCATCTGAGGCCAGCAAGTCTCAAAGGATCACTAAGGTCTTCAATGTAGTACCTGGGTATCTCTGTTGGCTATCCAGAGCCCAAGAGCTCTTCAGTTAGAAGGTGATGAAAGCTGAGAAGACTGGATTCTCTTCTTTAAAGCAGCAGGTTCCCTTCTGGCCCAGGATGTGTCTAGAAATGTCATCTGGGAGCTAGGGCCTGAAATGGGGGCCTCATGAGTATGACCAATGCCCTGTCCTGCTATTGCTGAGCTTGTATCCAAGTTTCAAGACAAAGTCCCCCCCACTCTTCTCTCTCTTATCCTCAAGTAGAAGGAAAGAATCTCTTTTGTAGCCATGAGCTATGCAGCCTGAGATTAGGAGAAGGGTGATGCCAGCACTCCCTTGGCTTCCCCAGCTAGTGTCTCAGTATGGAACTTTCCCCCCTAACCCCCAGTCCACTGTCTCTGGGCCCAGTTCAGCCCCAGGACTCACCTAAAAGTTTCAGTCCTTATAACCTAGGCTGCCTTTCAAGTTTACTGGAGACCAAGAGCACTTTGGCTGTTGGTGGCAAGGTTTGTGGGCACTCAAGTTCAGTCCACAGGGATTGGCCAGGGCTGGTTTAAATGCTCCCTCTCTGGGCAGTCATTAGCTAAGTTTGGTCTGGTTTTCCTTTCTGATCTAATAGCATAGCGCTGACTTCAATGCCTCACAATTTCTGTGTTGTCTCTCCCCCAGCACCCAGAGATGCTCTCCGCACCATGCCTCTACTGTCAGGGGTAGTGGAGGGATGGCGTCAGTGATTAAAGACTGTATTTTCTTATCTCCCCAGTGCCTCTTTCAGTGATATGAAGTAAAAACCCAGTACTGTGAGTGCTCACCTTATTTTTGGCTCTTATAAAAGGTGTTTTTTTCCGTGTAGATAGTTGTTAACATGGTGTCCTTGTAGGGGCTACAATCAGTGAAGCTTTCTGTTCCACCATCTTCCTCTGCCTCTGAAACCTCTTTTTTAAAACTTTTGATACCCTGAAGAGTTTCTTTTCATAGTCCTTAAATCTTCAGGCCACTCTACACTATTTTTTCAAAATGCTTTTAGTCTAACATAGTGTAATTATAGCAATATGAGGCAAAAGTTCTAAAGATAATTTGATCAGTATTTCCATATTATATTCTAAATTAAAAAGGCATTCCAATAATGGGAAAAAGAGCATTAGAATCTGACAGTTTCTGTCTGCTTCATTATGTTGTTTTACCGGTATGATTGCTGAGAGTTTTTCACCCATTTGAAATATCCCTTTCAAAATCCACAGCTAGCAGTCACAAAATTTGTGTTAGTTATGCTGTTACTAGATACTAAAAGCACATTTAAAACACATTCCCAGATATATTTACATATCAATTTGACTTCAATAAAAAATGTTTTAACTGCTGATATACATAAATTCCATCCAGTATTATCTATTTCTTCATAGCACTTTTCAGTATCTGACAGGTGACTGCATGTTTATTTATTACTGCTTGTCTCTGCCACTGGAATGAATGCTGCATAAAAGCAGGGATTGATCCCTTATTCATTATTGGCTCTCCAGTATGGGGACATAGGACTAGCAATTGGTAGTTCCCCAATAATAATAATTTAAAGAATGAATGAATTCAGGTCCATTCAGTGAAAAGTAAACCTTTCAGACACTGGATGAATAAGACCTGATCTCTACTCTCACATAATTAAAAAATCAAATGTAGGAGGTAGAAACATTTAAAACCATATTTCTTTCTATTTAAGAGAAATATATAAACAAAATAACTTTTGAAAGAACCAATAAATTTTGAAAGGAATATAATGAAAGTTTATTTTTGAGATCAACTGTAAAGAATGCAATTACCACATATATGGAAGAGCATTTCAACAGACGTAATGATAAAATAAAGTCATGGTTTTTTTTTTTTGGAAGACAGCTTGGCATGCTGACCTATTGGGAGTGTTATAGCATAAAAACATTTACAAGCATTCCTGCTAGAAAAACAAATTGAAACCAAACTAGCCAAAGCCTTGAATACTTTGATGAAAAGTTTGGAGGTTTTTTTTGTTTTTTGTTTTTTTGCTGTTGAAACTCTTTGAACAGTAGTATAACTTTATCCAATCTGTGTTTTGGAAAACTAAACCTGTGGGTGGCAAAATAGATAGATTTGAAGCTGAGGAGGCGATCAACTGGAATACCAGTCTAGAGATCATCGCTATAGTTTAGCTGAAGATAATGAGAACTGAAATTAGAATACAGACCGTAGAAATGAAGATAAAGAAACAATTTGGAAGTAATATCAAAAGGGATTGTAGACAAATTTGACATATTTGGTAAAAGAGAAGGAGGAATAAAAAATGTCTCCAGAGTCATAAACAACTGCATAGATGGTAAAACTGAATTTAGATCAGAAACTGAAGAGAATCAAGTCTTAGTACACTAAATTGATTTTTTTCTCTGCATGTGTATAAGGTAATGCATAGTATATCCTTCCCTAAAATCTCTGATGAGTATCTCTTAAAGACTTATCAATTAAAGTCCTCCAAAATTTTAATTTGAATTAATTTTCAGTCTCACAATGATTTCCAGTCAAACTTTTGTTACTGTTACTCTTCATTTCGGTTCTATTACTTTACTAAGCATACAAAATACTCCATCCTTTTCAGTCTATCATGCAATAAACTTGCACACTACTCTGTATCAGTGAACCCAATGATTAAATTACATATCCAGTCAACAAACACTTCGAAATTAGGGACTGTATGCAAGGTACGGTGAATGCTGTGGGGAGGCCTGTAAAAAGATGAATAAGGCAAAGAAGAATCAGACTTCCAAGAGAAGTTCCTGGACTCTATCAAGAACTAGGTGAATAAGTCTGTCTTTGTAATGGGGTATACCAGGTATAGTAATCAAGTGTATGTATATGTTTGCATTCTTGCTCCATGTCTACCTGTCGAGCTAATGGGCTGATATCTAAGAACAATATTTCTTTTATTTCTTTTCTGATTCTTCCATCTCACACTGATATCTCTCAGGTACAGACATAAGCATTTTAATCTATATTATTCTGTCAGTCTTTTTTCACTGAAATGATTAATGCGATCATTGTAGATTTACATGCAGTTGTAAAACATGCTGCAGAGAGATCCCTTGTACATTTTCTCCAGGTTTTCCCAATAATAACATTGTGAAAATCTATAGACTACCATCTCAACCAAGATATTGGAACTGAGGCAATCCACCAATCATTTTCAGATTTCTCCAGATTTACTTATACTTATGCATGTGTGGGAGGGTATAATAAGTTCTATACAATTTTATTGCCTGTAGGTTTTGTATCCCATGAAAATCAAGATACTGAACAGATCCAACACCACAGTGATTTCTCTATTTCTCTTTTATAGCTAGACCCACCCCTCAACACTTTCTTCATCCTTGGTCCCCAACCGCTGACAAGTACTACACTGTAATTCATTTCTAAACTATCTTCATTTCAAAAATACTATATAAATAGAAACAAACATTATGTAAGATTTTGGAGTTAGCTTTTTTTCCCTCTCAGCCTATCTCTATGGAGATTCTCCCAGTGATGATGTGTAAGAATATTTCATTCCTTTTCTATTTTTGAGTACTATCCCATGGTGTAAATGTACCACTGTTTGTTTCGCCAATCACTTT
Source organism: Homo sapiens (assembly GCF_000001405.40). Taxonomy (NCBI): domain Eukaryota; kingdom Metazoa; phylum Chordata; class Mammalia; order Primates; family Hominidae; genus Homo; species Homo sapiens. The sequence continues at coordinate 188,349,138 of NC_000001.11, forward strand.
TGGAAGTACATGTGGGACAATTCCAGTTTTTGGCTATTGCACACAAATTAAACTGCTGCAAGTTCTCATACAGATTTTATTTCAACATAAGCTTTCATTTATCTGGAGTAAATGTTTAAAACTTAATTTTCTGGGTACTATGAAAATTTTATGTTTGGTTTTATTTTTAAAAACAGCCAAACTGCTTTTTGGTGTGGTTTTACTATTTTACATTGCCACGAGTATTGCATGAGTGATTCAATTTCTCTGCATCCTTTCCAAAATTTGGTGTTGTCACTATTTTAAATTGTAGCTATTACTTTAACCACATTCCCATCTTCATGTCATATTTTTTGGATAGTCGGAATTACTACAAATGCCTTCAATAGCTATTCTGACTTTGGTGGACATCATAATTTGCCACCTGGATTAGTCAATTAAGAACTGTTACCCCAACTGTTGGGATTGTTATAGGAAACCAGCCAACAAGAGAAATCATACGCCCTCTTAGAGATTGCCTGAGTTGAAGAGATTGCACAAAGTCACATCTTTTCCCAGGGTAATCCACATCATTACTGACTGATGAGGGAGTTTATAGATCTTGCCGCCGTGGTCCTACTTGGGGCAACACTGAATGACCACTTTAGTTTCAAAGCTTCCTGTGGAGTTCCTAAGGGTGTATCTCAAACTGATTTCTCTCTGCCTCTCTTACTTTCTCCTACAATCTTGCACAAGTTTTTGTCTCAAGGATGCTCCTTAATATTCTGTACACTAGAGTCCATCTCTGTCTCAATTGTCCAGGCAACTCAAACTATAACTCTGATACAACTGACCTTTCCACTGTTCATTTTACCTCCTATTCTATTATGAACTCCTAGAATCCAATATATATTAGAAATTAGCAGTTGTTTTTCATTTCTGCTGCTTATTCAACTTCTGCTTCTCAATTCCAGACTTACACTCTTATACTATTTTTGTAATACTGGCTTAGTGTTAGGGGATACCAGTTGAGGGCTCTAAAGGGACAACGGAATAGTGGAAAGAAAGCAACAGACACACTCTTTTCCATTTGCTTCCAGTTTCTGTCAATGTCAACATAACATAGCAGTGGCTATTCATTCTGCCAGAAACACTTGATTACAGCAGCAACAATTGGTTGCAGTTTGCAGTTTGTCCATCATTCCAGAACAAGCCCCATCATGCTCTTCAGAGATACCTGTGCCAGCCACAACTTCTCAGCAGTCTGGATTCCAGCTCCAGAAGGAATCTTCTTTTACACTGCATAATTTTAATAACTTCTTCTCTTTATTCTTCTGTGCTAGGAGTGGAAGCTGTTTTCTAAAATTACTAACTCTATGATCCCTCCGTATTCACATTTGGCCTTTTTCGTTTGCAAGTAGTTAATATTTTGTATAATAATATTCTGCCAGTTTATGCCTCCTGAGATCCTAACTGATAGATTATTAGTTTTTATATAAAAGTTAATAAAGTTCATGAGTTAAAATTATCTGTACAATAAAAAATATTTGAGAAAAATATAAAATAGAAAAAATACAGCCATAAAAACACAATTTTTTTTTCAGTTAATTGAAAAATTTCTTAAGAATTTTATGTTTTAGTTCAATTATATGACTAATAAGTGGTGAATATACCTAATAGATTTTTTGATTGAGTTATCCATGTATATTTTGACCATATGTGCATATGCCATGAAGGCATATACAGAATAACTTTTGAAAGATTTTAGTGCAAGTGTCTAAGAAGTGATGTTTTAAAACTATAAGATCTTGATTTATCAATACTGAATGTTAGAGAATAATATAAATTGGGGAGCTGTGCATTTAAAATCTATGATTACAACTGAAAATGAAAATATTTTCTTACTCTAGTGAAAAATCCTACAAACTTACTGTGTGAAAAAACTGTTCTATAAAAGCAGGCTTTAGATACATAAAATTGGAAAGATCTAGGAAAATTAATAGAATCTATTACTTGATTTCTTTTATTCAAATGTGTGCCCAGAACCACTATCATGATCCTCTAAATAATCCTTTCAAAACAAAACAAATAAAAATAGTGTTTTTCCTGATAAAACATAAGATAACTGTAAAACTTATGAAATGTCTGAATTTCTTATTCCAAAACGTACTGCAAAGATTTGGGGCTATTGTTTAACCGTTTTATTAACCTTGTGTGTGTTGTAAGGATAATTTGAAGTTAATGTGCATTTCTCCATGAAAATTATTTGAAAACATAACCTTGTGAAGAATTGTAAGTGATAAATGTAATTTTAATTTTAAAAAGTTTCTGAAATAAGGCAAGATAGATAAGTATATTTTATTCAGAACACATTTTTATATCTAACTATATAACTCTCATATATAAACATAGTACCTCACACAGTGAACTCAAATTAATATTTACTGAATTGCTCAATCTATTTATCATGTTTTTGCAAATGTCATCATTGCATTTATATTTATTTCTTGAGAAAAAGAATTCTTGTTTAGTTAATCACAGAATTTAAACCACATGCAGTGCTATCTATTTTAGCTCCTTGTTTTCACTGAAGTTTTCAGTCCAGATTTGTAGTGAGTGTTAAATTTAATAATTTTTGAAAGAGTGAGAAATTGCAGCAAAAGGAGCAAGATAATTATCTGGAAACATAAAACAATCTGTGTTTCTTACTTTTGTTATGCAATGTAAGTACTCTTGGAAATGCAATCTGAGGATACTGTAACAATTTTTAAAATAAGAAAGGAGGATAGTGTTAGAATTTAATATATATTGTTGCTATGATTAAACATTTTTCAAAAAACTGAATTTGTTTACCCATTTTTCTGTCTTAAAAATTATCTACTCGAGGATTGGTCACAGTGGCTCATGCCTGTAATTTCAGAACTTTGGGAGACCTAGTCAGGAGGATCAGTTGAGTCTAGGAATTCAAGACCAGCCTGTGCTACATGGCAAAACCCCATCTCTACAAAACTACAAAAAGTAGCCAAGCCTGGTGGCATGGGCCTGTAGTTCTAGCTACTTGGGAGGCTGAGATGGGAGTATTGTTTGAGCTCAGGAGGTGGAGGTTGCAGTCATCCAAGATCGCACTACTGCACTCGAGCCTGAGTGACAGAATGAGACCCTGTCTTTTTTTTTTTTTTTTTTTTTTTATACTTTAAGTTTTAGGGTACATGTGCACATTGTGCAGGTTAGTTACATATGTATACATGAGCCATGCTGGTGCGCCGCACCCACTAACTCGTCATCTAGCATTAGGTATATCTCCCAGTGCTATCCCTCCCCCCTCCCCCCACCCCACAACAGTCCCCAGAGTGTGATATTCCCCTTCCTGTGTCCATGTGATCTCATTTTTCAATTCCCACCTATGAGTGAGAATATGCGGTGTTTGGTTTTTTGTTCTTGTGATAGTTTACTGAGAATGATAATTTCCAATTTCATCCATGTCCCTACAAAGGACGTGAACTCATCATTTTTTATGGCTGCATAGTATTCCACGGTGTATATGTGCCACATTTTCTTAATCCAGTCTATCATTGTTGGACATTTGGGTTGGTTCCAAGTCTTTGCTATTGTGAATAATGCCGCAATAAACATACGTGTGCATGTGTCTTTATAGCAGCAAAAGAAACTACCATCAGAGTGAACAGGCAACCTACAAAATGGGAGAAAATTTTCGCAACCTATTCATCTGACAAAGGGCTAATATCCAGAGTCTACAATGAACTCAAACAAATTTACAAGAAAAAAACAAACAACCCCATCAAAAAGTGGGCAAAGGACATGAACAGACACTTCTCAAAAGAAGACATTTATGCAGCCAAAAAACACATGAAAAAATGCTCATCATCACTGGCCATCAGAGAAATGCAAATCAAAACCACAATGAGATACCATCTCACACCAGTTAGAATGGCAGTCATTAAAAAGTCAGGAAACAACAGGTGCTGGAGAGGATGTGGAGAAATAGGAACACTTTTACACTGTTGGTGGGACTGTAAACTAGTTCAACCATTGTGGAAGTCAGTGTGGCGATTCCTCAGGGATCTAGAACTGGAAATACCATTTGACCCAGCCATCCCATTACTGGGTATATACCCAAAGGACTATGAGACCCTGTCTTGAAAAAAAAAAAAGTTATCTACTTGGTGGCAACTTTACCAGTGCTTATAACATTGTATCTCTCAATCTGAACTACTATCCAAAAACTATCAAATGTTTTCAAGTAAACAGAGATTTAGAGTGTTTTAGCTATTTTAATTAAATGAAAAAATTCTGTAATTTTAGTATTGATATTGATGTTTATTATTGACCACTCTCGATAAAAGATGAAGAGGTGGATACTCCAATCTATCAAATAGTTATGACACCAATTTCACTATGGTGAGAATTTATTAAGCTAGCGAATGAATTCAGCTAAATAAAGGAAAACTTAGAATACATTTGTGCATATCTGTCTTTAAAAAGATTATTTGACAACTTCTCCTTTGACAGTCCATTGCAATTTGCAGGTGTAAATGAACTAAGGTAATATTTTGCTGCATTATGTCATTGTAATCTGTATTTTTTCTTGAAAATAAATTGAGATGCTATTCAATTCTACTTAATTTTCCTTAGTATGTTAATAGGTTATATATGAAAACATGAAAATGTATAGATATTAAGGTTTGTTTTCTGATTAAAATAAGTTTGGATGCCAGGCATAGTGGTGTGTACCTATAGTCCCAGATACTCTGGAGGCTGAAGCTGGTAGATCACTTGAGCCCAGGAATTCAAGTTCAATCTGGGCAACATAGAGAGACCCCACCTCTTTAAAAAAGTACAGATTGTTAATTTTATATTTTAAAAAAATTCATAAGGGACAAAAATTAAATTTCACAAAATCTTAGAGTCAGTTAGTTTAGGAGAAAGAACCATCCTAAATTCAACCTTTAAATCTTCGATAAGTTGTAAAATACCTTGCCTAAAAGGACCCTAAGGCAGTCAGAAATGTAAAAGCAGGTAACCAAAGAGCCTCAAAACTCAGCCAACCAATATTTATTTATTTATCTATATGCCTTTTTACAAGATTAGTCTTCAGATTTTACTTTAAAGCTTCTTAAAAGTATTATTTATTGCAAAAAACTGATCATATTTAAACTTCCCCAACAGCTTCCTATTGCAGTTAAAATAAAATCCAAAACCCTCATTACATCCTGTAAGACTCTTTATGATTTGTATCCTGTTTAACATTCTGACCCCTCCTCCTTATTTTTACAACTCAACCCCTAGTTTGATTGTTTCTAGCCACATTGATAAAAACTACCATAAAACAATTTCCTGCTTTCTGTTTCAGTAGAATGTCACTAACAGTTTGCATCAGTCAATTCTTATAAATCAACTTATCCCAATAAATGGTTTGATTATCAGAATAAATAGTATGCTTGTGAGGCATCACTCTAAGACCTTTGCTTAGTAATGTTCAATAATCTTTAACTACTATTTCACAAATAGTTCTAATACTCTCCTGACTTCAATGACATGTCTTAATCCACATTATTACAGAACCCATAACTAATAAATATTGTTCCCTGTCTTGCCAGGTTAAATACATCATTAAAATGAATAAATTAATAATATTAATGTATTTAATTTTGCTTGGCCAACTAAACTTTGTGTTGTTATTTATGGGGACATCAAAAGTCCACTGAGACTTCCTTGAGCCTCCCACACAGGTCTCTGTCCATTTGTGATAGTGAGGAAAGTCCAGGACTAAGTCTGAGCTCTAATTTCTTTTCTCAGACTCCTGTTTTTTTGTCAAAAACTGAAGATCTTTCTTTTAGGAATTTTTTGATTACGAGCAAATGTGAAATAGCTTATCCTTGGTGAAAAACTGCCTTGTTATTAATGACAATCTGTTTCTCCTTTCCCACTCCGTTGGGAATGTATAAAAAGAAGTCCTTGGGAAAAAAGACAAACCCAGTTTCAATATGTTCATGTCTTTATGCAGATGCAAGTGATACAGGGTATTTTCTTGACTCCTTTGAGGGACTCATGACAGGAGTGCCCCATTTACTCAGCCTGCCCCACTCAACCTCTCGTAGGAGGGAATGCATGAGTGAATGAGTATGGCAACAGGAGAGAGCCATTGCAGGAACCTGCCAGCAGAGGCAAACTCCATTCACTCTGGGCCAGCATGCTCCACCCCTTGAGTGTGTAGAAAGGCGAGTGCAGGAAGCAGTCAACTTATTCAGTGTTGGCAGGAGCAAACTCTATGTAGGCCCTGTGGCAGGGTTCAAGAGGGGACAAGTGTAACCATAGGCAGAGAGAAGACCCAGAGTGTGTAGCTCCTATCTGTAGGCAGGTTGTCCTGATGAGTTTCCAGCTCTCAGCAAAGAGGAGACCCATAGTGGGTAGCTCTTTTTTTTTTGCAGGCAGGTTGTCCCAACAAGTGTCCAGCTTTCTCAGTGGACAGAAAGCCCGTAGCATGTAGCTCCTTTCTTCAGCCAAGTCATCTCAACAAGTATGTGAGTCTAGCTGAGTATGGGTTTTTTATGTGCTTAGAATGGAGGAAGTGCTTGCTAATTGGTTCATGGGTGACCACAGACAGGCCTGGAAAAAGCACCATCCAATTGGCTGAATGGTCATTAATGAAGTTCTCAGTATGGGCTGCAGACTTCATCTGGAACTGGCAGCCCAGCCCCCCAGCCTTCAGGCTGTATCTGGATTGAAGATGAGGTTTTACCAGAGACCTGCTCCTTTCCACCTAAGAACCTGTCTGCGTTTAACGTGCTGTCCATGATGCCCAGGCTGTCTCCACTGAGAGGCATCTGCAGCCCTGAGCCAGGCCACCTCAATGCCCTGGGGCCTCCTCCTGTGCTCATGTGGCACCCAAAGTCTGAAGGGGGCTGAGGTTGCAGGGGACTGTTGTGGCAGCGCTGCCTTGAGCACATGCACACCTGGCTGAGTTGTGGCAGCACCTAGGCTTCGCCACAACTTTGCTCTACCCCAGAGTGGGCACTAGGAGCAGAGAGAGGTCAGGAGCAGGAGCAAACATTTTCAAGCCTGTGGGGGCAGAGTTTTTCCTGGGTCCCCCAAGAACACAGGGATGCTGGTGTCTGGAGCCGTGGCTGTGTGGCTGAGGCTATACCTAGGAGTGCAGGCTCCTGCCCTGCCAACCCAGTAAGGGGTGGGGCTCTTACCTGTACTTGGCTCCCACCAGCTCTGTGGAGCGCTCAGCCCCAGCTGTGCCTTCCGTGCTGCAGCCAGCATCCTCACAAAGGCATCTCCAGAAGGGCCATCACTGCCATCAATAGGATCAAATTTATATGAAATTTAGAAAAAGTACAACTATTGAGTTGGAAAATAGATCAGTTGTTGTCGGGAGTTGGGAGAGGGGATAGTGATTGACTACAGTGGGCAATGTGGGGGAAACTTTAGCATGAAATAACCGTTCTATAAGGTACTGGAATGGTGGATACATAGCTCTATGTCTTTATCATAACTCTTAGAACAGCATATCACAAAGAATATACCTTATTTTATGCAAGCTAAAAAAAATCAGCCAGAATGTCTAGGGATCCCTGGATGAAATACAGACTGTGCCAGATAAATGTAACTATGTTTCAAATGTATGAAAAACAACCTTACTGAATGAAGTAGTAGGGAGGAGAGGTGGAGAGGGAAGGAAAGAAGCTGATCAAAGTAACTTGGTAAACACAGAGTTTCGATGGGGATTTCAAGGCTAAAGGCCAAAAATATAATGTGTATATACTACCAGCTGGTGGGCTCTTGTATTAGTAAATTTTTGCATTGCTATAAAGAAATACCTAAGACAAGGTAATTTATAGAGAAGAGAGGTTGAATTGGGTTATGGTTCCACAAGTTGTACAGGAGCCATGTTGCTGACATCTGCTTGGCTTCTGAGGTGACCACAAGAAACTTAAAATCATGGCAAAAGGCAAATAGGGAGGCAGCACTTCACATGGCCGGAGCAGGAGGAAAAGAGTTTGGAGAGGTGCTACACACCTTTAAACAACCAGATCTTGCAAGAACTCACTGACAATCAGGAGAACAGCACCAAGAGAATGGTGCTAAACCATTCATGAGAAGCCTGCTCCCATGATTCAATCAGCTCCTGCCAGGGGCCTCCTCCAACATTGGGGATTACAATTTCACATGAAATTTGGGTGGGGACACAGATCCAAACCATATCATTCCACCCCTGGCCCTCCCAAATCTCATGTTATTCTGACATTTCAAAATAAAATTATGCCTTCCCAACAGTCCCCCAAAGTCTTAACTCATTTCAAGATTAACTCAAAAGTTCACACTCCAAAGTCTCATCTAAGAAAAGGCTAATCCCATCTGCCTATAAGCCTGTAAAATCAGAAGCAAGTTAGTTGCTTCCAAGATACAAAAATAAGGATATAGGCATTGGGTAAATATTCTCATTCTAGAGGGAGAAATTTTTAAATGAAACAAATGGACTATAGGCCCCATGCAATCCAAAACCCAGCAGGACAGTCATTAAATCTTAAAGCTCCAAAATAATCTCATTTGGCTCCATGTCTTACATTCAAGGCATACTGGTACCAGGGGTGGGCTCTCAAGGCCTTAAGCAGCTCCACCCCTGTGACTTTGCAGGGTTCAGCCCTCACATTTGATCTACAGGGCTGGTGTTGAGCACCACGTTTTCAGGGGCAGGGTGCAAGCTGCTAGTAGATTTACCATTCTGGAATCTGGGCACTAGGCAGTGCCCTAGTGGTGACTCTATGTGGTGGCTCCAACCCAACATTTCCCTCTGCACTGCACTAGTAGATGTTGTCTGTGAGGGCCCCACCTCTGCAGCAGGCTTCTGTCTGGATGTTCAGGCTTTTCCATATATTCTCTGAAATCTAGGCAGAGACTCCAAAGCCTCAAGTCTTGCATTGTATGCACATGCAAGTTCAACACCACTTGGAAGCCACTGAGGCTTATGGCTTACAACCTCTGGAGCAGGGTCCCAAGCTGTACCTGGGCTCCTTTTAGCCACAGCCGGAGCTGGAGTGGCTGGGATGCAGGAAGCCTTGTCCCAATGTTGTACAAGGCAGCAGGGGCCTGAATCTGGTTGAGAAATCCATTCAATTCACCTACAATTCCAGGCCTGTGATGGGAAGTGCTGCCATGAAGTTCTCTGAAATGCTTTCAAGGCCTTTTTTCCCATTGTCTTGGCTAGTAACACTTTGCCTCCTTTTACTTATGCAAATGTGTGTAGCTTGCTTGAATTCTTCCCATTCAAATATGTTTTTCTTTTTTTACCACATGGCAAGTCTTCATTTTTTTTTAAGCTTTTACACTCTGCTTCCCTTTTAAATGTAAGTTTCAGTTTCAAGTAATTTCTTTGCTTACTCATATAAGCACAGGTTGTTAGAAACAGCCAGGCCATATCTTGAACACTTTGCTGATTAAAAATTGTTTCTACCAGATACCTTAAATCATCACTGTCAGGTTCAAAGTTCTATGGATCCCTAGGGCAGGGGCTCAGTGCAGCCAGAATCTTTGCTAAATCCTAGCAAAGGTGACCTCTACTACAGTTCCCAATAAGTTCCTGATTTCCATCTGAGACCTCCACAGCCTGGCCTTCACTGTCCATATCACTATCAGCATTTTGGTCACAACCATCGAACAAGTCTCTAGGAAGTTCCAAACTTTCCCTCATCTTCCTGTCTTTTTCTGAGTTCTCCAAACTGTTCCAAGCTCTGCCTGCTACCCAGTTCCAAAGGTGCTTCCACATTTTTAGGTGTCTTCATAGCAATGTCCCATTCTTCAGTACCAATTTTCTATATTAGTCCATTCTCACACTGCTACAAAGAAATACCTCAGACTGGGTAATTTATAAAGAAAAGAAATTTAATTGTCTTGCAGTTCTGCAGGCCGTACAAGAAAGCATGGTGGCATCTGCTTGTCTTCTGGGAAGACCTCAGGGAACTTACAATTATGGAGGAAGGCAAACAGGAAGCAGGCATGTATTATGTGGTCAGAGAAGGAGCAAAAGAGATACTGATGAGGTGCTACACACTTTTAAACAACCAGATCTTGTGAGAACTCACTATCATGAGAACAGCACCAAAGTGATGGTGATAAACCATTCATGAGATGCTGGCCCCCGTGATACAATCACCTCCAACTGGGCCCCCTCTCCAACGTTGTGGGTTACAATTTGACATGAGATTTGGGCAGGGATACAGATCCAAACCATATCAGCTCTTGACCCTCAGTGAATAGAAATAGACCAAGAGTCTGTGATGGGCTTGAGCAAGGCAATTTATTGGGACATTCAGCTCCCAAGAAAGGGAGACAGCAAGAGGAGGCGTCCCACAGCTAGCTCTCTGGAAGCAGGTTAGTCTAGAGTTTTATTTTCTTTGGACTTCCTCCAGGCAAAACCATTGCATGTTTGGAGTGGTCTGTCAGTTGCACCTGCGTGGTTTCTCATCATGCTTCTTCATGTGATGCGGGTCTCATTAGTATCTTAAATTTCTTCTACCTGTGGGTGATTTTCACTATTCTCATGCTTCTTCAGGATTAGTATCTTAAATTTCTACCTGTCGGTGATTTTCACTATTCTCATCATGCTTCTTCAGGTGATGCGGGTCTCATTAGTATCTTGAATTTCTTCTACCTGTGGGTGATTTTCACTATTCTCATCATGCTTCTTCAGGTGATGCAGGTCTCATTAGTATCTTAAATTTCTGCCTGTCGGTGTGATTTTCACTATTAAAATGAAGAAAAGATCAGGTTAGGACATTACTGGGCATATGTATTTGGGAAGGGTCTTCTGGAATGTCCTCATTCTTAATAGCCACAATGACTGTGGCCATAGTACTCATTTGTTTCAGGTTTGATTGGCCTATTTTTGTGAAAGGAAGCATTTGTGATTGCAAGCCTACAAGGCTGTGATTGCAGTCAGCACAGCATGTAAGGGAAATGGGGAGGGGTCCCTGTCCTGCTTTCCCTGTCTGTCTCATATATGTTTATATATACATATCAAAAGTGCTATTCTCACACAACTTAGAAATGAACAGTTTATGGCTATAAATAATAGACATTTGTTTAAAAATGTATTTTGTGGAAGAACACAAGGTGAGATTGTTTGTATTTGTGTCCTTGCCCAAATCTCTTCTGGAATTGTAATCCATAATGTTGGAGGAGGGGCCTGGTGAAAGGTAATTGGATCATGGGGACAGCAGACCTCCCTCTTGCTGTTCTCATGATAGTGAGTGAGTTCTCATGTAATCTCCTTGTTTAAAAATGTGTAGCACTTCCCCCTTTCCCCCCTCTCTCTATCTCTCCTGCTCCACCACAGCAAGATGTACTTGCTTCTCCTTCACCTTCTGGCATGATTATAAGTTTCCTGAGGCCTCCCCAGCAATGCTTCCAGTATAGCCTGTGGAACTGTGAGCAAAGTAAATCTCTTTTCTTATTAAATTACCCAGTTTCAGGTATTTCTTTATAGTAGTGTGAGAATGGGCTAATACACAAGGATATTAAAAATTTATGTAAAAAATTTAAATAATTTTTTCATAAAATGTGAAATAAATGTCACTTATTTTATTTTGTGCACATAATCAATAATTTAAATTTACTCAAGAGACATTTTACAAATTTAATTTATATTCCCGAAAATTGATGCAGTCAAATTGACCAACAGTCTATTTTTGTGTGTCTTTCTTTGGAAAGATGGGAAATTGTCTTATTTCAAGGGTTTTCCTATATGTGAGTGTGTTTAAAAAGTATTTGCTTTAGTGATTAAAACCAAACAACCCATATATAAAATTGTATCGGCCTGAGCCTTTCTTGATTCCCATTTTCCCAAGAGCTCATGAGTATTTCTTATTTATACATTTAACAGCCATTCATTGTATTTATATGAATTTGAGTATTAGACTTTGGCTAAAGATACAAAAGTGAACCAAAGAGGTATCAATCCTGGTTTATAGAATTGTTTTTTTTTTACCCTAAAACATCAAGCCTATTTACATTATTAAATTTAGAAATGTTGTAATCACATAACCAGCACAATCATGTAACCAGCCCAATCATGTAACCAGCCCAATCAAATGAATGTTACAATTACTAATTTTTGTAATTAAATGGTGAGTTGTTTTTCATTTGCCATGAATTCCCAAATTTCGGGTCATATAACCTGAGTCTGCCCAGATGAAATAAATGTGCTTAACTTGTGACTCCAAAGCCAGCCAAAACTAAAAAGTCAACCACAGGTGGAACCAAAGTGCTGGGACAAGGAACACAGACCAAATTAAGAAGCAAGCCTTCGTAACACCTTATGGCATGCTCCAATCAGATCATGTCCTGGCATCACTTTTTGTCATGACCCAATCATGACATATCTCCCTAAAAATCCTGCCCAAGTCCCCAATTTGGAGAGGTAGATTTGAGCATTGCCTCCTGTCTCTTTGCCAGTCAATTCACAGTAAAGCCTTTCTTTCTCAAAAGCTGGTGTGATAAAATTGGCTTACATGCATCAAGCAATGAGCCCATTGCTTAGTCGGTTGCAATGTATGCATTTCATGCTATATTTTTCAAAAATGATCCAATGGATAAAATAGTATCGTCTCTTATTGTGACTACTCTAAACAGAAGGGAAAAAATGAAAAAAAAACATTATTATGCAGATACATAATCATGCCATGTCATATAGACACGGTACTCCACCTTTGTAAATTTTCTTATGGGAAATTAAAACTTATTGGTAATGACTAAATATTTTTAACAAATTAAATCTTTAGTTCTGGAATATCTATATAACCTTTGTCTTTATATCTCAAGAACTCACTATATCTAGCCCATTTAATTCTGTGCATTAAATTTTCAGAACTTTAAGACTGATGACTCTGATTTGGTGTACAGCTCACAAGCTCCTAAAGGAAAGACTTTTGATGATAATTATTATGAGAAATTTGCCAGCAAAGAAGTAGACATTAGTATTTGAAAATTCACTGCATTCATAATCTTAAAAACCTTAGCAAAAAAAATTGCAAAAGAAGACACTCTTTAAAAATGGACATTTTTAATATAGACTGTACAAAGCGTTTGCCATGAACCATTTCAAAATCATTTTCTATTTTGTTTTTATTTTATTCAATGTTAAAATTAATTTTGGCATATTTATGGCATAAAGTTAATTTTCAAAAAATAACTTCAATTTATATCATTGACAGACAAGAAAAATGGAATTGAGTTAATTGGCAGGAAAAAACTCCCATATTGTAAACACATAAAACATAGCTGTATATGATACACCAGTTTACAAGCAAAATTTGCGGAAGACAAAAGGAAATCTAAGTTAATTTTATTACACATATATTGAAAATAATTGTAACATACATTTTTAGAGGAAAGCATTGTTTTACCTCCATAAATATGGTATTTTGAATAATGGAATACAGTCTAAATCATAAATATCATACTGAACACTTTAACTTTTAATAGAGCATAAAATTACAAAAAGTAAAAATGTACAATGAATATTAGTAAATAGCAGACAAGAAAACACAAAAGAAATTACTAATAAATGAGATCCCATATCAGATACTAAGTGCGATCTCAATGAATAACAGAGCATCAAAAAACAAAGTGTAATATGTATGCATATTATATTTGAACACGGTTCTAACAAATTATATGCATAGAAAGCATATAGACCAGGTGCAGTAGTGCATGCCTGTAATCCCAGCACTTTCAGAGGCCGAGGAGAGAGGATCACTTGAGCCTAGGAGTTTGACAAGATCGGGCACGTTCAGGGTGGTATAGCCATAGACAAGCCTAGGAGTTTAAGATCAGCTTGAGTAACATGGTGAAACCTCATCTTTACAAAAAATAAAAATAAAAATTAGTTGGGCAGGGTGGTGTGTGCCTGAGTCCCAGCTGCTAGGGAGGCTGAGATGGGAAGATCAACTGAGCCCAGGAGTCAGAGGTTGCAGTGAGGCATGATTGTGCCACTGCACTCCAGCCTGAGTGACAGAGCAAGACCCTGTCTCAAAAAAAAAAAAAAGTATACATATATATATAACAGTATTTGTATGCATATATTGATATGCATGTGCATGCATACACACACACATTAGTAAAAGATGGTTTTAATCAAGGTGTCCTCATACTATAGCAATACCTGTTTAGCTTTTGAACTATGCATTTTGTTAGTAATATATTTTAATATACCACAATAGGTTAACTTCTAATCTACTTTTCATTGGTTATATGAATCACAACTCGATACTTGCTTAAAGATTGCTAGCAGGATGTAAATAATCTATGTGTTTTAATGCATTTTATTAGAAAATCTTAAGGCCTTTTTACTATCCAGAAATATTTTGTCTATTTTGCACTGTCTTCCGGATTAGATCAGGAATTTTATTTATTCATTCATTTACTCAGATAGTTGTTTATTATTTGTTGTTCATTTATTCATTTATTTGTTTTCTTTTTACTTCATTTTGAATGGGTAATATTTGTATGTAGTTCAAAATTTAAAAGATACACTAAAGTATACAATGAAAAGAAAATTTTCTCTCATTTTCATTTTCTGTTAGATTTTTCATTTCCACTCTTACATTCTACTTTCGGTTTTATTTAAGTTTGTTATTATTGTTGTTACTTACGTGTACGCTTTTAAAAATATTTAATTTATGCACCTAAATGATACGCATTTTATTCCAGCTATGAAAATTTGGAAATCAGCACACATAGTACCTTATATATTTCTGTATATTTCTTTATTGTTTGCAGTTATTAAAGTGACATCATGTTTATAACCACAAGCTGTGCTTTACATCCTACTCAATGAAACAATTAAATACTTCAATGTCCCTTGACTTACATTTGCCATCTTTCTCTTAGTCAATAGCATGTATTCTCTGAGATTTTCTTCAAAATGAACTTAACAGTTCAAATGAAATTACTAGGAAGGCTGGTTTCTGCTAAGCTCAAAACATGACTCCTTTGTCCCTATTGCGTTCGTATCTGAGTGGTAGTTTAGCTAGCTGTAACTGTCTTAGGTCACGCTTTCCTTCCTTGAAGATTGTCTAGGTAGTTTTTCGCTATCATTATAACACTGAGTATTGCTGTGGAGAAGTTGAAGGTTGGCCTATTTTTTCACCTTATAGAAGAATTAAATCTTTTTTTCTGGCTACTCAAAGCATTTATATATATGAAATTTGACAATCAGCTAACTTACAGGGTTTATTTTCTAGTAGACAATTTTAGGTCAGCTTCTCCTGGGATATAATATTCCCTTTAAAGAAGTAAATTCAAGTGGTCCTTTATATCCGAAAAGTTTTATTTTTTTAATTGAATCTCTAAATATTTTTTCTTTGTTCCACTATTTAGATCATACCAATGAGGAGATAATAGTTATGTGTTTATTAAATCTTGTTTGGAAAAAATGCTTATTTGAATTTTCTTTGTATCTTGTTCAATTTTTTTTTTTTTAATTTTCACTCTATTTTGCTCAATTTTTAAGTCTTGTCCTTTGTTTTACCTACTGTGATTCTGGAGATGTCTATACTATTTCTGCTGCTTCTCATTTAGCCTTTATATCTATGAGATTTTTTACTTCTTATTACAATTATTTTCTCTCTGAACAGCTCATGTTTTCTTTTCTTCTCACCATTTCTTCCCTATGAAGACATATTTAATGCTCTGTTATTAATAAAACTGCCTCAATAACTTTACAATTAAGTATGATATTTTCGTGCTGACTTTTAGCAGATCTACAGCAACATTTTTGTGGTTAGTATTCTTCCTTTGGTTGTTTCTCCTTCTTCTTCCATTTCTTTCCTATTTTATTATGTTTATTTTGTATTAGTCTATTATTGTTTGTTTTGAATTATTTCTCTTCTTTGCACCAGGTAACTCTTCCTGTAAGATAATCTAGGCTCAGGTACTTGGTTGCCACAATTTCCCTCATGTTTTAGGATTATTTGCATGTCAATGAGATCACCCCAGCCAGTCAAGATTAGCACCATAGGGCTGTTCACAATGGTGGTATCCCTTCTCCTCCTAGCCACAAAACTATGTTCCTCTCTAGATATATGGGCAGTCCGTGTGTTCATTTATCACTACCTGCCAAACTGTCAAATCAGCAAGATCTTACAGTCTTTGCCTTAATTTTCATTGTTGAAGATATGACTGTTGCTTCCTACTTCAGGGTGTACTACTTACTTGATAAAGTGTACTACGTATGCTTTTATAAGATTCCTCGCAATGGGTATGCTGAGCTATATATTTCTGCACTCATTATTCAACCTTCTAAACATTTAGAAATACCCCCTGCCTCCATTTTGCACTTCAGAGTTTTACGTTTCTCTTGTCCTTTGAAGTTGCCATTTTTATTTTGATCCTTATTTTCTATTTGTTTTTCAGTGATTTCCAAGAGAAGAAAATGAAAAGAAAAACTTTCTGCTGCAACTTAAAAATACATGTTCTCTCAGATATGTAGAAACAAGAAAATAAGCTTTGTTAGTCAAGAACTGTCCCATCTTATGTTGATTTCATCACTATGGAAAGGATGTAGTTGTACTTTCTCCCAATGTTTTCTAGTCTAACACACATTATTAGGTATTTTAACTTTGATCATCATTTTCTTATTCTTTCTATAGTCTGTTTTTATTTTTATTCACTATAGGTTTCTATCTTTCACATACTTCCGCTAATTTATTTAGTTTACATTTTTATTTCTGTATGTTTATTTGTTATATAACATTCATCAGGATGCACTATAATTCTTCCATCTCTTATGACTGAGAGACTGGCAAAAATTAGTTCATATGGAAATAGAATCAAACATTGTCATTTCCTTAATTTATACTTATACCTACAAATACTCACAATTCATAGTTTCTTCAACTAACAGTGGCTTCCTATTTTTTCCTTCCCACTTAGCTTCCACTAGGTGGAAGGATTCCTACCAATCCTTCCCTTTTTCTTATGTAAACCAAGTGTGGATTAATACCAAATCTAGGCATGTTTTCCACCAAAATAATATGGGAATCCACTAAAATAATATAGATGAGTCTGTTCAATTTGTTTTGTCTGCTATAGAGTTTTCCTTAATACTATAGGCCAGATGATTTTATAAATATTATATTAAGAAAGAATTATTTCTGACTTTCTTTAATTTGCAGATTTGGAATTCTCTGCTATATTTTTTGTTAATTTTACTTCTTGGCAGAATAATGAACTTTAATTAAAAATAAATGAGTCATTAAATGAATTATAAATTCATCAGTGAATCTCAGTTGCAATAATGTTTTTACATTTTTCTTGAAAAAAATGAAAATTAAGTCTCAGATTTCTTTAAGAGTTATACAATTTTGGATATCACTATGATTTTTCAGATAGTTACATTTGAGAAAAAGAATCCTTTTTCAAAATACATAATGCTTGACAATGGCTTTGATCTTAGTTTTAGTGCCCAGGAATTTCACAAAAGGGATTGAGCAAAGCAAGAGACAGGATTTTAGGATCTCTAATCTTGAAGAATGTCTACAGTTTTCTTTTGGGAAGATTATAAAGAACGATCGTACTGCGACTTCTGAACCACTTATGCTCAAGATATTGTTACATACATCTAAGACATCAGTAGCCCAAAGAATAGTGACCAGAGGGAAATGCAGAAATAAGCTAGAAACCAGATGAAAGTCTGTATTTGAAAAGGATTACCTGACTAAATGTTGTTTCTGAATCCAAAGAGATAAAATTGCAATAAAAGAATAAAATAATAAGGCAAAACTTTTGGAAAAAATTGAGTAGGTATGAAGTGAATTTTAAAAAATGAAATTTGAAGGTTAAGCTGATAGATTGCATTCTTTTATGATGCATATTGCAGCAAATTGCTCATGCAAATTAATGCTGCTTGCATATTAATGGAATGATTATGAGTACAGTTTTTATGTTATGGAATTATCAAAATTGATCTTGAAAAAGTGAGCTTTTAGTTGTTAGAATTTAATTTTAAAATCATAAAAACTTTAGCTAAATTCCATATTTAAATGAAAAATGCTTCTATTTTCCGAGTTGTGCTAACCCAAATTATGAAAGTGAATTAACCAGAGTAGGTTATTATGATAAAAAGGACAGTCAAAATATATAAAGTTTCACATAAATTAAAATTTCATTTCTTGCTCGTATGCCAGTTTAGGCTCTTGCTTATATACTGGTTTAGGTCAGGTTCTTATAGAACATATTTTGATGTTGTAGGAAGAACATCAGTTATCACCCTGCTGAGCCTGGAGAGGACAGAATTGTGAAAGGAATCCATCAGAATAATTGTCACTCAAAAATTGTAAAACACAATTAATCTTTTCTATAAAAAGAAATAGTGGATAGTTACACTTGACTCCATGCTGATTGAAGTCCTGTCATAAAGCAGATGTTTGAGTTATCTTGAAAACAGGGTATAAAAGGGCATGTTAAATATTAAGCCTGATGTTCCCATGAGAGAAGAGTGTTGTTAAATTACTAACAATCCTGGCTTATAAAGAGTGCATAATCTGTCTTTTGTATGTTAAAATTTAGCTTCTTTAAATAAATGGAACATTTGGACACCTTTTTGAGTTGCAAAATTTTAACAAGATGTTTTTGAAAAAACGAGAGACATTTCTCTACATTAATCCTTGCTACTACTGAAGTGGAGCTTACAAAGGTCAGAAGCAGATAGAGCCTTCCTGCCCCTCCTTTTGCTGTCATACCTATGGAACAGCAGGGTCCTCCCAACGAAAGGGCAAGAGTGATGTTCCCTATAATGAATAGTGCTATTTTATTACTTGACCTTCAAGACAGCCTGAAACTTTCAAGTCAGAGATCAGTGTGGAAAAACAAATTGATGAGCAGGAACACTGTAATCTTAGCTGATAACTCTTTAAAAGGTAACCAAAGCTATTTCTTTGCTCCCTGGATACCGGTAAACTTTTCAAAGAACTTAAAAAAAATCTGGTAGAGCATAAGGAAAAGTGAACATTTTGAGTGGCCTTTTCAAAACCACAAGTCATGTTAAGAATCTCGAGGCAGTCTGTCTTCACAAATGACTATTCAAAATGCTGAATATGCCCCAAATTAGAAATGACCATTATATAAGGCTGTGTGTAAGCAAGAGCTTTGAGAATGGGGGCTTACTGTAAGTCCAAGAGAAGATCAGAAAGAAAAAAGTTATAAAGAGCAAAAGAGGAACAAAAGTCCACCAAAGACAGGGCCTAATCTAGTTCTTAACAGAATTTGGATTTGGGTCCAAGGGGGAATTTTCAGATATAAGTCTGGGAAAAACACAAACTTACAACAAAAGCAAAATAGAAAACTAAAAATATCTGAAATTTAAACCTCCAAAAGTAGAAACAGGAATAAAAAGTTTCATAAAATGTGCTAGTTATTTTTATTTTATCATAATTCCTACTTAAATCCTTTTGGTTTTACATGAACATGGAATATTTCTAACAACAGAAAAGTCAATCATTGAAAACAATTTTTATGTGGATTTAAAATATATTTAGCCAAAAATCATTACTTATATGTATATACAATATAAAGATACAAATACTAAAGCAAGTGTTTTAGGGGGTAAACAATACAATTTATTTTATCCAAATAACAATAATTTAATCAATAGTTAATTTTGTTTCAGTGAATATTTCTGTAATTCAAATTAAGTCATAAGTGACTGGTAAAAGGGCAATGAAGTTATCATAAGTTGAAATTTGTTAATCCATATGGCATTTTTCCAATACACTTAATGGTTTCTGCTCCCAAGTAAATCAGTTAAAGACAAAGAGCACTAAATGGCTGGCCTTAGCCAACTCAGTACTGTGCATAATGCCTGTTCAACCCCACGGTCTTCCCTTTCTCTTTGTCTTAGTTTTGCCACATGTTCTGCTCAGAAAGTTCTGATCGCACTGTTCCACCTGATATTTATATATTTTGCCCATGTTTTTATAACTCAATAATGCCATCCCTTCTGTGTACAGTATTTGAACAAGCTGTTTTCACCTTTTTTTGTCAAGGTAAATTCTTTCATTAATTCTAATATATTTTGTTACTTATTAGGAGTTTAGGATGTTCTTTTAGCTGCACTGGTATTTTTATTACTATTATCAGGATAATTAAGGCATTACTTAATGTTCTTCTTCCAACGATTCTTAGGATTTTACTCGGTCTTCATAGGTTTTGATATTTGTTATGTACATATTTGCATCATACTATTTTGTTAAAAATATGCATGTTGCATTATTGTAAATTGTCTGTATATAGTAAAATGAATAACTAGGATTCATAAATTGTACTGTAATTGACTTCTACTACAATAATTGACTATAGCTAACATTATTGTTAGTAAAATTAAAACAAGAAGATCAAGTATCATTGACCCTGATATTTTAATTTTTTATGCTATAAAATACTCTCCTAGAAGGTCAGTATAAGAAAACATATAAAAGCCAGGTGCAGTGGTATATACCTGTACTCCCCACTATGTAGTAGGCTAAAGCAAAGGATTGCTTGAGGCCAAAAGTTTGAGGCTACAGTGTGCCATGACTGTGCCTGTGAATCCCACTGAACTCCAGCATGGGCAATATAGTGAGCCCCCATTTCTTAAGAAAAAAAATATGTTTTAATACAAAATGAAATAAAATATGAAACTAAAGCCTACTTTTCAGTTATTTTCTTCTTATTTTGCTCAATACAAAGTCTTGATTCTTGACAATCAATTTCTAGTTTAGAAATGGAGCAGAAAACCTGTACTGAAACTACATGCTTTCATGAGTTATAATTATATGTTGGATTGTGCCTCATAACACATGTAAGTGTAATTGTATGTTTGAATCAATTCTACAAAATTGCATCCAGGCTACCATTGTATTTATAGCAATGGCATTGGCTTTTGTTTAAATTGTAAAGACAACAACACTAAATGGTCATGGGAGAAGAAGAAAATTACAATTATTTAATTCCTTATATATAATAAACTAAATATATGTTTAAAAGGCTTGGATATGCTGATCTGGAGTAAATAGAAAATTATTCTGAGTGAGAGAAAAACTGAAAGGAAACTGAACACAGTTTGAAAACTCCTCTCCATCTATCACAAACTAACGACAACATTTAAATGACAGAACTGGGTAAAGTAGGTTGCTATAACAAGCTTCAGAGTCAGTGGCAGAGCTGAAAATGCAACGTTTGTTGATTTTTTGAAACAGTGCTCTGACAGGATGATCCGAACTCGATTTATTTCTTACCTCGAAAAGACTTTTAAAAGCTGAGAAATAATGATACCAATTTGATAGGACTTCTGCATCTACAGAAATCTACAGCCTCCTTCTGTGAACACTGCATGTACTTTCTTCCACTGATCACAAAACCAGGTTAATTATTTTACTCCTAATACAATCACCTGTTTAAAGCTAGTTCTTTATGGTTTTGGATTTTTTTTTCTTTTTCTGGCAGCTCATATGTTAAAAGAGTGCAGATTTGGAAAAGGGTTGATTAAACATATACTCTAGTGACACACTGGGTACTGGGCACAAAGAGAGTAGCTATAAAGACAAAATTATAACAGTCCTGCCTTTATACTCTGTGGTAAATCATGTGTAAAATGTAATCTAATCCCACTGGATTCTGGAGATTTACCATGGAAGCCAGAATGGGTTTGAGCCAAAATTATTAATAATATTTTTATTTGATCTTATTACAGTAGAACTAATAATTCACACATGTAAACGTTTTTTTTAAAAAATCTTTACTAATGTCTCTAGCTGGTTTCACCATTTATTAATTATGTAAACATATATCTTTATTGGTAAAATTAATATTTTAAAAATATTCAAGTTTTAAAGTATCTAAACTCTGATGAAAGAGCAGTTAACTTCTACAGTTATCTAAATTGCATCTTCTTTTTCCATTTTAACCATTAAAATACCAGTTAAAATAAATATGATTTGTTTCTCATAAATCCACATTTTCAATGGGGACAGTGATTCTCTCTCTCACTCTTCCTGTCTTTCTTTATTTCCATGCGTAGAATTCTCAGATTGGCATTTCTGATTATAGTAGATACTAGTAACATATATACCCCAGAAAACACTTTCAAACTCCAATAAACTGGTAATATAAAAATTTGGAAAGGAAGAGGTGAGAAATAAGTGGGCCCTCTCTGCTTTCTTCACAAAGACTGGCATTATATCAGTTTCACAGCAGCAATAGTGGTGAGAATTCCTCATGCATTCAAGACAATTTTTACTTTATCTGTGACAATTAGCATTGTCTGTAAACTATGCACACAGAGTACATTAGTTAATTAAATTAAATTAATTACATGAGATATGTATCTAGCATTACATTTAGTGTATTGCAATTGTTCTTATCACTTCCTTCACTTAAAAGCATAGCATAGTATTTTTTGAGTACATACTACACAAAACACTTTGCAAGGAAAACATTTGACATTCAAAGATACACATCTATGAATCCTTTATGATTCACTCTCAAAACACAAACTTCTGTTTTCAGGATCTATTACCACTGTGTTACAGACGAGAAACTAAGGTTAAATAACATTGTGACTAGCTTAAGTTTAAAATGTTAATAAGTGGTAAAACTGATATTTAAATGGTAGAGTTAGCAAAAACTATTGGCCAGCAAAAGCTGATAAAAGCAGGCCAGTCTTAGCGCCGAAGAAAAAAATTATAATGAAGTACTCTATGCCAGATATTAAGTTATAAGTTGTACCTTAGCTTGAGTTTCATTCAGGAATTGACCAAGTATTAATAAAGATTAGGAAGCAATTGGGGATTGGTGAGAGTTTCTTTTTGAAACTGGGAAGGTTGTAAACACCACTGAACCCTCTCATGATAAAACATCATGAATCACATCTAGATTAATTGGTGGTTGAGGGTTCTGGTTTCCTGGCATCTTCACCAACTCTTTGAGCAGTTGACCCTTGAACAACTTAGAAGTTTAAACTGTGAAGGTTGGCATATGTGGATTTTGTTTTTACCTCTGCCACCTCTGAAGCAGCAAAACCTCCTCTTCCTCCTCCTCCTCAGCCTACTGAATGTGAAGACATTGAGGATGAAGACATTTGTAATGATCACTTCCACTTAATGACTAGTATATATATATATATATTTTTTTTTTCTCTTCATTAATATTTTCTTAATAACATCTTCTTTTCTCTCACTTACTTTATGGTAAGAATGCATTATGCAATACATGTAACATACAAAATGTGTTAATCAACTGTTTATGTTACCACTGAGACTTCCAGTCAGCAGTGGGCTATTAGTAGTTAAGTTTTTGGAGAATCACAATTGTGTATATATGTATGTATTTATATATAAATATATATATGTATATATAAATATATATACATACTTGTGATTCTCCAAAATATAATATAAATATATATATATATTTTTTTTTAACTGAACCCCTTCATTGCTCAAGGATCAGCTGTTATTACATAAGGGATTGGGATTGTTTTATGCGTTGTTATTGGCTATGCAACTGCCTATTCAAAAGACCATGAAATCTGAGGAGGAAAAGGGAGAATTTTATTTTCTAAAACATCAATCTGCAGGTTGGAGAGGCACACCCTTCAGTACAAGTTAAAGTGTGTTCTCTAAAGAACAAGAGGAGGGTCTGGCTTAAATAGGGGAAGTTCTCACCTCAGTTCTCAATCAGATCCATTGATGCAAATGAAGGATTCAAGGTTGTTCAGTTCTGATTGGTCAAAATAGTCAGGCTCTGATTGTTTTCAAGCCCCAAAACAAAAATGTCTTTTAGATGTTTATTTCAAATAGCCATGGGGTGGGGGCAGTTTAAATCTGCAGTTCATCTTGTCACTAACAAGAGGAACTGGTTTGGCTTGATTATAGAAAGGGAAATCCTATGACACTTTTGCAATGTCTTTCCAGGAACAGAGTATGTGACAGTTCCCACACCCAGTCATGGCCACCTGACTCTATTTTAACTTTGAGCACCTCAGTTAGCCACGATGGTTCTATTTTGTCTGTCGGCTGGTGGCATACTTTAATACTGTGTGACTTGATGATTCTGAAAGTTCTGATTTGAAACTGTCAAGAGGCAGTTTTTCATTTACTGTTAAGAACTTAGCATTTTGTTCAGGAAATAGATTTCTGATTGACAAAACTTACAAAATAGAAAATTAAACAGAATTATAGCATAATTCATTACATTTGTAATCTGAAGAAAGTTGAACTTCTAAATTGAGTTCATTAATATCCAAATAGCTTCATTTGTTGCCTACTGTTAGGTATACATTGTTCTTTCTGCTTAAAAATGATCTCACACCAGTTAGAATGGCGATTATTAAAAAGTCAGGAAACAACAGATGTGGGAGAGGATGTAGAGAAATAGGAACATTTTACACTGTTGGTAAGAGTGTAAATTAGTTCAACCATTGTGGTAAACAGTGTGGCAAATCTTCAACAATCTAGACCCAGAAATACCATTTGACCCAGCAATCCCATTACTGGGTATATACTCAAAGGATTATAAATCATTCTACTATAAAGACACATGTACACATATGTTTATTGCAGCGTTATTCACAATAGCAAAGACTTGGAACCAACCCAAATGCCCATCAGTGATAGACGGGATAAAGAAAATGTGGCACATATATATCATGGAATACTATGCAGCCATAAAAAAGGATGAGTTCGGCCGGGCGCGGTGGCTCACGCCTGTAATCCCAGCACTTTGGGAGGCCGAGGCGGGCGGATCACGAGGTCATGAGATCGAGACCATCCCGGCTAAAACGGTGAAACCCCGTCTCTACTAAAAATACAAAAAATTAGCCGGGCGTAGTGGCGGGCGCCTGTAGTCCCAGCTACTTGGGAGGCTGAGGCAGGAGAATGGCGTGAACCCGGGAGGCGGAGCTTGCAGTGAGCCGAGATCCCGCCACTGCACTCCAGCCTGGGCGACAGAGCGAGACTCCGTCTCAAAAAAAAAAAAAAAAAAAAAAAAGGATGAGTTCATGTACTTTGCAGGGCCAAGGATGAAGCTGGAAACCATAATTCTCAGCAAACTAACACAGGAACAGAAAACCACTCATAAGTGGGAGTTGAACAATAAGAACATAGGGACACAGGGAAGGGAACATCATACACCAGGGCCTGTCGGGGGGTTAGGGGGCTAGAGGAGGTATAGCATTAGGAGAAACACATAATGTAGATGACAGGTTGATGGGTGCAGCAAACCCCCATGGCACGTGTATACCTATGTAACAAACCTGCGCACTCTGCACATGTATCCCAGAACTTAAAGTGTAATAATAAAAAAAAGTTATTTTTCTCTGACTCAGAATAATACAGCTTTTTTGCCTTCCTTTGCATAGTATCCTTTTCCTGTCTTCTTTACACCAACATCCAAAGTGGAACGAGTATATTAATACTTGTGGCAAACTTAGAACACTCATGGTTAGGCTGAACTGACTGTTTCCAATGAACATTTCCATCTCTAATATTAACCCAATCTTTGTCTTGTTTCCAACAATCAAGGAACTGATTCCCTAGCTAAAGCTACACATAGACAGAATTTCTGTTTAAAATTTGTATAATTGGTTCAATTTCAAATGCCTGCAATCGTAAGCTGTATAAAGTGTGGTAAATACATTTTTTTTTCAATGGAACTTGTTACTGAGAATTTCCGAGAGAATACATTATAGGTAGGACTAAAATTTTGTTGAAGAATAATTTGTAATTATAGAACATGGAAATGTAACCAACCAAGAGTAATTGTGTCATAAACTAATCAATATTTGTATAAAATAACACAATTTGAGAGAGAATTTGACTAGAAAATTTGAAGATCTTGATCCTAATGTCATTTCTGCCCTTCACTGACTACATGACATTAAGCAAGTGCTTGTTATATCCTTGAGTCTCATTGTTCTAAACAGTCAGATGGATGAATCTTCTAGGATTTCTTTCTGACTCTAAATTACCATTTTTAATTAATACATTTGCATATGAAAGCTTACTTATTCACTTGCTGCTTTTAAAACACAATACTGCTGGTTTTAAAACACAGTTAATGTTCATTAAATATCAACCATGCACACTGCATATACTTGACACGAGTCTTTCTAGGCACATTATATTACATAATGCCGTGGCTACTAAATTATTTTGTAGTCATAGCAAAGATAATTATAATATCTAAATTTTTTATGCTAATATCTAAATTTCTATAATTGTTGGGAGTATATTTAGAGACTATTTAATATGTACTGCATCAAAAATCTATAAAACAAGATGGCATCATTATCCTCATCTTATTAACAAAGGATGTGAGGCTTGAACTTATGGAAAGGCTTCCAGTTATTAAGCAGCATTTTAATTATAGTTATAAGCATGAAAATACATATTCCTAGTTCAAACATTATTATTTTTTATTGCTCTAGTCCACCTATTACTTACAAAAATATTGATAATACCAATAATAAGCCTACCTGTAGTTACTTATTTTTCTTAATGTAATGTTTATTTGGATATGCAATATTATAATTATGATCATTTGTGTTCAAAACTGAAAATTGTTCAAATAGTTCCCTTTTTTCTTAAATGGAGATACAGTGCTTCATTATAGCCTACAGCTAATTTTTTTTTCATTTGCAATATACACAAAAGGTTTTTTTACGGGAAGAACCAAATTATGCTTTGTGTGGGTGTATGTATTTATTTAAATTTAAGTTTGACAGTGAATATCACCAAAACTTATAGGAAAAAAAAGTAAGTCAAATAACAAGTTGATTTACTCTTATGTATTTTGGGTAGAAAACTTGGGAGAATTCTGAACTACTTTTGCATATGTGGTCCTGGACCTACCAATCACAAAACAGTGATAGCACAGAAATAAATGAACTGTACATGTATTGTTAGAGGCATTCCGGTATTCAGCCAAATAAACTCAATTACATTTCAGTAGGCAGACAAGTCAATGTGTCACAACAGATGGATGAACAAAGGTGATCATGGAGATAATTTAAGAACAAAAGACTCAATATAATTGAAATTATTTTGGGGTGAGTTCTAGAGCATGAACAAAAATGCGTATAGTAAAAAAGCTAGTTTTTCAACAAACAGTATGTAAAAACCACTGAGAGTTTTCATTCTTCAGTTGTAGAATAATATCTATCAATATAAAAAAATTAACCATTCAAAATTGACTGGGCTTCTGAAGCATATAGTGTGATAGGTTTTTATCACACTGTAGTAATGGAAAAATAACTCAGTTCTATTGCTATTAATAAGAAATCAACAAATATGAAAAATGAAAAGTTACACAATTATGTGTAATTATTGAGACTATTAGTGTTTCTCTAATACATACTTGTAGATTTCGTTGGAATACTAAATATACTAAATTTTAAAAAGACTTTTTAAAATCCATTACAAAAAAAACTTCTGAAAGCTCAGTCATGTTAGAGTTTATTATATTGATTACATTCAGAGACAATTCATCAACCCTGTTCAAGTTACAGCCTATACATTGATTTTTTTCAGTAGACTTAAAAAGCAAGTGCTATTGATTTATCTATCTATCTAGCTAGCTATATATAATTTTCATTATAAAGGTACAGGATATAGAATAAAAGGCATATTTGAGCAGATGCTGAAAAGAACATTTTCAATATTTTAGTATTTTATAACTCCAAGATATTTACTTTGGAGGTGTTTTGTTGTTGTTAAAACAAAATATCTTCCAGCTCTTCAATTTTAATAAGACTTTATAGTCATGCCTCCATATTTGGGGGAGGTTAGTTCCAGAACTCCCCACAGATACCAAAATGCACAGATACTCAAGTCCCTTACATAAAATGGCATAATGTTTGCATATAACCTATGTACATCCTCCTGTGTACTTTAAATCATCTCTAAATGACTTATAATAATTAATACAATGTTTATGCACACACTTCATTTGCATGAATTCAACATAGTATTTGGTGAACAGCAAATTTGTTTTTCTGTTTAGAACTTTGTAGAATTTTTTTTCTGAATATTTTTGATCTGTGATTTGTTGAATCCACGGATTCTCAGCTCATGGATACAGAGGTACGACTGCATTTAGTTCGACTTCCAATATGGCAAATGATACGGTTTGGATCTGTGTCCCAGCCCAAATCTCATGTTGATATGTAATTCCCAATGCTAGAGGTGGGGACTGGTGGAAAGTGATTAGATCATGGGGGTGATTTCTCATTAATTGTTTAGCACAACCTCCCTAGTGCTATTCTTGTGATCGAGTTCTCATGAGATCTGGTTATTAAAAAGTGTGTAGCACTTCCCACCACCAACCCCACCCTGTGCTCTCTCTCTCTCTCATCCTCCTACTCTGGCCATGTTAATTGCCTGACTCTCCCTTTGCCTTCTGCCGTGATTGTAAGCTTTCTGAGGCCTCCCTGGAAGCAGAGTTACTATGCTTCTGCCACAACAGAAGCCTTTGGAACCATGAGTCAATAAACATCTTTTGTTTATAAATTATGCAGCCTCAGGTATTTCTTTATAACAATGTGAGAATAGACTAGTACAGCAAGGTATTAGTACACACTTCCAGATAGTAGCCTGACAAGTTCCACAGTTCCACTCTCCAGGAAAACAAGCAAAACTGTGTCAACTATTGAAAAACCATGTAAAGTCTCTGGAGTTTGTCCTAAAGGCCTGAAACAAATGAAGAAATATTTATTTAAGGAAAGCTATTAAAACTCTCTAAGAACAGCCAAAATCTGTGATATTTGAGCTATGACCTGTTACCTCCTGTATTAGTCCATTTCCACACTGCTACAAATAACTACCTGAGACTAAGTAATTTATAAAGAAAAGAGGTTTAATTGACTCACAGTTCCATATGGCTGGGAAGGCCTCAGGAAACTCACAATCATGGCAGAAGGCAAAGGTCAAGCAAGGCATGTCTTACATGGCGTCAGGAGAGAGAGAGAGCCCGGCGGGGTTAGGTGAAACTGCCACACACATTTAAATCATCAGATATCATGATAACTCACTATCATGAGAACAGCATGGGAAAACTGCCCCTATGATCCACTCATCTCCCACCAGGTCCCTCCCGTGATATTTGGGGACTACAATTTGACATGAGATTTGGGTGGGGACACAGAGCCAAACCATATCACCACCTTTTGCACCTGCCGCCAGCTCAGCTAAATGGAAGCCTTACTCCAGGTGGGTGTGGCTAAAAAGATGGGGCTTGCTTTCCCCCTCTCTCCTTAGTTCTCAATCAAGGGTTACTGTATCTCACTGGGAGGGTCAAGACAACAACAGCATTTCTCACCCTGTCCACATGAAACACAATAGGCTAAATTTCTGGTGAGTGCTGTCAAATGTCCTGGGCTCCTTTCTTGCACTAAATCTCTACCCAGAGGAGAGAGACTGTTCTCTAGGTACATAGGCTGAGAGTACTGAATTAACAATTGTCCTTGCTTGCCCTAGCTCATTCAGATAGCAAACCTTATAAGACCAGAGGTACCACTCCACTCAGAACCCAGAGTAATGACTTAGAGATTTTTATCCAAGGGGAGAATTAGTCCATAAAAGAGATTTTTTAAACTCTTCCCAAAGACAATGACTTTATTTGAATCAGACGAAGAGGAGGTTAAAGCATATGGGTATTCTTGGAGACAATTGCTTTCTTTAATTTAGAGCAACAAGGTTAACCATAGCCCAGCTAGTACACCACCAAGAATCAGTGAAAGAGACAGCTAAGTAGAGTCTTCCTGGGTTTAGTACAACCCTAAAGAAATGACCCAAAAACTACCAGGACCTAGATGTAATTGGATCAGACTACTGAGGAACGTATTCCCCAGAGCATTGTTTCAAACAATACAGCAATCCACTAGTAATTAGTAAAAGCCTAATACTAACTAGGCAGACAACTGAACAGACATTAGGGAAAAAGACAATTAAGGAGACAACCAGTAAAACCACTGATAAGAGAGTGACTGTGAGCACTCCCAAGCCCTACTCTTCATGGAACTACATAAAGTATTCATTCACACGCTAAGGAAAACTTCCCAAAACGCTGCAAGACAAACTTCTTTAAAATACCTTATCTACAAATAGTTTGGCCAAGTCGCAAACAAGTAAACAAGCAAACAATAAAACAAAGCAAACCTCAGAGAGGATAAAGGGGATCAGTATCCAGAGTTACTATAATATATTGTATTAAGTGCCCAGTGCTCAACCAAAAATTATGAGACACCCAAAAAGGTAAGAAAGTTCCATCAGGCAACTGAAACTGCCTGTGAAAAGGACCTTATATCAGTTTTAACAAAGCCTTCAAAGTAGTCATTATAAGTTTGTTCAAAGAACTAAAGAAAACCAGTCTTATGGAAGTAAAAGAAGGCATGAAGATGTCACTTCAAGTAAAGAATATCAATACCGGGACAGACAATATGATTTTAAAAATGCAAATTATGTAGATGAAAAGTACAATAACTGAAATTACAAATTCACTAGAAAGGCTCAACACTACATTTCAACTGGAACAAGAAAGAATCAGCAGACTTGAAGATAGATTGATAGAGATAATGCAATTGAAAA
Source organism: Homo sapiens (assembly GCF_000001405.40). Lineage (NCBI taxonomy): Eukaryota > Metazoa > Chordata > Mammalia > Primates > Hominidae > Homo > Homo sapiens. The sequence continues at coordinate 188,379,737 of NC_000001.11, forward strand.
AGAGAAAATAAAGTAAAAAAAAATGAACAGAGCCTCAAAGAAGTGTAGAATACTTTAAAGTCCAAAATATGCATAATGGGAGTACAGAACAGAGAAAGAGAGAAAAAGAAGGAAACAACACATTTTTGAAAAAATTAATAAGTAAAATAACTCTGATTTTACTGAAAAATATTTATCTACATATCTAAGAAGCTTGATTAACTCAAAATAACATAATCACAGACATTCATGTCCAGATATAGCACAGTAAAAATATCGAAAGACAAAAGCAAAGAGTTTATTTGTTAAGGAAAACACTGAGGTAAACTTAGTATCAGTAGAGAGTTTGTTTGGGCCAACTTTGAGGACTGCAATTTAGGAGCATAGATTCAAGTTGTCCTGAATATGCACTTGAATTATTAACAGTTAAAGTAAGTTTTTAAAGGAAAAGAAGAGGTAGTTCCTAAATTGTTTACCAATAATTTCCATTAAAACAACATTAGCTATTGATTGGCTATACCTTGTACTTTGTATCATAAATTCCAGGAACATGAAGATAGTAGGTGAGGCAGCTAGTCAGGCATGCATGCTGGGAGATGGCTGACTAAAGTCCCACATTCACGTCTTTCCGGGCCTGATGAATTTTCTGTACCTCATATAGCTCAGACTGCTCTTGGCTATTTTTCTTTTCTCATTTGTATGCTATATTCCTGATTTTAGATTATTCAATGCCAATAGTGTGTTAAAATAATTACAAAATCTTATATCCTAAATCTACCACCGACTAAGCAAATCTATCCCTTTATTCTTTAGCTTTTAATTTTAATTAGCAATAATTCTATATTGACTTTTACTAATATTCCACAGAAAACCTTTTCACATCTTTTTCATGCTTCTTGAGCTTATATGCCAATTATGTCTTTTTCCTTCTTAGCATTTTTATTGTGCTCAAATTTGATGCCATATAACTACTCAGCTTATTTTAACTCCAACTAAAAATATCTGTCATGTCTTTACCCATTCAATCTTTTGTTTCTATGTCAGAATGAAGTTTTTCTCTTCTTTATGCCAAGGCCATTCTTACTGTTTATGAGTTTAGCAATGTTATTTATATGAAGAATAAATTTTACATGACCAGTTTTCTAATACTCTTTCATTTTTAGTTCTTATTTACTTGACCATTTATTTCTTCTCTTCTCCCTATGCAACTGACCAGGTTAGGGCTATATAAACAAACATACAAAATATTTGAAAAATATTCTTTTCTTAATTGAATTATCTCTTAAACATCTGCAAAAATATAATAATTTTGTTTATTGTTTCCTTACCATGTACTCAGGCCTATTTAATTTTTGCTTTTATTAACATTAATTCTTTCCTTAAAAATTCTGTAGGTTTTTCTTTCATTTTGATAAAGGAAAAACTTCAGCCTAATTAAATTTAAAGGATTTTAATTGAGCAATGAATGATTCGTGAATTTGGCAGCCCCTAGAATCACAGCAGATTCACAGAAACACCAGCACACTCATGTGGTGGAAGCAGATTTATAAACAAAAAAGGTAAATGACATATAGAAATTGAAAGTGAGGTACAGTATAGCTGAATTGGTTACAGGTGGAAGTTTGCCTTATTGAACACTCAGCAGTGTATAAATGGTTGAAGTACGGCCGCTGGGATTGGCCAAGACTTAGCTATTGTTACAGGCACATACTTCTAAGCTAGGTTTTACAATTTTGTCTACTGATTAAGCTAGACTGCAGTTCATCCACAAGGACCCAAATATAGAAGTATGGAGTCCTTTTCAGGCCATGTTTAGTTCACTTTAACAATTTGTTTAATTTCTTTAACAGATTATTTTTTCTTTGCTTTTTTTTTTACTATTGAGTTCTAAGATGATTGCACTGCCAAAAGATTTTTTAGAACTTCTGTAAATGTTTTATAACCTTGTCTGCAGCATAATTTTCAAAAGTTTCCAAATGTGATAAAGACTATTATATTATTGACCATTGAATTTATTGTGTTTAGTATGCCTTGATTTGAAGAATTCAATGTCCTACATATTAAAATATGTTATTTAAATCTTCTTCAACTTACCTATTTTTTACTCTCACAATTTACTTAATCATTGCTTTGCATATTAAAAATATGTTATTAAGCATATATAAATTTAGAATGTTTAGGGAGAAACAAGCAATTTATCATTATATGAAGACATTCTTTTTCTAAATACAATGTTTTGTTTATGTTGCCCACTGTTAGTATAGATTCTCATCTTTACTTTGGTTATGATTTTTCTGTTGTGTATTTTTCTATTTCAACTTGTCTTTTTTTTATCTTATGTATATTTTAGGTATGTCTATATAAAATATAACTGCCATGACTGTAGTTTAAGACTGTACAAATGTGTTTTATTTTCTTATAAATGTTGGGAAGTAAGCAAGAGTTTTTCAAGCCTCTACTTCCATCACAGTTATTGATGTTCACGGTCAAGGTATAAATACAGGAAAGAGTAGTTCTAGGGGAGAAGTTACATTATTTAACTTCTACTAGAGTCATTCCTTAGGGCCTTAATGATTCATTTTTTTCTACATACAAAATATACCCACCCACCTTCATTCTAGGATTGTAAAATGTTCATCCAATTGCAACCTTTGACAGACTTGAAGTCCAGGATCCCATCTTCTAAATTAAGATGATGCAGATAAGGCACCTTGTCTGCAGTTTCTCCAACACAACAATTTGGGAGTAGTTTCTCCAAAAATCAAAGTCCTATGAACTAAAAAACAAGTCATCTGTCCTTTTACAACTGCCCCCACACCCAACACAATACTGCAATAGCCATTACCATTCAGAAAGAGGAGAAATGAGAGGCATGTTGAAGTAATCTGGCCATTACAATTCTGAAATTGAATCTGGTGCACATCACCAATTTTCCATGCTCCAGGGGCAGGAAGTGTTCCTTCAGAAGGCACCAGATGGACTTGCTGGACATAGTTCAATGAAACATTGTTTTACTCAGCTCTTGGTTTACCCTCTGTCTAGGTCCTTGGTTATGCCTCTTAAGAAGTCTTTTATTTCCATAAATAATTGTCTATATTTGTGTCTAAATAATTCTCTCAGCCTATCCATAGAAATTTAAGGGCCCAATGGCCTCATTATTTTTATCTATGTCCTTTGGAGTCCAAGCTTGTACAGTTCTTTTTATGATGTTGAAGACTTTCCGTATATCAAATTATAATCCACTGTCTTAGATAGAAGCTGTCTAACTCACAGATCTTTTGAGTCATGCTCTTCTCTCATTGGGTTGTTAATCACGATACTTTGGAATGATTTGCTTAAGTTTCTTGGAAGCTCATTTTTCTACCTGATAGAGCCTATGTAACACTGCTAAAGTATTTCTAAAGTAGAAATAAATGATCTTATGGATTTATTTGATCTTCACCCAAAGACCACATTTACTGATAGCATTCTCTATTTATATCTTTGCTCATTGAGAATGTTTTACTAGCTAGAGAGTCTGTGGATTTGGAAATGTATACTTTTCTATCCTAGGAAATTTTGGTTTTGAAATGTTTTATTTAAGTTATTCTTGAGAGAGAATAGCTACTTTAGTTCATATCTCATTCAGCATTCTGCCTGAAGATTTTCTTAGCCAGAACTCCAAGTTCATTAGGTACACTTTGTATTATTCATATTACTGTAGCTAATAGTTTAATTATCTTTCCCCCCACAACATCTTTACATTTTTCAAACTTCATTCACAATGTCACTAAAGTCTTTCCCACTTCTATCTGCTGTCCAATCCATAGTGAACACCACATGCTTAGGATTTTGTTATATTGACACCACCCTTCCAGTATCATTTCTGTTTTCAGCTATCTATTTCTAACTAAAACACTCAACATAAACTTAATGGCTTAAAATATATATGAAATATGTATGGTTTAATATATATATGAAATTATATATATATTTTTTCTTTTCACATTTCTGTACATTATCTGGGGGTTTCTTCTCTTCATGTCTTGTTGCTTGGAGTCTCTCATGCAGCTGTGTTTATCCGGGAGCATAGCAAGGTTACCATGTTTGCCTTAACATGATTTCTTTCTTGTGATATTGCACAGAAGCAGGTTAAATCATGTGTATTTTAACTAACTTTCAACAAAATAAATCCAGAAACATAGTCCTGGAATAGATCTTTTTGTGGCCTAGTTATTATGTTAGAATAATAGAACATTTTTCTTATTCTACATTGTTTTTACTGTTACACATGTAGTATGATAATTAGTAGCAATCATTAATTTTAAAAAGTGTATCAATTCTTTATACGAAAATATAAATTCCTAGTGAGCAAGGTATTTTATCTATTTTGTTCCTTGTTGTTATCTCCACTGCCTGAAGTAGTGCCTGGCCTATGAGTAGAAATGAGTTCAATATTCATTAAATGGATGCATTTTTTAAAAGTGGAGGCAGAAAGTAATGAATTCATATATTCTAAAATCATATTGGGAACAAATGTAATTATGATATCCAGAAAATGTAATTTGTGAATGCCTGTTTCAATAACTAGAGAAAAAAAATCACACACAGATTGCTAAACAAGATGCCTAAGATGCATTTGTATAGTAAATATTGGCGAATGTTTATTTACAATTGTAAGTTTGTCTAGTCTCTAACTTTGATTAAGTAATTCAATCTCTCTTCTTTGTTATTTATTTCTTAAACATACATATACACTAACCCGCAGGTTTCCATAACCAGCTATTTCAAATACAAAGAAAAATGAGCCTATTGAACACAATTCCCTTCATTCTATTTTTTAAAACCAATATATAAATTATATTTTCAGTGCTGATTAGTGTGGAAAAAGTGGCATATCATAAAAGGAACAAATAAATCATCTTTCCATCTTGTCACTGTTTTTAAAGTGTCATTTCTGAAGCTTCCTAAAATATTTTAAGCATACATATTAAATCTCAAAATATATACTGCTTAAGCAAATTAATTTTTATTTTAACTAATAATTTTTATAGCTCAAATATAAATGCCTGAAGTAATCAATGCAATCATCCTGACAATTAATATAACAAATTAGGATTTAATGTAAATTATATTCAATTAAAGCTGCATCTACAGTGTAATTTTGAGTGAGGCAAATCATTATTTTGTATATTTCAAAATGCAAATCTCTTGTTTAAAAAGCTGAAGAAACACATATTTTATCATGCATGAGCCCTATTAGGGATCCTGATTTTCCTTTAATTTGGGCCTCATGATAATTTTTACTATCTTGCTAACTCTATATTGAACATATATTCAATCCATTCCACATAGACTATTACTGCTTCTGAAGCAATGCCTTTTCAAATCTTTGGTTTGTATACTTATTGCACCTATGAAATAAATACTCCACGATTACGTATGTGTATATATATACATATATATATGTGTGTGTGAGTAAGCTATTTCACCATCATTCCATTATTGATTGGCACATTGGTAACTGGATGTTGTCTCAACTTTCTAAGCTTATTTGCATGGTAGTTAAGGTAACTTGCTCCCAGATGTGCAAATGTTTGACTTGTCTTTTTTTTTTTAATGTGACAATCAATCTTTCATTTTATGTTCAAGCGTAATGTACTTCACTAAAATTATAGAATATTTTAAAAAAACATTATAAATAATAATAAACATATCCAAAATATTCAGCATTCTTACTTAACAGATGCCTGATAAATGCTTGGGCAACTATGTTACAGCCTCAATTTCTTTTCACACTTCCTGTATTTCAAACACCTATTTTTTAGCACAGTTTCACAGAACTGTTCACTATTCTTAAAACACCTCACCGCTTAAGTTTCATTGCCCTTCCATTTTTTACATATATCATCTCTAATCATCTTTGCTCATTCCTAAATAATGAAACTCAGTTCACTTTTCAAGGAAAAACTACAATGACGACTTCCCTTAGCAGCTCAAGAAGAGTTAATTTTCTCCTCCTTGGTGACACTAGAGAACTTTATGTACAGGTTCTTATAGTAGTCTCCATATTCTAATTATTATTATGTATTTGTCCATAATATACTTTGGAAACTTCAAGGGTAATGAGCATTTCTTATCAATATTTGGATCCTCATGACTTAGTCCAGTGACAATATTATCGTCATTGCAGAAATATCTTGCCTAATAAGACAAGAAATAAATGGATATTATAATATGTAACAATTTAAAAATACTCTAAATCGGGGGAGATATATTATACAACAGAAATTATATAATTGAGTACAGTACTTGTCCAAATAAGTTGGTTTTAATCACTTGAGGTGTTGCTGCACAAAATACTATACAGCTGCTATGGACTTAATGCTGGTGTTAACACCTAAATTCATGTTTGAACCTAATATTTGATGTGATAATATTAAGAGGTGGGGCCTATAAGACGTGATTAAATTATAAGGACTCTATAACTGGGAACGTAAGTATTAAAAATCTATTTTGATCACCCAGTTTCTTTTTCTTCTTTTGTTTCCCTTTTATCCCATCATTCGTCCCTTCTCTAGACACTCCCTCCCTGCAAAGTATGCTTATCTAGTTATGTTCTTACGTAAGAAATTCCAGAGGCTGATCTTGATACAAACCAGACACAGAGCCCTGATTGTGGAATCCTCCCTAGTGGAAGTGGCGAACAATTACTCCACCACGATCAGGCTAATGTTAAGATAATGCCAACCAGACCTCTGGATGGGCAATTATCCAAGATAGCCAACAGAACAAAGACACACAGATCCTGCATCCTGCACCAATCCTACATGTCTTCCATGCCAAGTTTCCCTTTAAAAACCTTATGATGAATTTTAAAATTTAAGATGGTACGTAAGAACACCAGTTGCCATCTTCTTGGTTTGCTGGTTCTTCAATTAAACTTACTTTTTTTTCCAGCAACACTTGCCTCCCATGGTTGGCTTTTGAGCAGCAAGCAGCCTATTCTGGGTCCAGTTACAACTCCACCTTCACGAATGGGATTACTGCCTTTATCAAAAAGGCTCAAAGGACCTTCCTTGCCCCTATTCACCATGTGAAGCCACAGAAAGAAGGCAGAGAGCAAGCCCTTACCAGACACCAAATCTGCTGGTACTTTGATCTTGGACTTCCCAACCTTCACCACTGTGAGAAATACATTCCTGTTGTTTATAAATTACTCAGTCTAAGGCACGTTGTTATAGCAGCCCAAACAAACTAAAACAATGACGTTCCATTTATTGGAAAGAAGGAACACATACATTATTGAGAGTGTCAAATATAGCATTTTAAAATAGAGTATACCATTTAGTTAAATGAGAATGTAAAACACATTGACTTTGCTAAATTTAATAATCCTGTACATAAAATGCCTTAAGAGATAATGGTTAAATTTCACTAAATGATGATAATAGTTAAGAATCTCTAAAATTCATATGGTTGAGTATCCTGATTCTTGGTCATAATAACTTGCAAATAATTTATTTAGGATATTATTATGTTATTTCACCTACAAATATGTAAAACTAAAATTTCAAGTTGCATGTTTCAAATTAAATGTGAAGAGAAATTTCAGTAAATTGAATCTGTTCCAGGAAAAAAAAATACCATGAGGATGTTATAATATGTAAAAACAATGTATATATCACTATGCATTTTAGATTCCAATACAACATTTATTATGTGGCTGCATTGATGTTTAAATATTTTACTTAGAATATAAAATAGTAAAAAAAGTGGCAACCATTAAAATTTGACGAGGGCATATTATCATTTGCATATAAAAAGGGATACTCCTGATACTTTGTATAGTGAGGGTTGATACTATCTCTGAAGTAACTTATCCAGGGCACTGAGAAACATGTAGAACTTAGAGTGAGGGTCATTTAAAATATGCAAAAAGTCTTATTTTGACCACTTGCCACTTACTTAACAGTCTGTAGCTAGGATAAAGTCTTTTTCAGATTTAATGTTTCCCACAAGCAAGATTCCAACTAAAATCCAGCAGTCAAAAATTTTAGTCAAACGTCTTTGACTACTCCACTTGCAAAAGTTGTCATTTTGGCACTGCACAATTCAAGTGTAGAAGAATTGTAGAAGAAAGGATGCCATACAGAAGAACAGATGGGCAATGTAAGCAGAGAGATGGAAACTCTCAGAAAGAACCAAAAAGAAATAACAGAATTCAACAATGCTGTGACAGATACGAACAATAAGCCAGTAGCACAACTAGCATTCGCTTCTTGATTTCGAATTTTATTCTCCAATAAAGGAAGCCAAGAAAACTTGAATAAATGGCTAATTCTAGCTGCAGCAGGAAATAAAAAAGATGAACTTAGGCATCTTTTAGTGTCATAAAGTAAGGTACTCATAAATTAAACCCCCTAAATGATAGGAGTATGTCAAAGGGACAGTGGAGCCAACTGAAAGGGAACCCAAGAGTCAAATCTAGAGCAGCTTGAGAAACAAAATAACATAACGTTGGATTTCAATCCAAATTATAAAGTAGATATCTACACATTCACACAACTGTAAATAAAAGGTGGGGAAAGAAATCTCTCAAAGTAGAAAAATTCCAAATAATTTCTATAGGTTCTCTGCCCTGGAGGAGGTGGAGCATAACTCTTTACCTCTTAAGTGTTAGCTGCCCATAATGACTTCCTTCCAAAGAGTATGGAAAGACAAAGCAACAGTAAATTTACCATAGAGAAGCCTGACAAACGTGACCTCAGCCAGGCAATCAAGATTCACATCAACAGTGACATTTTATGTTGATAGTATTAATTGTTGATATGAAATGATGAAATTGGTACTTTACCTCTGTGGTCCTCTCAGAGAAGTGGAAGAAGACAAAGTAACAAAATGTAATGTGGTATCCTGGATGGAGTCCTGGAACATGAAAAAGACATTAAGTAAATGCCAAGAAGATCTGTATAAAATTTGAATTTTACTTAATAATAATGTATCAATATTAATTCATAAATTATAACAAATAAAATGTAATGTAAGATATTAATATTAGGATTAGCTTGGTAAAAGGAATATGTGTATAGTCCTTGCAATTTCTTTGTAGATCTAAAACTACTTTAAAAATAAAAAGTTACTTAATAAAACAAACTTAAAATATATTATAAGTGATATTTACATTGACTATTTATTGAAAAATATAATGGGTTAAATAGAATATATTATTAAAATTAACAACAGCAAAAATAATATATACCCAAGACTTTTGAAAGGCCTGTTTGCCCCTTATGGAATGACATGTTATAAACGCTTTATAGCATGACAAAAGGTAAAATGTTAACATGAAAAGTAGAGCAGAGAAAATTGGCTGGAAATATGTCTTGATTATATTTGCATCCTAATTTCTATAATGTCTTAATGCTTGGTTACACTTTTATTTTCCATAAGTTTCATGAGACAATAAATGTTTTTTGTAATAATTAACCCCTGAATTTCAAAGTCTTCAAATAAATTAATGTGACAGTCATAATTCCTAACTATACAATAACCAAGCTAATAGCTATTTTACTTTTACAGTGGGCCCATACTCATTCTATGCATATGTCTTTGTTTCTGTTTTCTTAACTGACAGTAAAGCAACCCAGTAAGTCTTATTTTCCTTTTACTATGCCTACCCATGAATCTCTCCTCATCTGTGTTCCATTCTTAGCATCATCAATGAATATAACTAAAAATAGTATTAAACTGGACATTTTTGGTTAATTTATTTCAAAACTACATTAATATCATTTGATTAATTCAGCAAAAAATTGTACATGTGCACCATTGTTCAAAAAATATAGTGTCCAGGCAGTTATGTGTAAAAAAACATAAATATAATATAGTGCTTGGCTTTAATAAGCATAATATTCAATAAAAATCATCACAAAATTAACAAAGTCAAAATAAATTTTAACATTTAGCACAAAAACAGTGAGCTGTAATTTTCCAAAGAATAGAGCTAGAATGCTATCTTCATCAGTGTGGGCTGCTGTAACAAAACATCATTAACTGGGTAATTTATAAATGACAGAAATAATTTTTTCACAGTTCTGCAGGTAAAGTCCAAGAATAAGGCGTTGGCAGATTCTGTGTCTCATGAGGGTTGCTTTCCAGTTTACAGCTGTTTTTTGCTATCTCCTCACATAACAGAAGGAGCTCTCTGGCTTCTTCATATAAGACCACTAATACCAATCATAAGAGCTCAACCCTCATGACCTGTTCACTTTCCAAGGGCCTCACTTTCAAATACCATCATATTGGGGATTAGGTTTCAACATGTGAATTTTGGTGAGACATAGATATTCAGTCTATTGCAAATACTCAGAATAGCGCAAGGTTTGTTTATCAAAACTGAGCTGTACTATATTGGTCATAATGAACATGTAAGAAAGTAGTGAAGAAAACTAATGGAAGAGATCTGAGGTCAGTTCGTAACATATGAAGGCCCTGGAATGACTTTATTTATTAGGCATAGATTGCCACTTATGTGAGGATCACAGTGATAGGCTTGATTTCAAATGTCAGTTATGATGAACAATTGACCAAAATGATTAGCAAGGCCAACAATTCCTAAAGTAAACAGTAAGAGATTTACTCTCTAGAAACACAAGATTAGATATGCTTGGCCCTAAGCTTCAAATAAGTGAATATGAATCTCAGGAAAAAAATATCAATTAGAGAAAATGTGTTCATCTGAATTATTTAAATTTCATAGAATTTGCACTATAATCATATATTTTTCTCCTAAAACGACTATCCAACATCCAAGGTATGATGACCTTACCTTGAAAAAACCATTTTAAAAATTGCATGATATATTTTAAAGATAAGTTATCATTAAACCAAAATATTAACCTAAGAAGAATTTTGTACACTAAGAATACTAATAGTGTTCAAAATTTTCACTTATGTCTTTGCAAAATCTTAGAATCATGTACAGCATATTTTAAAAATTCACGTTTTGCCCAATAAATACCATTCTGGACATAGGCCTTGGCAAAGGTGTCATGATGAAGACTCCAAAAGCAATTGCAACAGAAATAAAAATTGACAAGTGGGAGCTAATTAATGAGCTTCTGCACAGCAAAATAAACTATCAACAGAGTACACAGACAATTTACAGAATGGGACAAAATATTTGCAAAGTGTCCATCCAACAAAGGTCTAATATAAAAAATCTATAAGTAAGTGAATAAATCAACAGGCAAAAAACAAACAACTACATTAAAAATGGTCAAAGGATATGAACAGGCACTTCTCAATAAAAGACATACATTGGAGGCTGGATGTGGTGGTTCACAACTATAATCCCAGCACTTTGGGAAGCCAAGGTGGACAGTTCACTTGAGGTCAGGACTTCAAGACCAGCCTGGCCAACATGGGGAAATGCTGTGTCTACTAAAAATACAAAAATTAGCTGGGCGTGGTGGTGCATGCCTGTAGTCCCAGCTACTTCAGAGGCTGAGGCAGGAGAATCCCTTGATCCCAGCAAGTGGAGTCTGCAGTGAGCCGAGATCACACCTCTGCACTCCAGCCTGGGCAACAGAGCAAGACTCTGTCCCCTCACTCTCCAAAATAAAAGAAAGCATACATGTGGCCAACAAGAATATGAAAAAATGCTCAACATAATTAATCATTAGATAAATGCAAATCAGTACCACAATAAATACCATCTCACACCGTCAGAATGGCTGCTATTAATAAGCCAAAAAATAACATGTTGACAGGGTTGTGGAGAAAGGGAACTCTTATACATGCTGGTGGGAATATAAATTTGTTCAGCCACATGGAAAGCAGTGTGGAGATCTCTCAAAGAACTTTAAACAGAACTACCATTTGACCCAACAATCCCATTACTAGGTATATACCAAAAAGAATATAAATTGTTCTAACCTAGAGACACACACATGTGTATGTACACAGCAGCACTTTCCACAATAGCTAAGCCATGGAATCAACCTAGATGTGCATCAATCATGGACTAGAAAAAGAAAATATGGTACATATACACCATGTAGTACTATGCTATGCAGCTGTAAAAAGAAAGAATGAAATAAGATCATGTCCTTTGTAGCAACATGATTGTAGCTGGAGAGCATTATTTTAAGCAAATTAACACTGGAAGAGAAAATGAAATACCATTTATTCTCGCTTACAAGTGGGATCTAAATATTAAGTACACCTGGACACAGAGAGGGAAACAACAGACACTGGGTCTTAACTTGAGGTGGAGAGTGGGAGGAGGGTGAGGATTGAAAACTACCTATGCTCACTATCTGGGTGACAGAATCATTTGTACACCCAAGACCAGTGACATACAATTTATGCATGTAAAAACCTTCACATGTACCACCCCTGATAAAAGTTGGAAGAAAAAAAATTAAAAAATGAAAAAGTTGACTTCATAGAAGTAGAGAGTAGATTATTGGTTACCAGAGACTGGAAGGAAGAAGGAAGAGTGCGGTACCAGAAGAAGTTGGTCAGTGGATATAAAGTTGCAGTAAGAAAGAATAAATTTTTATGTTTTATTATACAAGAGAGTGACTATAGCAAGTAACAATGTGTATATTTGAAGATAGATAGATTTTGAACGTTACCACCACGAGAAATGATAAATGTTTAAGGGCTGAATACGATAATTACTGTGACCTTATCATTATATTATGTATACATGTGTTGAGATATCACAATGTACCCCATAATTATGTGTGATTATTATGTGTTAATTAAACATGTTAGAAATTAAATTAAAAACATAATGAAAAAATCCAAATTTCAACCACAATGTGTGCCTAAAATAATATTTTATATATAGGTATAAATACTTTCTAAATGTTAATATATTCCAGATAATAATAATGAAAATAAAATTGTGCATATGATAGATGAAGCACATTTCAGGTGAATATGCGCTTTGTTTTTCTAGCCTTTCAAAAAACAAAATTAAACAAAAAATAGCTCTAATTCCTTTATTTTCTAAATGAATGGGATTAGGCTATTTACATTCCTCCAAATTATTATTTTTTAATTTTATTTATTATTATTATTTTTTTTGAGACGGAGTCTCGCTCTGTTGCCCAGGCTGGAGTGCAGTGGTGCAATCTCGGCTCACTGCAAGCTCTGCCTCCCGGGTTCACGCCATTCTCCTGCCTCAGCCTCCTGAGTAGCTGGGACTACAGGCACCTGCCACCACGCCCGGCTAATTTTTTGTATTTTTAGTAGAGATGGGGTTTCACCATTTTAGCCAGGATGGTCTCGATCTCCTGACCTCGTGATCCGCCCGCCTCAGCCTCTCAAAGTGCTGGGATTACAGACGTGAGCCACCGCGCCAGGCCAGTTTTTTTTACCTCCTAAAATATACCTGGGCTTTATATATATAGGTGATATTTATATGTAACTATGTATTACTACAGTAAGATATTTGTACAATTGACTATTTTCATAAAAGTTTTAGATAATCAGAAATTGATCATATAATGCAATAACAGTAAATATATTCCCTCCACACCTCCGTCCCCCCCGCACCACATATAGTTTCCCCTATTATTAAGTTCTTACATTAGAGTGGTCCATTTGTTAGAATTAATGAATCAATATTAATACATTATTATTAAGCAGAGTACTTAGTTTATTGATTGATGTATTTTTTATCTAAAGTAATTTTACCATTCCAGACTCTTATTCAGATACTATGATACCTTAAGCCCTCGTGTTTCCTTAGGCTCATTTTAGGCTCCTCAGCTTCTCCTTGCTTTTGGTAACTTCTACAGTTTTGAGGAATGCTGATGAGATACATTGCAAGATGTCTTTATTTTGGAATTTTTTGATGTTTTAACCACGATTAAAATGGTTTTATCATTTTATGAGAAGATTACAGAGATCAATGCTATTTTCATCACATATTTTTAGGAGTACATACTATCAATATGATTTAAGATTGGTGATGTTGAACTTAATCACCTTGCCCAAGTAGTGTTTTTAGGTTTCTCCTTGTAAAGTTACTCTTTTTTGTCTTACCTTCCATACTGTACTCTTCGTAAGGAAGTTACTATTCACAGTGTACAATTAAAAAATGGGAAATTACAAGATCCTTTTTAAAAGGGATGTTATATCAATATAGGAGCTAAGGTATCATTCAATAGTAAATTTCTATGATCATTGTATATTAGATCACTAATTTTCATGGCTTTGAATATACCTCAGATTTTCTTCCATTTTAAAACATCTCCTATAGCCTGACGTGTGAGTTAGGAGTGTCTGGGCTGCAACTTATAGAATACTGAAATAATGGTTTGAAACCCAGGTTCATTTATTTTTAATTAACAATAACAGCAACAAAAAAAAAAGTGAAGTAGATGGTCCTGGACTAGATCAGCTCTTCTGTAATTCCAACAAAGTGAAAAAGGAAAAACAGCCAACCAGCCAAACAACCAAACAAACAAAATTGACCCTGACAACTGACCACTAACAGCTGGTAGATTGCAGCTGGCTGTGAATATCAATTAAGCACAAATAAACACAAATAATCTTTAGGGAATATTGGCAGAGACAGATACTCAACATTCTGCAATAAAAAATAATTAAACATCTCCCTATTCTGAATAACATGAGTGACCATTACTTTTTTACCTTACTTTCATTTTTCTACTTCTTAATTTAAAAAAATTACACAAATTGCCCATTTTTCTTAAAACATCCAGCCAAAAACAAATTTTCATTTATATTATACCACTCCAAAATCACCTGGAGCAAGCCCAAATTACATAAAAACTCCCTCCAAAGGTACCCTCCCCACAAAGTTTTTCACGATGCACCTTTCTCATATCACAGCAAGCTAATAAACTATACTGTTGTTGACTACAGGTATACTGTTGCTGAATTTTGGCTAATGGGCTCTAACAAGATATCAGATCTCTTTCTATACTACTTTTAATTTCAATAGTGTTTGAGGTACAAGTAGTTTTTGGTTACACAGATACATGTTTTAGTGGTGATTTCTGAGATTGTGGTGCACCCATCACCTAAGCGTTGTACATTGTACCCAATATGTACTCTTTTATCCCTCACAGCCCTCTTACTCTTCTGCCACTGAGTTCTGAAAGTCCATTTAATCTCCAGGCTACTGGCTTTTCATTCCTGTTTACATTCTCAATGTCAGAAGAATGCTGAGTTTGTTACATACTTCATTCCCTTACTCCTACATGTCAAGCAGAAAGAAAGAATTGAAGCCACTATTCTTTTCTTTCCTCTTGAAATTGTCTCAGGTTTTCCAACATGCACCATTGACCAGAATAAATCAATCTTAGTTGGAAGGGAAATTAGAAAAAATAGGTAGGTGATGGAGGAAAACAGAAATGCTGTATTTTAATTAGACCAATAATGATTTATCCTTCAAGAAAGATAAGTTAATTTTTGCAACTAGTTTTATTAGGTCAGAATCACTCTGATTTTTTAAAAAATAAAACAACTGAACAATATAATTAGGAACTTAAAATACAAAAACTTCAAGAGAATATTACAAATTGAATTCTGTAATATATGAAAAGATAGTATATCACAAACATACACATATAATATACACAATTGCAAGGCTGGCTCAATAGTTGAAAAACAATCAGTGTAACCCACAACATTACATGTTTAAAGTAGAAAGAACAATGGTCAAACAATGATCAAATCAGTAGGTGAAAATTTGACTAAATGAAGTGCCCATTTATGATAAAAGAAAATTCCTGATAAAATTAGCTTACATAAAACCTAAAGCTAGCATCATATTTAATGATAAATGATGGAACACTTTTTGTCTTAGATTGGAAACAAGACAAGGATATTCAGTTTCACAACTCTTAATGAACATTGTACTTTAAGTTCAAACTTGTACAATGAGTGACAAAAAGATACATACATACATATATATATATGTGTATATGAAGTTGGAGCTAGGTGTAGTGGCTCATGCCTGTACTCTTACCACTTTGGGAAGCTGAGATGGGTAGATTGCTTGAGCCCAGGAATTTGATACTGGCATGGGCAACATGGTGAAACCTCATCTCTACCAAAAAAAAAGCAAAAATTAGCTGGGTGTGGTGGTGCACACATGTAGTCCCAGATACTTCGTTTTAGAAGGCTGGGGTGGAAGAATTGCTTGAGTTAGGGAGGCATTTCTCTTTGTTTCTGAATAAGGACAGTATATTTGTTCAGGAATCGGTTCATTGAACAATGGAATAGAATATAAAATCCAGAAACAGACTGACACAAATATAGTCATTGTATATATGTAGTCATGTTTATATATATATATATTTATAATTTTATAAGTATAGTCATGTTATATATATAACATATATAAATATATATAACATATATAAATATAGTCATTATATATACATATATATGTATATATATATATAACATGGAGTTATAGCAATTCAATTGGGAAAGAGGAGTATTTCAACAAATGGTTTGGGAAAAATTGGAGTTTCACATTTAGAAAAACAAATTCAACATAAGATCACATTGCATGCATACAAAAATTAACACAAAGTGAATTTCAGATTAAAATGTAAAGTGTAAAATTTTAAGAATTTATAAAAGAAAACAAAAAAGTGACTTAAGTTTACACAAATTTCTCGAAATGAGATTATGTCTATGATTTATAAAGAAAACATGATTTATATGAGTCTCTTGACATACAAAAGACTGCTTTAAAAGAAAGAAAAGGCAAGCTTCCGATAATTGCGAGAATACTTGGAAACCTCATATCTGAAAAAGAACATATATATAATATATACGATGAAATCTTAAACTCCATATTAGAAAATCAGAGTGATGTCAGCAAGATGGCTGACTGGAAGCCTCTAGCACTTGTCACCCTCACAAAGAAAGCCAGAACAATGAAGAAACTACATTTTAATGAAAATAACTGAAGGAGAGTTCTGGAGCTTGACAGAAATGTATCAGAGACCCTAGTAAGTACAGAAACTCTGGATGACCGCATAGAGAATGGAAGAGAGCTCTGTCCACCGACCCGTTTTACAACTGGGATCAACTGGGAGCAAGGAGGAACTTTTTCCTATGACAAAGAGTTAAGCAATAAGGCCCTTGTCAACTCCTTGGACACCAACAGACCCCACATTCAGGTTCCTCGCAGTCTTCACAGTCACTAAGCCCAGATGAGGGAGCTGCCTAAAGGCTACAAAGCTGTGTTCCCCTAAGAGAAAATGCCAACACTGAGCCCCAACACCTGTAGCCCACAGAACGACTGTGCCATGCCATCTTGGAATAGAAATTATGGCTGGAGACTGTCTTGCTCTAGGGATGAGTAGCAATGGCCCTCTATCCCTGAGGCTAAGTTGTTGCCAAACCACACCAGCCCAGTTGTGTGACATCCCCAAGCCTAGTTGTGAATACCTGTTACACCTTTCTCTGTGTGACCAAGAGGAAATGGAGCCACTCCGGCTATCCTCTTTGCCTAGACCCTTGGCCTACAGCTGAAGTAATGCCCTGACTTTTTGAAATACAGTACCTTAGTCACTTAGGGAAGTCATGTCTCCTCAGCCTAAGCTGAAGTAGTGCCCTAAAACCCAGGAAAACCTTTGAGTAGCTTTGGCTGCTCAAAGAGGTAACATATCCTAGGACTTAAGCTGAAGCTTTGGCCTACATTCCATGGAAATGGTGCCTGGGCCACCCAGAACAGTCATGATCCCGAGGCCTGAGGTGAAGGGAAACATTGCCCCTTGGTAATTGGTGGCTTGGTCAAACTGAGGAGCTTCATGTTTTAGAACTGAGCTAATGTAGTAACTTCTCCCAAGGAAATATAGTGGTTGACATGAGACGCCCTGTTCTACAGGCAAAAAGACTCTAGTACCTCTCTTCTCTGGAGCTGGACTGGAGTCTGAGCTGCAGAGGCATCCATTGCCTAAAAAGTAGAGTCATCACTGTGCTGTTTCCTCCTCCTGATAAGAACCCAAATGACAGCTGTACGCCACTATTCTGAGGTATAAAAGTAGATAGAGCAGATACATAAAAGAGGAAGAGAAAAGAATCAAACTTTAGCACTACAGAAAACCACCAAACTACAATGATACAAAAAAGAGAGAAAATAAGGAACAAAGGATAAACAAAACAACAAGAAAAAAAAATCAAACAAATGACAGGAGTTGGGTCCTTGTCTATCAATGATAACCTTAAATGTAAATGGATTACATTCTTCACTTAATAATGATATAGACTGGATGAATAGATATAAAAAGTGACCCAACTACATGGTGCCTACAAGAAACTCTTTTCACCTATAAAGACACACATAGGTTACAAGTAAAAGAAAGTAAAAAGATATTTCATGTAGATGGAAACCACAAGAGCGCAGAACTGCCTGTGCTTATATCAGATAAAATAGACTTCAAGTCAAAAACTATAAAGAGATAATGAAGGTAATTATATAATTATAAAGGAATCAATTCAGAAAAAAGATATACTAATTATAAATATATATGCTAGACCAGAGGAAACAGACACATAAAACAAATCTTAGATTTGAACAGAGAGATAGATGCTAATCAAATAATAATTGGGGACTTCAACACCCCATTCTCAGCATTGCATAGATCACCTAGACAGAAAATCAACAAAGCAATATTGGATTTAAACTGCACTTTAGACCAAATAGACCTAATTCACATTTATAGGACATTGCATCCTTCAGCTGCAGAATGAAAATTATTTTAACCTGTGCGTGAAACAGTTTCCAGAATAAGCCTCATTTTGGGCCACAAAATAAGGGTCAACAAATTTAAGAGAACTGAAATTATATCAAGTGTCCTTTCTGACCACATAGAATAAACATGAAGAACTCTCAAAATTGTACAAATACATGAAAATTAAACAATGTGCTCCTGAATAAGCAATGGGCCATTACAAAAAAAGAATGAAATACTAAAATAATTTTGAAACAAAGGAAAATAAGAACATAACATACCAAAATATGGGCAACAGCAAAAGGAGTGGTAAGAGGAAAGTTTATAGCAATAAACACCTATATCAAGAAAGTAGAAATATTTTAAATAAACAACCTAATAATGTTCTCAAGGAATTAGAAAAGCAAGAACAAACTAAACTCAAAATCACAAAAAGGAAAGAAATAACATAAATCAGAGCAGAAATAAATAAAATTGAGACTAGATGAATAGAAATTATTTAAAAAACAAAAAGTTGGTTTTTTGAAAGATAAAATCAACTATCCATTACCTAAACTAATAAAAAAGAGAGAGAAGACCCAAATAAATAAAATCAGAAATGGTAAAGGAGATGTCACAACTGATACCACTGAAATACAAAGCATAATTAGAGTCCATTGTAGATAACTACACACCAATAAATTCAGAAACCGAGAAAAAACTGGTAAATTCCTGGAAAACATAACCTATTCAGGTTGAACCAAAAAGAAATAAAAAAAAACAGAACAGACCAATTACAAGTTATGATATTGAATATTTAAAAAAAATTCTACCATCAAAGAAAAGCCCAAGATTAAATGCTTTCATTGCAGAACTATACTAAACATAAAAAAATTCTCAAGCTCTTCCAAATATGGAAAAGGAGGGAATTCCTCCAGACTCATTATATGAGGCCAGCTTTACTCTGATTCCCAAACCAGACAAGGACATAACAAAAAAAGAAAACTATAGGTCAATATCCCTGATTAATATAGATTCAGAAGTCTTCAACAAAATACTAGCAAACTGAATCCAGCAGCATATTTAAAAAGATCATTCATTGTGATCAAGTGGAAATTATCCCAGTAATGGAAAATTGGTTTAACATACCAAATCAATAAACATAGTATATCACACCAACAGAATAAATGGCAAAAACCATATAATCATCTCAACGGATGCAGAAAAAGTAGTTGATAAAATTCAACATCACTTCATGATAAAAACTCTCAACAAATTAGGTTTAGAAGAAACGTACCACAGTGCAATAAAGGTCGTATAGGACAAACTCACTGCCAACATCATGCTGAATGGGGAAAAGTTGAAATCTTTTTCTGTAAAATCTAGAAGAAGACAACAATGACTGCTTTTACCACATTTATTCAATATAGTACTGGAAATCCTAGCCAGAGCAATTAAGTAAGAAAAAGAAATAAACAGCATTCAAATTAAAAAGAGGTAGTCAAATTATTCTTATTTGTGGAGGACATGATCTCATATGTAGAAAAACGTAAAAATTCCACCAAAAAACTGTTAGGGCTGAAAAACAAATTCAGTAAAGTTCCAGGATACAAAGTAAGCATACAAAAATCAGTAGCATTTCTTACACCAACAATGAACTAGTGGGAAAAGAAATCAAGAAAACAATCCTATTTACAGCTTTTACACACACATACACACACATACATGCACGTACAACTTAGGAATAAATTTAATTGAGGTGAAAGATTGCTAGCAAAGAAAACAAGCTCACAAAACACTGATGAAAGAGGATGAGTTGGAGAGGACACAAAAAAAAATATGTGTTATGTCCATGGATTGGAACAATTTATAATGTGAAAATAACCAAATTACCAAAGAGATTCTATGCAAACTCTATCAAAATACCAATGCAATTCTTCACAGAAATAGTAAAATCAATCCTGAAATTTGAATGCAACGACAAAAGATGCTGAATAGTCAAAGAAATACTGAGAAAAAAAGAACAAAGTTGGAGACATCACACTACTTGACTTCAAAACATACTACAAAGCTAGGTAACCAGAACAGCATTTTACTGGCATATAAACAGATACATAGGTCAGTAAACAGAATAGATAATCTAGAAATAAATCCATGTATTTATAGCCAAGTAATTTGACAACCATGCCAAGAACCTACATTGGAGAAAGGCAGTCTCTTCAATAAATGGTGCTGGTAACACCGGATATCCACATGTAGAAAAATGAAATTGATATATAAAATGATTTTATATAGGATTTTCCCTATCTCCTACCATATATAAGTCAATTCAAAATGGATTACATACTTAAATGTAAGACCTGAACTATGACACTACTAGACAAAAACACAGGGGAAATGTTTCAGGACATTGGTCTGTGCAAATATTTTATGGAGAAGACCTTATAAATACAGGAAACAAAGCAAAAATAGACAGGATTATATCAAGCTAAAAAGTCTGTGCATAGCAAAAGAAACAACAAATTGAAGAGACAACCTGCAGAAGGGGAGAAAATATTTGAAAACTTTCATTTAACAAGAGATTAACATTCAGAGTACATAAGGAGCACAAATGACTCAACAGCAAAATAACTAATAATATGATTAAAATATGGGCAAATGAGCTAAATAGATATCTCTCAAAAGAAAATATACAAATGACCAACAGGTATATATAGAAATGCTCAACATCACTAATCATCATGGAAATGCAAATCATAATGACAATGAGATATCATTTTATCCCAGTTACAATGGCTATTATCAAAAAGACTACAAAGAAACACACACCACACACACACACACACACACACACACACACACACACACACACACACCAGCAGTCTACATACTGGCAAAAATGTATAGAAAGGATAACTCATATGTTTTTGGTGGGAATGTAAATTAGTACAGCCCATTTTGGGAAACAGTATGGAGTTTCCAAAAAACTAAACTAATATTAATATATGATTCAGCAATCCCACTACTGGGACTTCCAAAGGAAAGGAAATCAGTATGTTGAAGAGATATCTGCACTCCCATGTTTATTGCAGCACTATCCACAAAAGCCAAGATATGAAATCAACCTATGTGTATGTCAACAGCTGAATGGATAAAGAAAATGTGGTAAATAACTGCAATGGGATACCATTTAACCATTTAAAGAACAAAATTCTGTCATTCACATCAACATGGATGAACTTGAAGAACATTATATTATGTAAAATAAACCAGGCAAAGGAAGATAAATACCACATGCTCTCATTCATATGTGGAAGCTAAAAAAGTTGATCTCATACTAATGGAGATTAGAGTAGTGGTTACTAGATGTGGGGAAAGGGAGGGTGAGGGGATAGCCAGAGGTTTGCTAAAGGATATAAAAGTATAGCTAGATGGGAGAAATATGATCTTGTGTTCAATAGTACTATGGGTGACTATAATTAACAATAATTTATTGTGTATTTTCAAATAGCTAAGAGAATGGATTCCAAACTTTGCCAGCACAAATAAATGAAAAATATTTGAGGTGATGAACATGCCAGTTACTCTAGTTTTATCATTCATCTTCTATATATGCATTGAAATAATCCCACAAATATATACAATTATATGTCAATTTAAAATAATAATAAAAGTAAAAAGCACATCTCTCAAATTTAAGAAAACAATCCAATAAAAAGTAGTCAAAATATTCAAATATAAACTTTACCAAAAAAAATATATAGATAATAAAAAAACACATGAAAGAATATTCAACATTATAACCATTATAGACATGTAAATTAAAACCATAATCAAATAGCACTATATACTTATTACAGTGGCTAACACTGACAATATTAAATTCTATTAAGAATATGGAGCCACTGGAACTCACACATGTTCCTGGAGATAATGCAACATATTAAATCCATCCTGGAAAATTTAGGCAGCTGTTGTAATAAAGTTAGATATGTATCAGAAGTCCCACTTGTACTTGTTTATAGTAGAGAATAAAAACATAAGTTCACACAAGAATCTCCATGTGATGATTCCTAATAGTTGTATTCATAATCACCAATACTGGACAGAACTCAAATATCCTTCAGCTGGTGAATATAAAAACACATCTTAGTGTATACATATAATTGAATGCTGTTATATAATTAAAGGTAACAAACTGATATATACAACTTGAGTGAATCTCAAAGCATCATGCTGAATGAAATAAGCCAGTATCAGTTGGTTAAAAGCTATAATCACATGTATATGACATTCTGAAAAATAAATGCTATAGTGATTTAGAACAGATCATTGATCATAAGGAGCAAGAGGAGTTTGTGACTATAAAAAGATAAGAAAAAGAGTTTTGGAGTGATAAAGTTCTTCTATTGCATGATTGAGATCATGGGCATGTGAATCTATATGTGTGTTAAAATTCATCGAATTTAATACAATAAAAACCACTCCAAACACTGCTACACACACTCACCCACATAAACTCATTTGTGTGCCCGCACAAGTTAACCTCTTAATGGGTGGAAGAAATTTTCATCAGTATTTCAGAGCTGAGGATCCAAAGACCAATAGTCTCACACTTGAAATCTCCAGAGTATCATATTCAGAAACAGAATGAAAGAAATTAAGTATGAACTTTAACAAAAATGTAACTCAGAAATTATCTCAGGAAACGCTTTTCTAAGTGTTCTCAAGTGAACCCACACTCCCACTTTACCTTATCTGCCTAACACAGCAAGTTGTGGTCCCTCTATAATGAATGATAACAGTGTCTAGAACATCTATGGTTCTTTTAAAAAACTCTGGCATAAATCATGCAATCAAGCAAAGATATTCAGCCGATAACTAGGGGACATGCAAATAAGCAGAACTATTCTACTGATAAGCAGGAAAAATTAAACCGTAAATTAGAATCAGATCTTTAGATTATATATATATTGGAGTTAGTGGTCAAAGACATTATAATTAATATGCACAAGAACATAGAGAAATATGAGCAAAATTCCTTGCACAGTTGACCAAAAACAAAAAATAATTATCAAATCACAAACTGTTGTTTCCAGGAAAAAAATGCCACCATAGACTCTGCTTTCTAGTGATATAAAGGAAAAATATTTGCGCAACTTTACTACCATACACTTTTCATTTTAGATATGACGGACAAATTCTTCAAAAATACAATTTATCAAAAAATAGAAGGGATATAAAATTGGGCTATTCTGATACCTATTAAAGAAATATAGTCTGTTATTTAAAAATAAACTGTGAGGCCTAGATGACTTTACTTGTGAACATTTTCAAATATTTAAATAAGAACCGATTACGAGTCTGTTACTATATCTACCAGAGAATAGAAAATGAAGAAACATTTTACAATCCTTTAGATGAATCTATCAAAATTTGGGGTCAGATAATGACTTAAAAAGCATGCTGGTGATGGTGGTGGTGATGATGTTTCTGAATGTGAACAGTCTTTACACAGGTATTCTCAGATGGTTAAAAATCAGTGAGCTGTGAGCAGTTTTCTCTGTGTGTATGTTATTCAATAAAAATATTAAAAAGGTGATCTGAAAAGCAGTAAGCCTCTCTAACACTTTTCCTCAGACTTGGTAGCATCCATAAACAAGTTAATTAAAGCTAAAGGAGGTAACAGAAAACCTATTTTTTTTCTGTAGTATGTAGGTAGGCTCAGAGGATAGACTGATAGACAAAGATACATAATGTCTCACTTTGTAATCATCCCTATAATAATAATAAAAATGAAATTATTATGAAATAGAAGATATGAAGGTCGATGACAACATCTTCCAGCAGTGGAGTGAAAGTAAGAAGAATGTGGAATCAAGGTATCACTGTATATTGGAGGTCAATATCTGTAGGCATCCCTGATGTACTCAGACAAAAAATATTAAGTACTGCCAAGACCATTACAGACTATTGTGAAATGACAAAGTGCATACACTCAGACTTTTCACATATGACTTGTATTGCTTACTAAAATTTGATCACAGGGAGAAATAAGGGGAGTGACTACCAACTAGCAACCAGGTGATTACGACAACATAGTTGACAACGCACCAATCTTTATGTTTTCTTTAGATTAGAATAGCCTAACTTTCCCTCACACCCAATTCTTCTCTATTGCTTCTTAATCCACAGGTGAGTTAAGACCATTTCAAGAAAACAAACTGTGAAAGTTTATTTGCAATGAAAATTTATACTTATATATTTAAAAATCCATTGAATATACATTTTGAAAAAAAGAGATAAATATTTGAATAGAATGGGAGTCAAATATGTTTGTTTATGTACAATGAATTTATATTTGACACAATGTTTGTTCTAAACAACAAAAGAGAATACGGCCTTGCTAGACACTGAACATAAAATGAAAATCATAATCAGATCCTGGTCCAAATCTCAAGGAGATCATATTCCAGGAATTCTATTTGCAAATGTACAGTGGAAGAAAAACATATCAGCATAATTTGTACAGTTGCCATGTCAAAATTTGTTTTCATTTACATGACAAACTAAAGTGTTTCTAATGAATAATAGTTTAATTTGAGTGTTCCTAGTTGGTGGATGACTCTGTTCCATGCAAATTTAAAGATGCAGCCTTCTTTAATTTTATGGCCTTGATTTTATCAAGGGCAAGATAATCTTCTATAGAAAGGGAAGAAAAGCTAATAGTTTTTGGCAGGGAGGAAGTATGACATACTCACTGGAGCTCAGAAAATAAAAATATTATATTGAGAGAAGAAACATCATAAAAGACACACAAAGGTTCACACGTGGATCAAATGTGGGAAGACAAGGTTAAACATGAAACCCCATCTTGGCTGTAGCTAATTTTTAGTGAATTTTCAACTCACAAGTAAAATTCAGGAAACACATTCTATATTATTTCAAACTCATATAACATTCCTATCAAATATTTGTAGAAAAATATTAGAAAATGTAATATTATGCATAATATATTTAGTGATTTAAAATGAAACTAAAGAATTTAACTAGGTTTTGGTTTTGGCATTTCATGTTCAGTTAACATTTTGGATAATCAAATTAAAATACCATTTAATTTTCATGAAAGTACAATTATGCTTAGCTGTACTTTGATACTGAAATGGAACTTCTATATTTCTAAGTCCATTATATCATGCTGGTCATCCTTTGCCTCTTGTACAAACTTTCTTATATAGTTATAGCTGAAATGCTTGAGGAAACACCCCATTTAATCCATACAATCCTGTGTTAGTCATGGTGAGCTATCTCCCTCCTACGCTAGGCAGATGAGGTTCCTAAAATGGAGTGAGCAGGAATCAGAATTGCACTCCAGCCAATGATCTCTTTCAGCATCCTAAAATAACAGATAGTCATCTACCACATAATGACGTTTCAGTCAATAGTGAAATGTGTACAAATGGTGGTGCCATAAGATTATAATACTGTATTTTTACTCTATTCTATGTTTAGATACACAAATACTTTCTATTGTGTTACAATTGCCTGCATTATTCACTACAGTTAACATTCTGTACAAATTTGTAGCTTAAGAACAATAGGCCATACCATATGGCCTAGGTCTGTAGTAGGGTATAACATCGAGGTTTGTGCAAGTACACTCTATGACTCTTGTACAATTATGAAATTGCCTAAAACACATTTCTCAGTGATGTATTACTGTATTGCATAATTTACTATAAGGAAAGGGCTCAAGTGATCCCAAAAGTTTCCCTTTAGCATCATAATTAAGACTGGATTAAAGGAAGATTTGTTGGACACGTCATGTAATAATGGTAAGATAAAGCCTTTTATTCTCATTCAACATACATTGACATGATGTCTTCATGTAATGGAGGCAAAACAATAGATGACCTTTCCCATTTTCTAATTTATGTAATAACCATTACCATAGCCTACAATAATCTTCATACCTTCCACATTATGCCTTTGGGCCTTACTATTCTTCATGGAAATCATGGTGGATTGAGGCCTAGGTCGAACTAGAAAACTGCATTGCTTGGTCACTTGCCATGGTTCTTAGCCACAGGTATGGTCTTCACTTACAATATCTACTTAGGTGTCCAGGAATATATAAACAGTTCCCCATTAACAGAAATAAAAATAAATATATTTTTCTTTATCTTAGATTATTATATTTTCTCTCTTCATAAGTGGTATTTTCAATAGGAACGCTAAGAGCAGCAAGGAAACAGCAATTTGTGCTTACTTTTGTTTATTTTTAAAATGCTTTTCATTCTGTTTCTTCCCTTGGTCTAATCTTCCTGGCCTGTGTTTGGATCTTGCAAATTGCTTCACAAAGTTATTTAAGAATTGTGCTAAGGCATACCAAGGATTCCCAGAAAGCAATCCTTTTATCCTCAGGATAATCCTGATATCCTCAATCCTGATATCTTTCCACTAAGTCTCCTTTTTGGCCAAAAGTGTTCCATGAATCTTAAGAACAATCTTGCTGGTGATTTTTCAACGAGCTGTGCTAAGGTAAAGGGTTGATTTGTCAAAACTAGATCTTACACTAAATTTTATGAATTATTCAAAGGATAAAGGAAAGAACCATGCGTAGATAACATATTCCTTCTGGAACTTAAAGTCATTGGAACACAACATCATGAGAAATAGCTGCCAAGGTGTTTGTTTTTGCTACATCAAGTTATGAGGTTTGAACAATATATTCAGAAACACTATTTAAAATGTGCTTTTTTCAGATTTGAGGATCCTCCTATTTTTACACTAGTAAAAAACAATGCCAAAAAGAAATACATAGCTGTGATTACATTTATCCTCCATACAACCAGGCCTCACAAATTCTATGCTAACTAAAAATAATCAACGTAGGCAGCTTATATATAGCTTATTAACAATGTTCTATGAGGAGAGACTTCTGCACATATTTCTGTGAGTAAGTATCATTATTTTGGATTGTTTTCTTATCAATTTAGTTAAGCTGGGAACTATGCTTTTCAAAATTTATTCATCTGGTTAACTTAAATGTTTTCATTCTACCTTAAAATAAGTTTTTGTTTCATTTTTATGAAAATTATAAAAGTATAAATTACATAATAAAACATATGATTCTAAATGATTACATTATTGAGAGCTTGAGAAGGGTAAAAATGTCACAAGGAAAGCTGCCTATATAATAGGAATCTTGGAAAAAGTTATTCTGAGAAGCAAGTAGATATTTGGAACATAAGCGATAGGCTAGATAGATAGATAGATAGAATATATGTCTACCTTTATGCTTGGTGGTCTAAGTCAAACTGATTTCAATATATCTTTTAAATTTATAAAACCAAGATTCATTTTTATTTACCACATAATTATATAGTAAGTGCAATAATGTGTAGAATGTTTACTGTAACTGAGGAAAATAATTCTAAATTATATTTGTCTTTATGTAAAATGTCATTAATTTAATTAAATTTTCTTGAATTTAATCTAAAAATGAACATCACGTCATAAATAGAGTATAGAATTGAAATGAAAATGTGTAATTGGTGTAAAGGATCTATAATCCCAATTATATTTATATTTGAAAGTCCCATAATTGTGCATCTTAATTAGTAGATGATGTTTTGTGTTTTCAGTCAAATTACTAAATAATTAAGAGTAAAACTTTGTAATAGTAAAATAGTAGCAAAATATATCTAGAAATTGCTCTGAATGTTTTTTAGCATCCTACTAAATGAATTAATAGAGGATTTTCAAACAAATATCTTGGCTTTAGATTTAATTAACTAACACCTGAACTACAGCTGAACTGCAGTGTAGTACACAGTGTGAAGTAGAATTTTTAATGTAAAGGTTAATGACTTAATTAGCGACACTTAAATGTTTAATTCAAATAAATGCTCAACCAGTTGACTGTAAAGTTCAGCTATTTTTTCCTTTTTGCTTATTTACTTTGAGTTGTTTTTCTCATTGAAGTTTGATAAATGAGATAGCGCATAAGATTGGAGAAAGGAAACATAAGAATTTGATTGTGCTATTTGTATATGATGACTTAAAAAGTGTATGTTAAATTGAAAAATATTATACAGTCTGATAATGATAAAAAACTCAAGCTCAAATTAGCTTTTATAGCCACTGGTTTGTTACTTACATTTCATTCGCACTGCTTTTTACCTCTGAAGAAATGCAAATCAACTGAATAATAAAGGATTCAAAAACTTTTTAATAAATCAATTTTTAAAATTAATGTCTTGTAACTTAAAAGTCTTTTTCTAATCCAAGCTCATTAATGAAGTATTATATCCTCCCTTATAAAGGAAACAAGCATGTACACATACCAGGTGCTCACTATCTTTATCTCTGTTATCTATTAATATTATTTACCTTAGAATTTAATATTCTAACATTTATTATTAAATGATTTATCTATCCAAATTTTAATTTTTATTGACTTTTGTTATATTTTATTTCTAGCATAAGGATGTGGAGAAACATCTTTTAAGAGATCATATCCACTTATTGTTTAAAGTAATTCTAGAAATAATATTATATATATTATATAATAACAATAAGAAAATTATACTTGGAATTTATCCCATTATAATATTTTAAGGATGTAAGCTTTTCCATTCAAGTAGTAATAATAATAGCCTAAATCTATATCTTGAGTATGAAATGGATCCCAATATCAATTTAAATAAAATTTCCATAATTTCAACTGATGATGTAATCCAAATATTCCTATCTTTATGGTTGCTGCTTATTTTGATATCTTGATTTACCTCTATCATTTGAATTTTTGAGTTATGAACCATACATTTCCCTTCTTAACTGTCAAAACCACAATTTTCAATTGGAATGGATCCACATTAATTAGTTCTGTCTGCTTCAACTCACTGTATTTCTTTTATCTGCAAACACTTCTTACATTTCTGGCTTAAACACAATTTGCTCATCAGCATTAAACACATCGTCCATGATGTTACACTCAAAAAACAAAATTGCAGGATTATGCAGAGAAAACAAGCACTTGACTTCTTTTCAAAAATGTCTTCAATTATTTCTCAATTCAAAAGAGAAAATTGAAGTCACACTTCTGTTACTATAACATGGGAGCAGAATTTCAAGGAAGCCATGAGACTTGACTCAATCATAATTACTTTTCAAATATGACATGAATAAGCTTTAAAGGAAAAGGCTCAACACTTCAAGTACACACTTTAATTAGGAATCGAGGGTTAAATTTACTGTCTGGGATAACAGAGATTGAATTTACTAACTTACATACAGCTGAAAGTGAAGTATAAGGTAATTTATCCTGAAGTACTTTAAAATATATTTTAAGTTTTGAAAATTACTCCTTACTGTGTAAGTGTGATGATGATCAAAGAACTGTTCCATTTTAGGATTGTCATGTAACTATAAATGTGAATTTGTTAAGATGGTTAAAGTTTCTAGCTTTTCAACACTAAATTTCCATCCGTAATTTATCTTTCTATTGTAACTTCAAATATATATGATAATAAATACATGTAAATTCATTCATTTGTTTCTTTCTAATATATGTTTTACTAGTTCTGATCCCTCACATAACAAGTAAGCAAAAAAACTCATGTCTGGTAACTTTCTTTTTAAATTTGCAACTGTCTTTTGAACTCTATAATGAGTATTGCAACTACTAATAATCACAGAAATATTATTTTCTTGTGAATATTTTTTATTTTGCTCACTTATGAGAATTCTGATCTTGCCTCCTTAGTTTGTTTCACATCTATCCCTTTCAGATGGTTTCTCTTTACCAGTTTTCTCAGATGCTGGGGAGACACTATCTGGAGGAAAGGAAAGGGTGGAGGATGCAGCGGTGTGAATCTAGGACTGGGTGGGACAGATTTTTAGGAAGTTTGGAGGAGTATCTGGTGTGTCAACTGGGCTGCTCTGCTTCCTGAATGTATTCAGAAACTGAATCAGGTTTTTCCATGTCTTTGCTCCATGAATCTTGTGGGTATAAATTTTATCCATGTTGTCAAAAAGGGCTCACCATCATCACATCTGGTTCCAGATGTAGGGCTGGCAGAAAATGACAGTGGAAGGTGTGTAATCTCACTTTGAAGATATTACACAGAAGTCACATATCTCACTTCTGCTCACATTTTCTTTGATGGAATTTAGTCACATGGTTATACAGAGCTTTAAGAGTTGCTATTTGGCCGTATGTGTCACTAAAAACTTGAGGATATTGTTTGCAATGTTAAAAATGAAGAAAAATAGATTTTGGAAGACAGTGAATATCTGCTGAAAAATCTATGGCTTCTGAGGTTTTATGCCACTCACCAAGACACAGTAGCATCTCACTGACCCTAGCTAACAGAGAATAAAATAATATTGGCCCCTATTAAAATTATGTAGTTAGGGTGAAGCCCTGCTTTCCACTTTTACTTGGGATTCAACAATAAAGTATGAGTATTTAAATGGCATCCAGTTCAAAACAACAAATGCCCACTGCAATTACTTAGAGAAAGTTGCTTCTCACCAGAAGCAATCATCATTGAAACATTTCGTGAATATCCTTCCAGATCTTTTACCATGCATTGTATATCACAGTCTTCATTCAGTACTTAACATTTCAACACAAATGCCTTCTTCATATAAGTGCTTTCAAATTTAAAAAATGCTCATCATTTTGCCTTCTTTTATTTCTGATCTACCAGGTAAAATGAGAAGATGGGTAGCTAGCAAGAAACAAATGTGCACTGGCTCAAATTTATGCTAATGCTGTCACTCCATAGCAATGTATTCCTAGCATTCAGCATGATAGAGAGCGGAGTAACTGTGTTAAATGATCTCTTTAGCAGAGAGAGCAAAAACAATATTGCTTTTCGTATGAGAAATGTATGTTTTAAATGAATACTGAGGGCTTTTAGTTTTTGTTTCCTTTATATCTCAAAGATTAATTGTTCTAAATTACATGTTGAATTGGGGACAAATTATTTCTTAAGAGATACAAAACGGCATGAAGCATTCTATTATAACCAAACTATGAAATATGTTCCTTATGTTTTATGACTTGATATAATTATTCAAAAAGAGTCCATATTCTTATAGTGTTATCGATTATTTTGCTCAACAAGAATGTGAACAGATATTTTAGTGTAGAAATACTTACTGGAGAAAAATGAGTGTATCGTATTTAACTTACTTTTGAAATTGAAATTTGACTCTTAATAATTCACAAGTATGTTGCTTAAATAGGAATTCCAATTACAAATATATTTTATGTTTCAATCTTTCTCAAGGTAGATTCTTAAATAAATATTTATTTTGTTATTAATATTTGGTATAATTTTTAAAATAACCAACTCCAGACAACAAGGAACATTTTTATAAAGCAATTATTTTTCCAAACAATCATTTTACACTGGCAATGTGAAAATAAGTTATGAGAATAGCATGAATAAATAAAATTAATAATTATTTAAAATGCAATTTTTTATCTTTTCTGCTTTTTCCTGAAGAATATTTCCAGATTTCAAATGCACTAAGTAACATTGTTTTGTATATTAAATGTTAATCAGTGCCAAATTATGAACTACATCTTAAACATGGAATATTTTGTTCACCTGTAGGTTACTGGTCATAAAACTGAGAAAATCAGCTCATGTAAGTTACATTAATTATAATTCACAAACATTATTATTTCTGCCAAGTTTATAATTGAGGCCGTTTATTTTCCAGGAAGTACAAGAGCAGCTGTGGGCTATAACTGAGAATAGTCGTCTTTGCATTTTTCATTGTTGCTTGGTAATTGCCTAATTTTTTCTTTGATATTCCCTTATATAAGGATTCCAATTAAAAATATGATGTTTTCATTCCACCCTTTATATTAATCCTATATTCACTGTTTTTGAATTTTTAACCCATGAGAGTTCTGTTTTCTCCCATTTAATTCATAATAATAGAATGCATTTTTTTAACAAAGCAAAGACATAACATGCTAATTAATATACAATGTAACTTTTTTGGGTTTAGAAGCAGAAATAAATGTAGACTTTAGTGTTGACAGATGATTGGTGTAATTATCACTATAAACAATTCATTTAGTTAAGCTAAAAATCTACCTCAAGTTCTCTTTATGTTTATGTATTACCTCTAAACAATATTTTTGTAAGCATAGCATACAGGTGTATGGAGAAGAAAAGGAGCACATTAATAAATGTAAATTAGCCCTTCCCCTTAAATACAGTAAGCTTTTAAAAATAAATAGTTATGTGGAAGTCTTAATTCATATTTTTAATCAAGAAGAGTATCGATTTCATTTTCATTGTGTTATATAATTTCCTCTGTGGACACTATTAAGTCAGAGTTTTCAAGGTTTAAAAACATCCTAAAAATCTCATCCAATTTGGCCAGTGTGATAATTGTTTATTTCTCTGAAATTTGTCCATGAAACAGGCATGGGCTTCAAGCTATATGCCGAAACCATATAAGACTTTGGCATATCTCTTCTGGGGAGTAGGCATGTGAGTAAACTGTATGCATTGAGAAGAAAATTGGTTGCTTGTTGACTACAAATGTAGACTGTAGTAAAAGCAATGCTATTTGTTCACTGGATTTTGTTTTAATTTTCTTCTTTGGAATAAAAAACATATTTCCAGTTTTTTGTGTATTTGTGTGGGTCCCAGAGCATAGCTCTGACCAACAAAAAAATGTAAGAAAGAAAGTGAAGTACTTCATTTAAATCCTAAATCCTAAAATCTACATTGTTTTCCATTTTTGCTGTGTGTGTGTGTGTATGTGTGTGTGTGTGTGTGTGTGCTTTCCTTAATCTGTATATGATAAGCTTGTCATATATGTGAATGAAAGGCTCAAGAAGAGTTAATTCTGGACTTTTCAGTGTGGTAACCACATGTATCTATTGAGAACTTGAAACATACCCAGTTCGCTAGAGAGACTTAATTTTTAATTTTAATTAATTTAAACTTAAAGAGCCACATGTGGCTAACACCTACTCTATCAGACAACACTGGTCTAGAAGTTGATAGTGTGGAAGTTTGGCAGAAGCCAGGATCCTGTAACACTACATGGAATGTTACCCACTGAGTGCTACAACCAGACTTTGTTGAGAGAAATAAATTTATAATTTGTTAACACAATGAAATATTGTGATTCTTTCTCACCAGAGTAAACAGACTTAATCAACAAGACCACTAGAAGAGCAATAGTCTATTTATATTGGTTATCTTAGCATTTAGTCTACTGTCCAGCACATTTTCATAAATAACTGAATATTTTATATTTAATATACTATGTACGTATTGAAAAATAATTTGTTTAAAAATAATACATGGTCTTTTAGCTATTTAGCTTAATAGCTTAAAGCTATTTTAGTTCTTAGCATACATATATATGTATTTATGTATATATATGTGTGCATATATATCTGTGTATTTTCCCAAATGTTTATATATATAATACACATATTACAGTGAGAATGACCCTTTGTATTTCAAAGACTATGTATTAAAAAAAATAGCACAGTCTAATTTTCTTTTCATTTTGAACATAGAGTTTTAGTGGTGAAGCTTAGTGTTAAGAGGCATTTATAACCTTCAGTAAGGCAATTCCATGTAACAAAACCAAACTAAATATTGTTTGGTGAGCTTTTCCTTCCTATTTCAAATATTCCTTCCCTGATGTTTGTCAGTGATTCACATATATGATTTGTTATTTTAGACAGGTTAGGCAATTTTATTAATAGAATTTAAAGAGTGAAGGATTAAGGCATGTATTCATTTTCTGGGATAACTGAAACCCATGAAGATGGGAGTCTGCCAGTTGAATTAGTGTCTTCCATAACACTGGTCCTTTCATATTAACAATGAATTTAATAAGACAATTAACTACAACTAAGAGAATCTTTTTGTCCTGATGTTAGGTATTCCATTCCTGTGGTGGGCATGCAGACAGTGGAAAGGGCAATAGGTAATCCTCAGATAATCCCCAGGAACTTTTTCACCCTAACATTCATTTTTCACCCTAACACTACTATTTACCTTTCCTCTGACAATACCATCTTTGAGGCACTGTGTTCCCATCATTTGATGATTACTTTTGCTTGGTTATTAGGACACAGGGTACACTCACTATGCCATGATCCAGAAATCTGGGTTATTCTAGAAATAGATCTTCAGCACATATACAGAAAAAGGTACAGAAATACAGAGAAGGCCTTTCACTGATAATTGCTCACTATGACTTCCAGAGAAATTCTGCCCCTATTCTGGGGGCTTTTCTTGAGTTATAATCTGATAAATAATTTATGAAGCAAAAACACAGTTCACAATAGGTAGCTAATTTATTACTATTAGTATTATTCTTACAGTAGATAGGTCAATGCCATGGAATTTTCTATCTTTACAACTCACTCATATAATCCCATAAGGAAATTAATAATAAAGCTTTATTTTATATACATTTAAAGGATTTTATAGGTCTTATTTTTAGTTTTGCCCAAGTTGTTTTCATTTTTTCTTATATATTTTAGTTTAGTTTGTACCTAGCTGCTTTTGAATTTGAACACATATGGATTTTTGCTTCTATGTTTTTTATTCTCCCATTTGTAAATTAGTTTACTTGGATGTAAGTGCTTTTATCCATAAAAAAGGCAAAATAAGGGGCATTACAAAATATAGTACCCATTAAAGACAGTTATTATAAAGAGAGAAAGAGAGAAACTACATTACACTCAAATAAGCAGCAGATAGGGAAAGGAACACATTCCACTATAACAGAAGGGAAAAGGAAGATGGATACCAAGCAGGTAGCTCTGTGGGATTGGTAGAGGTTGACATGAAAATTGTATAATCTGACTTCCATGTGCAAAGTGATCTGCTAAAAAAGGCAAAGCATGCAGACCAAAATAATCAAAAATATTGTACCCAAAATAGCATGGGAATAATTTAGACAACTAAAGATGTATGCTTAACTATTAATATTTAGTGTGTTGTAAGAGCCATGAAGCAGTCTTCCAAGCTTTGCAATCATACAAATTTGACTATTTACACCCTCTCCTGCCAATACCAAGAAGGCTACCCTTTCCTGTGTTGGGTGCTAATGTCTAGGAAAAATGCCAAATTGAAGAATAATTAATGTCCCATTACAATGTATTTCTGGCTCAAATTGCACATTTCTATACTTTGAATAGAACAAGAGCTGCAGAATTTGTCTTCGTTCATGACAGACTGTATTATGGTCAAGAGACTTTTCTTGGGAAAAATAAGTAAGGCTTAAGCCTGTTACCACTGAGTTTATTGAAACAAATATACCATTAGCTTCAGGCAAAAGCCTATACAAATCAGTTTGATAAACTTAATTACCACTCTTTATAACACCTTAGAGCCACTTTGAAATAGAGTCCAAACACCATACAGTGAATAGCTCAATTTCCCCAAAAGGCACTGAGCCATTGATTTAATTGAACTTTTTCCAAACAAGAGAAGTTTCCATTTTTCTCTATCTCTTAAAATATAGAGAAGAATAGAATTTAAAAAAGTCCTGAGAGTCCTTCATTTCATCTCTTAAAACCTAAAATTTTTTATATAAGCTTCTATAGTATCATTAGGTAGAAGGTATAGTGGCTTTACATCATACTTCCTTTTTAGCTTAATCCTATTAAATTGCAAGATATTTTTAATACATCAAGTGACTGGCTTTTGAGAATATTCTCACTGCTTTCACACTAATGCATTGCTGCATAAACTATTGTCTGGTCTGTTTGATCAGCTGTTCCAAAGCCTAATCATGTCATTGCCTACTTCCCACTGCCTATACCTCATTATCTACATTAATTTTAGATTAGTTTGGTAAAACTAAACTGTACATATGTCACTATTCAGATTTTTTGTGCATTATTTTAGCACATTGAAATTTCTTAGAACAGTTTTTTACAGCTTATCACAATCTCATTCCAGCTTCCAAATATGTCTCTCCCTGTTTTCCAGTATTAATTCAATCATTAGGCAAATTCCACCATTTATATTTTTTATGCAAAACATAACTCATATATAGCTTTCATTTTGAAAATAAACTTTGTCTGCACTAGAATATTAATTTAGAAAACTGTAAAAATCATAATGTACATCTCAATCAATTTTCATAATCTGAATCTGTTTATTTTAATCAGCACCAAGAATAAGAAACAGAACCTGAGCAGCACTCCAGAAGCCCCCTTTAAGACTCCTGCCAATCACTAAGCAGACACTCTCTCTCCAGGGTAACCAGGATCCAGACTGCTAAAAGCCTGTTTGAACATCACACTGGAATTACATTGTATATAATTTTTACATCTCTCTACTTTCCCTCAAAATTATCTTCATGAGATTCATTTGTGTTGTTGCTTATAGCCGCATTTTTATTTTTTCATGCTGTCAGGTTTGAATTCTCAGATCTTTATTATTGCTTTAAATATAAAATATTTTAAATGCTGTGTTCCAGCCCCAATTCCATTACTATTCCATTACTAACCCCACTATTAGAATTCCTGAATGTTTCTTAAGGCCTAGTTCAAAAGCTTCTTCTTCCATGATACAGTCCCCATCACTCTTCTTCCTTTACCTCCGTTCCATCCATAGGATAGTCCTTAACGTGCTAAATAAGCATAACATTTATGGTACTTCTAATATTGCACTCTTTCTATTCTGCTTATGTTATTTTTTTCTTTCTCCTTCCTCTTGTTCCTCCTCCTCCTCTTCTTCTTTTTCTTCTTCTGTACTGTGTATTATAAATCATACACTTTTCTAGATTTCTAGACATTAGGAGACAGTGCTCTTGTTTATAATGTAGTTAATGATTGTACAGTAATATTTGTATTGCATCTTTTTCTACTTACTGGACTCCAGCCACATGATAAAAATGATATCATCATTAAAAGCAAGGAATATTTTATACTACACCAAAGGAATACAGACAAATTATAATATTAGCAGTTCCTCAGAAATTGTGAAATTCTATATAAATGAATCTCTATTGAGTTAACATTGCCTTATGAACTTTCTCCTAGCCATTCTTTCCCTATTATAGGACAAAACAGCCCAAATAGCCTGTGTAAACATCTTTATCATGTAATTGATACAAGATACCCTCCCACCACCTAAAATTCAGTTCAGATGTCATGACCATGTTACACACATCAAAAAAATAAAGATATTTATTAGTCACATAATGAGGCTTTCTGGATGGAGAAAGGCACGGTCTCAAACAGGTCAGAAAGCAACATGGGAGAGACGTGAAAGGAGACTGGCTGGGGGTGGAGGGGTGTGGTGATTGTGATTAGGAGGCAGGGCTGGAGGGACCATTCTTGCACACTTGCTGGGCTTACATAGTTTGAACTTCCTTTTGCTCTCAGTGGAACACGTCTAAATTTTCTTAGCAGCTTGCTCTGATGTGGGGCAGAAGGGGAAATTAAAGTTTTTGGGTCTTGAAATCTGTGAGTAGTCGAACTTTGTACAAAGTGAGGTCAGACTCTATTTCAGTAAACGTCATGATTTTATCATAAGATTTTAAGAACTCATTAACTTTTTTATACAACTACTCTTTCTATTTAATATCCAGAACAGCATAGTGGCCATATTGTTTACTGGAAGGATAAGAATAAATTTGGCTCTATGTTTCTGACGACTTAATCCTCTAACAATGTCAGGAATATCCGGCAAAATATTATAGACAATAGAAATTATTAATTCAGAGAAGTGGTATAAAAGGGTTAAGAGAAATATGCTGTTCAAGAACATTTGACATTTAGCACCTGTAACTGAGAGAGTAGGAAGTGTGCATGTGACAAAGAGAAAGAGACAGAAAAATTATAACATTATCTTGACTTTTGTAATCAAGTGTCATTATTCGAGCATCCAAAAAATAATTCCGAATATAGTTGTTTAAAGAAATAGTGAACAGTTAATACATTTAGGCCTTTATTTTCATGAATTAATACAAATCATATTTTGTTCTTTTGGCTAGAGGTGAAGGAACACAGTTTTTTGTTGTTGTTGTTGTTTTAAAACTGAGTCTCGCTCTGCCGCCCAGGCTGGAGTGCAGTGGAGTGATCTCTGCTCACTGCAAGCTCCGCCTCCCAGGTTCACACCATTCCCCTGCCTCAGCCTCCTAAGTAGCTGGGAATACAGGCGCCCGCCACAACGCTCGGCTAATTTTTTTTTTTTTTTTTTTTTTTTTTGGTATTTTTAGTAAATACGGGGTTTCACCGTGTTAGCCAGGATGGTCTCGATCTCCTGACCTCGCGATCCGCCCGCCTCGGCCTCTCAAAGTGCT
Organism: Homo sapiens; assembly: GCF_000001405.40. Classification (NCBI taxonomy): domain Eukaryota; kingdom Metazoa; phylum Chordata; class Mammalia; order Primates; family Hominidae; genus Homo; species Homo sapiens. The sequence goes on from NC_000001.11 coordinate 188,418,748, forward strand.
GGGATTACAGGCATGCGCCACCGCGCCCAGCTGGAACACAATTTTTTTATTGCTATTTTTAAAATTTGTTTTTGTTTCTTTTTTTTCCTGTGTTCATCAGACCCTGGTGAGAAAGGATGGAAAAACAAAAAAGATACTGAAAATTCTATGCATGTTTTTCCCTTTTCTGGACTTGGTGATATATTCAAATTAGAAGTGTGTCAAGTAAATGTTTAACAAACACACTCCTCTCAAAAAATGTATAAAGGATCCAATTTTTTTGTATATACTTATTTCTCTAGTGTTAAGTACTTCCACCATGGTCAACTTCAAGCAACTAACAATATCTTTTTTTTTTTTTTTTTTTTTTTGACGGAGTCTCACTCTGTCGCCCCAACTGGAGGAGCGCAGTGGCACAATCTCAGCTTACTGCAACCTCGGCCTCTTGGGTTCAAGGGATTCTACTGCCTCAGCCTGCTGAGTAGCTGGGATTACAGGCACGTGCCACCGTGCCCGGCTAATTTTTGTATTTTTAGTAGAGAGAGGGTTTCGCTAGGTTGGCCAGGCTGGTCTCGAACTCCTGACCACGTGACTGCCTACCCCGGCCTCCCAAAGTGCTGGGATTACAGGCGTGAGCCACCTTGCCTGGCCCAACAATACCTTTTAAATTGTTAGGGATTAATACTTTGAGATGAAGGCGCTGACAAATATTTTGTGATATTCTGTTTTTACACAGTATTTCTTCTCTGCCTATGTACTCAGAGCTGTGAGACAGCTAATGCTCTCCAGAGGACTCAGGGAAGGTACCAGCAGGCAACAGCTGTGCAGTAATGGACAGCGTTCTCCTTGAGTAGAAGCCATATGAAAAGCCATCACGAGGATGGTGAAGCAGAAAAACAGGAGCTGGCTTCCTCCTGAGTGCCATAGAGATATAATCCTGCCGATTCACAGAAATACTTGAAGATATGCAAGCAAACATTTTTAGGGCCTGTGAGATGAAACTGAGGCTAAGACAATATTATTATAATATCAATTTGGAATCCATGTGCTGGTGAGGGGTTGTTTTAGAAACAAAAGCTACTGACATTACTATTGACTTTTTTTTTAAATGGAGTAGTTACTAAAATGTAGACAAAAATCAAACTTTAGATGGAGAATAGGAGTATAATCTTGATTACAATTAACAATACATGTTCTTCAACCATGCGTAATATTCATAGTACATAATGAAAATTATTAATTCTTTAAATGTGAAGATTTAATATGATATTTGATTAAAACAGGATGACATGTTTATCTTTTATAATTTATTCTATGTATGTAGTATGCTCATTATTTAAATAAAAGACAGGCAAATGTTATCAACTGCAGGGAAATTTATCTCTGTTGTGCCATGAACTGTGTCAATTAGGGAGGTATTTGGCTCTGAGAAATAGAAAAAAATAACAAACAGTGGCTGAAATAATTAATGAGTATATTTATATTTTACATGAAAAGATGTCTGTTGAGAAGCCTTTAATATCCAGTATATGAGCATTTTTCATCTTCCTCTACCACCAACCTTTGAGCTTTAAACTGAACTTTGGGGCTACAATATCACTGTTACACCATTTGATATTGAAATAGTGAGAGAAAAATAGCAACAACAAGAAGTTCCTCTCCAGTTTCTTTTTTTTTCTTCTATTTTCTCTGTTCTCTCCTCTCCTTTCCTCTTTCCTTCCCTTCCCCTCCCTTCCGTTCCTCTTTCCTTCCTCTCTTGTTCCTTCCTTCCTCCCTCCCTCACTCCCTTCCTTCCTTCCTTCCTCACTCCCTTCCTCCTTCTGTCTCTCCCTCCTTTCCTTTCCTCCCTCCCTCCCTCCCTCCCTTCCCCTTCCTCCTTCTTCCTTCCTTCCTCACTCCCTTCCTTCTTCCCTCTCTCCCTCCCTTCCTTTCCTACCTCCCTCTCTCCCTCCTTTCCTTTCCTGCATCCCTCCATTCTTTCCCCTCCCTCAGTCCCTCTCTTCCTTCCTTCCCTCCTTCCCTCTTTTCTTTTTTACTTTCATTTGGGAATGGGAAAACTTTCCCAAGAATTTCTGCCATCTCCAAATCTGTCACTATAAATCAATCCTAAGTTCAAAGGGAGGCTGGATGCTTTTTTGAGATGAAGTCTCACCCTGTCGCCCAGGCTGGAGTGCAGTGGTGGGATCTCGGCTCACTGCAACCTCCTCCTCCCGGGTTCAAGCGATTCTCCTGCCTCGGCCTCCCAAGGCACGTGCCTCCTACAGGCACACGCCACCACACCCAGCTAATTTTTGTATATATTTTTTAGTAGCGACGGGATTTCACCATATTGGCCAGGTTGGTCTCGAACTCCTGACCTTGTGATCCACCCGCCTCAGCCTCCCAAAGTGCTGGAATTAGAGGCGTGAGCCACCACTCCTGGCCTGCTTTCTAGCTTCTATAGCAGAACCAGCCAGGGAGAAGGAGGTTGAAATAGTTGTGGAGGGAGTCAGTTTGCAATATTTATTATGTGAATCTCTTATCAGTCATAGTTATATGCCCAAGTATTCGACTTCTATGTTTCATGCACAGAAACAAAGAAAAAGAAAGTAAAAATAGTGGGGCTGCAAATTGATTTAGCCAGGGCATTGTTGTCATCACCATCCAGCACTAAATGCTACAGATTGCTGTGCTTACACTTTGAAAGTTAGCTTGGATGATAACAGCCAGTGCTGCCACTGATGCCCAAGGATCACTGTCTTAATCCAATACATGAACGTTCTGTTAAAATAATTGATATGCAGGAAAAATATTGGGCAGCCAGACAAATATGGCAAATGCCCACTACAAATTCTTTTGAGAATCTCATGAAATTCTTGTACTCTGTCAACAGAAAAAAGCAAAAATACTCATTCTCAACTTTTGTTGTTGCTGTTGTTAAATATGGACATATAGAACTTACTCTTGCAATCTCAGAGCAGTAGATACATAAAAAGCACATTCTAAGATATAATTTTCTTAAACATTTAGTGAGTAAATAGTCTGAAGCAACTCTAGTGAAAATATCCTTTGTCCTCCTTTTCTCTGGCACCTTGAAGTTCTGGGAGGCATTCTTACTTTCTTTTCTCAAAAGATTTCTTAGATCAATTTGACTTCTTTTCCTGCCATTTTAGCACCTTAATCCCTCTATCCTTTACAGATTAAACTCTTTTCTATAAGCTCTCTTGATTCATTGACCCTCCCACAACGCTACTATTTCAGTAATATTCCTTTAAAAATTGTGGCTTATTCCTTTTATTCACAAGACAAAGAAGTGGAGAGGAGGCAAAGATGAAACACTGCAATGCTCTAGCAAGAGATCAGAGAGATAGCATTCATGGAATTTTAAAAATATATTGATCAGTGTGTGTACCTAGGTCAAGAGTTACTCAGTTATACGATAAGATAGTATTAAGATGTAAGCATATTATATTATGCAATATTTTTTGCATACAAAGTACTATGTATAATATGCATGTAAGATCTAAAACATATTAAAATTTACACCTATTAGCGTACCATTCAATTTAAACCTGGAATATTAATGATAAGTTTGCCAGCACCTGTATGTTCCTCGATTTCCCATTTTCTTGCCTCTAGTTAAATGTGGTTGTTTATCAAAAATTACCTTTCTATCGTAGTTTTATCATAAATTGCATAAGTTTTTATCAATGTATTTTTTATTGTGTTTGATTTTTAGCCTTTTACAAATGGCATCTTACTTTACTCATCTAGAATTGACCATTCTCACACAGCATTGCATATTTTAGGCTCAGTAACGTTGTTTTAGGTGACTGCTGTATATTCATACTTTCTGATGTATAATAATGCATTATGAATATCTATTCCATTAATACAGTTATTCATTATCCGACTAATAAAAATTTGTTTATATGTATTCATTATTCTAAGTAATACTTCTAAATACACTCTCACATATGCCTTCTGTATTTGCACAAAAATGTCTTTACATTTTTTTTTTTTTTTTGAGACAGAGTCTCGCTCTGTCGCCAGGCTGGTGTCCAGTGGCGCAATCACGACTCACTGCAACCTCCACCTCCTGGGTTCAAGTGATTCTCCTGCCTCAGCTTCCTGAGCAGATGGGACTATAGGGGTGTGCCACCATGCCAAGGTAATTTTTGTATTTTTAGTAGAGACGGGGTTTCACCATGTTGGCCAGGATGGTTTCGATCTCCTGACCTCATGATCTGCCTGCCTTGGTCTCCCAAAGTGCTGGGATTACAGGTGTGAACCACCATGCCTGGTCATGTCTTTAAAATTTATTAATGACTATGGATTATCTTGTGCATAGGGTTTACATGTTTCCAACTTTATAATACAAAAATATTTTCCAAATCGTTTTATCAATTATACATTCCTGACAACATGCATATGCTTTTATAATTTCTTATCTATACCAACATTTGTTAATAACAAATTTCTCAAATTTGCCAATCTGGAGAGAATAACATTGTATCCAAATGTTTCCAAAGTTTGCATATTTCCCAATACTTACAACATTTTAACAGCTTGCCATTTCTGTTTCCTCCTCAGTGCAGTATCAGTTTCTATCTTCTGACCACATTTTCCTGAGTTGAATTTCTATTACTGAAATACAGTTTTTGTATATTTTCTGTATTAGTCTTTCACTAGTATATTTTTCAAATATCTTCTTTCAAGTACTGTATTGTCTGTATATTACCAGTAGGAGTTACCTATTGCTAAACATTCAAAATTATTCACTTTTATCTTCTTGATGTATTTATTTGTGTATTTTTGCAGAAGTCCTTTTCATGAAATTGAGATGTAAATATATTCTCCTACAGTTTCTTCACCATATTTTAGCATTAAGCTCTTAATTTCTTGGGAATTGGTTTTTTTGTGTCATGTAAAGTGAGGATCCAAATTTATTTTTATTTCTTAAGGGATATCTAAGCAATTGTTACTGAAGAATCATTTTAGTTTTGTAATATTATCACTATTACATAGCAATATTCACTATATCTATTGGCCTATTTTTGGGATTTCCATAATGACCCATATATTACTGGATAAATTCATGAGGTGACGCCACAAAGATAAATACAATAGTTTTGTAATATATATTAATGTCTGGTAAGGTTAGCCATGTCAACATATTATTCTTCTTCAAACTATTTTGGGGTTTTGATTTTTTCATTAAAATTTTAGAACTGTTTTCAGGAATATTCACGCAGAGTTATCATTTTGCTTTGCACTGGATCTATAAAATAATTTGGGAAATAATTAACATATTTACAATATTGAGTTATCCCTGGTGAAACATTTGACTAACTCTTATTGATTGTATCAATGAAGACAGAATACACACCTTGCATACTGTAATGTTAATAGGGAGGTTAAAGTAAGTTTTAAAACTTGGTATGTTTTTGTTGTTTCTTTCTACTTTAAGCAAAATTTTTGCAAGAGAAATGTAAACAGTCTAAACCTATGCTGTCTGCAAATTGCAATAGATGTAGACAGAATTTTGCTAAAGCTGCTTATGGACTGCCAGCTACTTTGATGGAGAATTTGGAGATTTGAAGACTTTTGGCATCATGTCACAAGATACAGCAGTTATAAGCTGTGACCCTAAATTGTGACTTTTATGAAAAAATACATATTTGGCCCAAACTTATATATACATCTTCTTTTATGAGTTTCTATGCTGTGATGGGAGCCAGTGTGGAGAAAATCAGCACAGGAAGGAGATTAAGATCCTACCCAGCTGCTTGTTTCATATAGGCACAGTAAAATGAAGAGACAGAGAGAGATAAGTAGCGAACAGAGGATACAAGTATAGTACAAAGCTCTCAAACTTAAAAACTACATATAGACAAGATCTGTAGTAACTTGTATATAGAAGTGACCAGAAGCAAATAGACTATATGTGTGTACAATATACATATACATAGTCTCTCTCCATATATATATATAGATAGATAGAGTTGTACAATTGCAATTATACACATACTATATATATTAGGGATTATACATATATAATTACAATTTTATATATATATAGTTATATATAAGGAATAGTCTCTCTATATATAGTCTCTCTCCATATATGTATAGGTAGAGTTGTACAATTGCAATTATACACATACTATATGTATTAGGGATTATACATATACAATTACAATTATATATATAGTTATATATTTTTATATAGTTATATATTATATATAGTTCTATATTATATATAGTTCTATATTATATATATATATATATGGAATAGTCTCTCTCTATATATGAGATGAATTGTATTGCCAAGAGTTGTGTTGTCAAAATAAGAAAAGTTAAAATTGTTCAACTCTTAAATCACACATAAGAAATAGCCTAAAAATGTTGTATATTATCCACTGATGACTTATCTGTAGGATGCACAGCTATTAGTAATGGGGAAGTTTACAGGTATTACCTTTTCAAACTTTACTTCTTTTCATAATCTTTATTTTCTCTTTTAGGGTCCATAATTGACCAATTTTAAATATTCTCATTCTATCCCCATGCCGTATATTATTCACTGGCTCTTGTTATATTTAAATCTCTCTGTGCTTCACTTTAATTTGTCACTCAAATCTACCTTCTATTCACTATTAGTTTTTTAATATGTCTAATGGGCCCTACATTTTTGGTTTCAGGACCTTTAAAATTTGTGTGTGTGTGTGTGTGTGTGTGTGTGTGTGTGTGTATGTATGTAAAATACTATCTATATAGCTTCCAAATATCATAGGCCATGATATAATCTTTTGTTCCTTGCTCATTTTTTGTGATACCTTCTTTCTTGTCATATGTATTTGATAGATAGTAATTTTGTGTTCTATATTTATAATTGCAATATCTTTAATGTTTGAGGGACTAAACCTGAGGCTTTTTTGTAAATTTTAGCCTCTAGAAAACAGTAATGAGATGGTAATTTCCTTTCGGTGTTATCCTACATTTTGCTTTTGCTCATTGCCTTCACGTTCCTGCTCTTATTTTGCTGCCCTGGTTGCCATTGTATTTTATTTTTATTTTAGAGGTCGGCTAGAGAAGCCTACAACTCATTTAGCTATGCCTGTTGCAATCTATGTAGTGTACATTTGCATTTTAGTGTGATGACTCTTCAGAGAATCTGGTTCAACATACTTCCACCAATGGTAAATTGTTTCCTGCCGAATCATATTATAAGCCACACAAACTGATTCATCTAAATTTTTTCACATGAATTTACTTTAAAATTCAGATAGCATATGTACATGGAACACCTACTATGTTGCCATAAACTCTGCTTGATGTTAGTTACACAAAATTGATTTAAAAAGCTGTCCCAGAATTTTTTAATCTGTTATTCATTTAGTTATGCAAGATTCATTAGTTCTGGAGATTGAAAGTACAACAAAGTGACTATAGTTAACAATCTTTTATTGTACACTTGAAATTTACTAAGAGTGGTAGAGCTTCAGTGTTCTCACCTCAAAAAAAAGAAAGAAAAATAAAATGGTAACTATCTGAGGTGATTAATATATTAATTATTATGAATGTGGTCATTTCATAATGTATATGTATATCAATTATCCAATTGTACACCTTAAATATATACCAGTTTTAATTGTCAAACATACCTTAATAAAATTTTTAAAATGAAAGGTAACCCAGTATGTCTAAGATTTAAGGTTCACCTGGAATGACAAATATGAAATCAATTAACTAATATAATACAACATGAAATAATAAGGTAAAAGACAATGTTCAAATGGTGATTGTTTTAGTATTTTCTGTTATGACTAAAAACCTTGATATGTGAGGTTTAAACAAGACACAATAGAAGTACAAGTAAAATAGAACTTATATCTCCCTGTAGAAGTCAAGGAAGGCTTCACAGAAAGAAGTAGTACAGATTAAGGGAAAAATGAGAAAATTAATATAACTTGAAAAATCATTTAGAAATAAGTAGATATATCAGGTTTCACAGGAAAGAGAAGTCATGCACTGAAATATTTCTATTTTATTATGTCATCATTGGGCAATTAGAAAAGAATTTGAATTGCCCATAAATTACCAATAAATAGTGCCATGAATAATGGGAATCTAAAAGAGAGTTAGTGAGGCCCATAAAAGCAGATGAAAGCATCTGAAAGCAGATAATGAATTTGTAAGTGGTGGGATCAGGATGAAAATATGGGAACAGAAAATTCATAATTACATTTTAAATGGGGAAGTCATCTAGAAGGGTTTCTAGTTCAGAGTCTGGGCAAGTGAATAAAGAGGGGTATTATTGATCAAGAGGAAAAATGAAGGAGAAAGAGAAGCAGATATTTGAAGATTTTTTTTGTTCGGACTGAGTTGAAGGTGATCAACAATATTCAGGAGATGATATTTGCTGTTTAGTTGAATATAGAAAAATACTGTTTCACATAAAGTGAGAGAAAATGTGACGGACATTATTGATTTTTAAATTTTTTTTTGCATGGACTTTATTTGGAGACTTTTAAAAACACAAAGTGGAAATGTAGGAGAATCTTAGGCAATCTAATACTTATGGGCAGACAGACAGCATAAAAGAGCCTACGGAGAAAAATCACAACGATTTTTAACCTTCTTAGCCTTCGTACACTGTTTGCTCTACTGTGTATTTTCATACTCTGAAAATGACTAGATTAATGTTAGATAAATGTTGTTACCCAAAAGTGGATCTTTTCTCCGGTTGCCAAATTGTGTACATCTACAAAATTGCTGTGTTGAAGAAGATGTTTTATTATGCTGTTTTAAGAAATTGTTTCATTGTGCTGAAAATTAACCAAGTAGTCTTTTGAACATTAAAGCAAAGCCTATGCTCTGCCTCCAGATTTTGAAAAAGAGATAAGAATTTCTTAATGTTCTCAGTTTTGATTGCCACTCTGTTGATCATTACTTCCCCTCCTCTCCTGCTCCTCCTAATTGTGCTCTTACTGAAATGCCTCATAGTCATGAATACTATTAGGTTTGCAATCCTTGTATTTGATAAAAACCCAGTTGTATCTTCTCTTTCTCTTCTTTTTAGGACATGTGTTATACATAGTAAGCTTCTTGGTTCCCCAATTCTAAAGCCACATAATTTGTGGTCTCTTAGCAACAGACTAGAGAGTCTACAGATGCTTGATTTATATGCTTGATTTCTGAACAGTAGACAAACTGCGTATCATTCAAGGAATGTCTTAAACTATTTTCTGTAGTCGACAGGAGTATTTAAATGGCAAAATTAAAAGGTTTCATAGATATCACTTAGCTTATTTTTAGAAAATCTCAAAGCATTTAATTATTCTTGTTATAAAAATAGGTTAAGGGTTGAGACCACTCACCTCACCGAAAATTTTTAAATAAATGTAAAAAGTACAGACGAATGATTAAGACTTATTAGCAGGAGTGCAGGCTAAATATTACATGTAAGACAAAGATGAATAAAATTCTTTTAAAAGGAATAGTCCCTGATCATTAAGTAAATCATTAAGTAAATCTTTAGATTTCTGAATCTTTAGACTTAGAAATTCTAAATCTAAATCATCTTTAGAAAACTCTTTCATGTCTAAGAACTTCCCTGATTCATTTTAAATAACAGATGAACTTCCATTCACTTTAAGTAGAAATTCACTAACTAGAACATCTATCCAAACATATAACTCTAAACTCTGAACCTGACTTAACAATAACTATTATTTTTTTTTTCCACAAGATCAGGACTGCTCTAGTTTAGAAGCTTGTAATGGGAATAGGGGCTGTGAGTGGTTGGTGTATTTGTGTCCTGTGTTCACTACCACAAATCTGCAACCATTTAGTGGCTTAAAACAACACAAATTTATCGTCTTAAAGTTCTTGAGGCCTAAATCTAATGGTGCTAAAATCAAGTTGTCTGCAGGATGGTTCTTTCTGAAGGCTCTGAGGGGAGAATATATTTCTTCATGTCTTTCTGCTTTCCCTGGCCGCCTGTACTCCTTGGCTTGTAGCCATTACCTCCATATTCAAATTGCATCACTTCAATCTCCACATCAGTTATTACACCGCCCTCTCCTCTGATTTTGACTTCTACTGGGTCCCCTTATAAAGCCCATGGAGATTATATCTGGCCTACTCAGATAATGTGGGATAACCCCTCCTTCTTCTCAAGATCATTAATTTAAATACACTTGCAAAATCTCTTTTGCCATTTAAGGTCATATTTACAGGTTCCAGGGATTAGGACATGGACGTATATGGAGGACAATTACACAGGCTCATAGTTGATTTGGTCTGTATTTGTCTTCCTTGAATTTATATTCTCTCAAAGGAATTTTTATTTACAAGAATTTCCTTTTTATTTCTGTATATTTGTTTTTATATGTTTGATACCATGTAGGAGTCCTAGATCTGTGAAAATGGCTTTTATAGTCTTTGAAAATACTACATATAAACATTTTCCACTGCACTTTCAATTCTCACATATGGCTTATTTTGGTACCTAGTTTCATACAAATTTTAATATTTATTTAAAATAAAAACCTAGAGAAAGAGCATTTCAGGCACAGAGAAAAGTATGCTCCAAAACTATGCGGTGTGTATAAGCCTGATGGTTTGAGGGAAGATCAAGAAGTTTGTTGGGACTAGATTAGGGTTGCCAGATAAAAAACAAGACACCTAGTTATATTCGAATTCTACATTTAAATAAATGTTTTAGTCTAAGTATGCTCCAACTATTGCATAAGACATACTTACACTTTTAAAGGTTTTGTTTTGTTTTAAAATTAAATCAAGCTGCATGGTTATTCTTTTCCCCTTTTTTGATAAATCTGGAAACCCTAGCCTAGCTTATGGTTGATAACCATGTGTACAGTTGGTGATGTTACGTAAGAAGTCAGGATTACAACATGCATGGCCAGCAGGTCAAAAAAAAATGGTTGTATATTTTCTACATGCAATTCAAAACTATTGGAAGATTTTAAGCATTAAAATGATAGATATGATCTTATTTTTGTTCCAGGATGATCACATTGGTATCTTGGTGGTGGATAGATTATTATAGGATATGTTTGAAAGCAAGAAGTCAGTATAAGTAGCTGCCTGACGTCTTGTTGAGAGATGATGGTGACTTGGATCTAGGACCTGACGAAAAAGAGCAAAGGGTCATCAACAGGGAGACAAGAGCTCAATTGGGAGCAAGGTGGTGCTTCAGAAGATAATTGAATAACTTAGGTTCAAATAGGATAGATAGAAGATTGGGGAAAATTTCCTAAACATCAAAGCTGAATATGTTGAGCAGTGAGCAGAAACCTTTTATTCTGTAAAAGCAACCCTAGGGAAAGGGTAAGTTTCTTCTCTTTGTAAGGAAGTAGCAATAAGAAGGAAATAAAGTTTCGGTATCTGCAATATTTAATAGTCTGCAAAAGAGTTATAAGAGTGTTAGCATACTTCTTCAAGAAGATTCTATTTTTCACTTATTATAAATATGCCAGGGAACATATTATACTTTCCTAAATCATAAGCAAATTTCTAGAAACCAACTGTTTAAACTTTAGCACCATTTTACAATAGAAGTTTGGGTTTTTGCCTAATTTTTACTAGTTTTTTCTTTCCTTCAACAGATTTTAGCAGCAAATATGCTACTAATTTTTTAAAAATTATAATATTAGGTAGACATAATGTAAATTTAAAATATTGATACCTATGAAGAGTATTATTAGAGAAAACAAAAAATTAGCCTATCTTGGAGCTCATGCAGCATCTAATGTATTTACCACTTTTCATGTTTCTCCGAATGTAATTTCTTGCAATGTTGCCTGTTGTCAGTAATTAGAGCAGCAAATTCTCTTTTCCAACAAAGGTAGTCCTGCAGCATTTGTATTGTTACAAGTATTGCTGCATTGCTGGTAAATCAATAATTATTCATCAGCAAGAACAATTTCTTTCATTTTTCTTCTCGTCATGGTAATCTCCCTTTAGTTATTTTCTTCTGTCTAAATTACCAGAACATAAAGATTTTAGTATAAACTTCAGGAAAGACTTATGTTCATTAGATAATTTTTATAAATAGAATAATGTATATAAAAGATTTAGTAGCATTGGCTACGATTAATATTTTTAGAAAATCATTAGTTGGACACAAAATTAGCACACAAGATAGTTTTATTTCCACTCCATAAAGGAGTATGAATGGAGTGGAAATAAAAATTTAAAAATAAAATAAAATAAACAAATATTTTAAAATCACACGTATCTACTCACTAGATAATGTCACTTTGAAAAAGAGATATAGAAATCAGGTAATAGTGTTGGATATGCCATAAAACAAATGAATAATAACATAAACTGTAGTGCCTAGAACATTCACTTTTTTAAACAAAATCCAATTTAAAATCTTTGTCTTACACAGGCACAATGGCTCCTGCAGGTAATCCCAGAACTTTGGGAGGCCTAGGCAGGAGGATTGCTTGAATCCTTGAGTTCAAGACCAGCCTAGGCAACATAGAGAGACCCTATCTCTACAAAAATAAAAATTAAAAAAATTAGTCAGATATGGTGGCACATGTCTGTGGTCCCAGCTACTCAGGAGTCTGAGGTGAGAGGATTGCTTGAGCCAGGAGGTGGCAGCTGCAGTGAGCTCTGATTGTGCCACTATATTCCAGCCTAGGTGACAGAGCAAGACCCTGTCTCTAAAAAATTAAAAAATAATAAACAATAAAAAATTGCTCTTATTTTTTCAAAGGGTTAAGGTTACCTGGAGTTAGCAAATATGTTGCTTTATGCTTAATAACGACATTATAATAACATATGTCTCACATATTTCATTAGGATAGTAACTCCCCAGAGCAAGTTACTGTGTAAACAAAAAGAATTTCAAACTTCATAATCACTTTTAATAAGAATTGTCCTATTTTAAACTACTAACAGTACGTCAAGGTATCTGTTTTGTCAACATTATCTTTTGTCATTTAAAAAAAACAACACAACTCATCTTTGTGAATTTAATAATAAAATATCTCAGTAGGTTTTCAATATACATTTTGTAAATAATATTTTTGAGAATAATCAATTCTTACAATATTTAAATATACATATTTTCTTCAAAAATATGTTCTTTTTCTTAGAATACTTTATTGTGAGTAAATATATTATCAATTATTAATTTTTCTTTAATTTTAAAATCATGTATATCCTTTGACGATTATGTAGCATTCATTGAGAATATTTTAACAAGTTTCTTATTTGACCTTTTATTTTGTTTTATTTATTTGTGTTGGCTTGGACTTGTTTTGACATATTGTGTATGTTCAAATTGTCTACCTTTTATTTTGTAAAAATATCTGTGATTTGTGTTTTAAACATTTTTCCTCAGTTAAAAATTTAATTATTATTATTTTGTTGTTTTGTTTTCCCAATGACTTAATTTTTGATACTATCTCACTATTATGGCTTGAGTGCTTTACATATTCCTCTTGTATAAAAGAATTATAATGAATGCTTATATAATTTTACGTTCAAGTAATGTGTAACCAAACATTTCAAATGTTCAGATTAATATTAAAAATTAATTTTGTTTTAATACTTGAATTTTGTTACAGTTATTTAAGATAGTTAATGTGATTATAAAATATAATTATTGAATAAATAATATCAGATTCTCTACTATAATACTTATTTAAATCTCATTTATGTTGCCTGATTAATTAATGGAATTATTAAAAGCTGAAGTCAGCAAGTTAGAAAAAAAAACAGCATCCTTAATTTTTAAAAATGAGTTTTATGTTACATAATTTAAAGTCTTTCTGGTATCTAGCCAAGCATTCAACTGAGAAAAAGTGTGTGCTGCCGTCACATTTCTTGCCATCACATTCTTTATAAAGATCACACTGTGTCACTGTGACCAGAAGCCAAGATTTTTTTCTCCTACTTGATCTTATTTACACATCTGTTATTTATAATGATTGCCCAAATTAATTTCATGTTAAGCCATAATATAAAATGTTACACTCTATTTATTCAGAATCTATTCTTTGTGTTATCAGACTGTATTTAATCTCTCACAACTGAGTAGGTATTATTCTTATTTTACAGAGGACAAAAGTGACTCTCAGAAAATTTAATGAATTCAGCTGGTAAATAACATGATAAAATATCATTCTAGATCTTTACATCATGTACCTTTTGACTACCAGTTCACTAGAGCCTACGAATTTCATTGTATCAAGTGTTTAATATAAAGAAAGCCATCTAGATGTGACTATCACGTAAACAACGGACTCTATCCATTCTCACTGACCCTTAACAGTTTCAAAATCTCCCAAAATGATATGATTCTAACATATAATTTAAGCTCTTTAGATAGATTTAATTTCTAAATAATATTATCATAAAAAGATTTCCCTTTGTTATATATTCAACGGACATAATAAGAGAATTGGTGAGGAGGCAAGTTTAGCCTTCTGAGACTTGTTAATTGCTTATCAACCAAAAATACACTCATGTATAGCTAGAGCAATACACAGGATGATTTATTAAGATGTAAGGATTCAGGAGGAAAAGAATAATGAATTTGTCTCTTATATGGAATCAACATATTTTTATGTTATTGGCTAAAATAAAGTAATAAACACATCAATAGATTTCCATACATATTATTTAAGACTATGGGTAATTAATATCATTGAATTTTTAGCATAAGATATATTGATCAAAAGAAAGTGCAATTTTTCTGTATATATCCAATGTGCAAATGGAAAATAAGGATACTAAAAGTCCACTGACAAGAGATAGGCATATAGAGTTAATGAACTGTGGTCCCTACGATCCATCAATTGTCACATAGCTGCTATCTAGAGATAAAATCAATACAAGTGCTTTCAGATACACAGAACTGCTTCACTGAGAATGCTAACCTCAATATGTCATCACATAGGTATTTAAACATCATGCAAGATGTAGAAATGCTTCAAGTGGTTTTGAACTTGTAGAGTCTGACTAAAGATTTATATATTTTATAGATTCGTTTTCTACTAGCTCTAGTATACAATTTTGAAATGTATCAGTCCATCAGCTATTCTTCTCAGAATACTTGTGAATATATTGTAGCCAGAAATTTTACTATATGTTATATCAGCTAGTTAAATGAATGCCCTAACTTAAAGAAAATTTGAAAAAAATGTGTAACTTCCAGAGTACAGAGATAAGCTTCCAATCCAGTATCTACTGATAAATTATATGATTTTGAAATTTCCAATTAAAACATATTAAGACATTTCCTTTAAATAATGTGATTTTCTGCATCAATACTCCCAAAAAGCAACAATCTAAAAGTTACAGATGGGCTTAGAATAAATTTAAATTGAAATTTTAGTTCTAATCTTTTTTTTTTGGTTCAATGTGCTAGGAGTAAAGATTATTGTATAAATCTCACACAGAATTTCTAGGATAGCAAATGGGACTGCTTTTTGAAGAAACGGTCTTCTAAACATTAAATTGGACAGAGATAGCTTTATTTCAGTGTCCACTGGAATTTAGATATTCCACCAAAATTATATTTCACAAAATTCCACCAAGATTAATAGTAGGAAATAAAGATTTTTGTAGTTTATTCAAAGTTGGTTTTGTACCGAAAGAAAACAGAGGCTCAGAATGAAAAGAATTACACAATAGATGATTAAGGTAATGTGTCTATAATTTTTTATAACTAAAATTTTCTGTGTTTCCACATGTTATCTAAATATGTCATAATATTAATACATTCACTGTGGGTAAAGTTAGGAGCTGTATACAAAGGCTGTACCTCACAAACCCAATCAGTTCCCCTATTTAGCCAATTAAGCCTCAAATATATATTTTATTTGATCCTTATAGCTTAGCAAACTAGGTAATAAGGTAGTATTATCACTGTGCTATAGCATAAACAGAAGACTATAGAGGCAATCCCCAACCTTTTGGCACCAGGGACCAGTTTTGTGGAAGAGAATTTCTCCAGGGACAGCAGCGAGCAGGGGTTGGTTTCAGATGAAACTGTTCCACCTCAGATCATCAAGCATTAGATTCTTATAAGGAGTGGGCATCCTAGATCCCCTGCATGCACAGTTCACAGTAGAATTCATGCTCCTATGAGAATCTAATGCTGCCACTGATTTGACAGGAGGCAGAGCTCAGGCAGTAATGCTGGCTCCAGCCACTCACATCCTGCTGTCTGGCATGGTTCCTAAAAGATCAAGGACTTATAGTGGTCTGTGGCCCAGGGGTTGGGGACCCTTGAGCTAGAACGTTAATCTGATCAAATGAACACAATTAAATATTCAGAAAAGCATTATAACAAGAATCTCTAATTTTTTATCTTATTCTCATTTTATTTTGTTACAATGTCTACAAAGAGAATGCTAACTGGAAAACTTTGACGTATTTTTTTTTTCCAGGAGACTTGTTTTTTTTTTTTGTCCATGTGTCTAATGTAATGCAGGCAAAATACCTACAAATGAAGCATATCACTGCATATGTTTTTGTAAGTTGTATGACAGTGATTTATTTTTATATAAGTTGCAAGATTACGTAACTGGTTTCATGACTGGACATGATGTAGTTTGTAATATTAAAATTTGTAGAAGTAATCAATATTAAGAGACAAGATGTAGAAAACAGAAATGAGCTGATTTCATAATATGTATTAGTCTCACAAGTATATTCAAAAGTATTATGTTAATATAACATGTACCCCATAAATATATACACGTACTTATGTACCCATAAAAATTAAAAATAAAGAAAATTTAAAATAAAATACATTTAAAAATAAAGGATAAATGTGAGAGATGGTATTCAGTAAATACTAAAACTTAGAAAAGCATTATATTTAGAATTTTCCAAATGTAATAGAAATACAACTTTGTTTCAATGTTAAAAGGAAAATAACTTAGAATCTATAAATACTAATTTGTTTTCAAAAAACACTATGTTATGATTACATTCCCCTAGTGTTGGCATAATTACTTTATAAACGAAAACAGAAAAATATAACAAGAAAATTGAAAAGCTTTTAGTTGACACCTAATGCATAATGCCATTTGATAAATACATAGAATAAGCATATAAGAAATCAAAAAAGATGTCATGTTTTGAGTATTTTGTAAAAGTTATAATACTTTCTCCTCTTTGTATAATTTTTTTTGCCTTTAAAAAGTGCATTTTGGTTTCCAAAAATTTAAACTTGTAACAGAAACTGGTTTACACATATTTTTAACCATTTTACAAATGTCATGAAAGTATAATTTTAATTATTTCTATGCTTTCTTTTCCAGTGAAATTAAAATACAAAGGCAATTTTAAATGTCGCTTATCTTCAAAAAATCTAAATAACATACCATCATGTATGTTTGCTTTGGAATAAAATCTACTACTTACTAAAATTAGATAAAACTTTAATAAACATCACATATTTTTGGATATGTTATCTTGATTTTATTTCATGTTAGATTTAAATTCTTATGAAATTTTCTGAAAATAATTATAATATAAATGAGGGTGATATTGACATTCTTAAAACTTGTCAATTGTGCGTTGGCTCTTAAAACATCAGGCCAAAAGTGACACATACTCCTTATACTAACCTTTCCTTGGCCAGACAAGTGAATGTTAGACTTCTAGTTTCCCAGTCCAGATACAAAGAATCTGGAAGTTGTTACTCCCATTCTTATAAGAACAAAGCTGAAAAACTGAAAGCCAACAGTGCACTTCTTTTTTTTTTTTTTTGAGACGGAGTCTCGCTCTGTCGCCCAGGCTGGAGTGCAGTGGCGCACTCTCAGCTCACTGCAAGCTCCGCCTCCCGGGTTCACGCCATTCTCCTGCCTCAGCCTCCCGAGTAGCTGGGACTACAAGCGCCCGCCACCATGCCCGCCTAATTTTTTGTATTTTTAGTAGAGACAGGGTTTCACCATGTTAGCCAGGATGGTCTTGATCTCCTGACCTCGTGATCCGCCAGCCTCGGCCTCCCAAAGTGCTGGGATTACAGGCATGAGCCACCGCGCTCTGCCGTGCATCAGAAATTTAAAGTCAAAGGCCTCAAAAACCGGAACAGGCAGATGCAGAGCATCACAGCTTATCTTGAGCAGAAACAGCCACTGCAGCCAGAATCGGATATTTATAATAGAGAGTAACTGACTAATTGTTGGAAACTAGTATGGATTAGCTTGAGATATAAAAACTCCTGAAAGACCAGTCTTAGGAGAACTGCCACACTTTTTCCCTCCGTGAACCCCAGTAGGTTTGTATGGTGAAAATGGTATTAAAAATCTCTCCTGTTTCCAACGCAGAAAGGAGAAAAAGAAACACTTTGAAATATGCTCAGAGAATTCTGCTCTCCTTCACAAAGGTATGCTCCCAAGGAAAACGATTTCACTAGAGCCTAACCATAGGGGGATTTATCAGAGCCTAACCAACATGGGGAACGGGAAACATCCATCTCTTGCCCTACTAGCCTTCCTGTATTAATTAAGGGGGAGGAAAAAATCCCAGAAGCACTTGTCAAAGTCACAGCCCAGGGCACAGTTTTGCTAAAAGCCTTATACCCAAACTAATGATAGGGCATTTCTTCCACCCCTAACTTTTTGCCACATTAATGATAGGCTTCTGTATTGTAACTTAACTCAGCTGAAAAGAACTACAGGACTCATACCTTTTAAAAAATAATAATAAGTCCCTGGGGAAACCCAAGACAATGAGGGAGACAAGAACACCACAGAAATTTTAGCTTCTGACACCTACATCTACAGCAAACAGTGAACACAGCATAGCTCCACAAAGCCTCACACCGAAATCCTATTTACCTCAGTTTCTAAAGGTAACATTATTGATATTAAAAATTCATCGTAAGAATAAAGTGCATCCCTAGGAGCTGTCCCATGTGTATGTGTGTTTGTGATTGTCTCTATTATTTAAACAAATTAATAATCGTATAAATCAATGAAAGGGAATAGACTATTTAAAAAACTATACTATTCTATTTTTTGTTTTGTTACTTGCTAATAAATATACAACTTCGGCTATAGAGACAGTAGCTTGCAAGACTTGTTCATAACAGTTTCAAGTAATTTACATTTTTCTGAAAATATCTTGGTTAATCATGGATTGCATATGACCTTACTTTGTCTATCTTTAAGGATTTTTTTCTTAATCCAAGCAAGTTATTAGCCAGATAATATTTATATCTTATTATTTATTCCTCCCGTCAATTTTCTTGAAAGCATCCTAGAATCTCAGCACTTTCTCTTTTTACCAGGATCAAAAGCATAAACCCATGCTACCATTAAAGAGAAATGATAGCATAACAAAAATAAATTAATTGCATATAAAACTTCAAAAGACTAAATACACCACTTCAAAACATAACCAAATTGAGATTGAACCTTTAATGAACTAAATATATCTCCACTTTCTCCTTCAGAAGCCTTGTTATCTCTGTCTCAGTTTTCACTATGACACCATTTGTTACTCTCTTTTCTATCTCTTTCACTCTGATTTGCCCCTCTTCTTCTCTCATTATTCTTTATTTACCTGAACAAAATAGCACAACAAGAAACTATGTACTACAAAATATGTTGGTTTTATTCTACAAGTCTACACTAAACTATTAGTGTTTTTATAGGTAGGTAGCTTTATTTATTTAGTTGTTTGGAAGGAAACATAGTCAAGAAGTAGCTATTATGCTGTGAAGGGAGCAATAAGGAATATGTTTCATCTGGAAGAAAACATTATCATCAACTACCCTGACTAGGAAACTTCACAAAATTCAATCATAGATTTATAGTCTCTCAATTCTATTGAGAAAAACTCATTTGAGAGTAATCAAAATTATCTTTTGACCACAAAAAGTTTTAAAAAGTTTATAAATCATGCAAGTTAGAATTATTGGATCTTCAAGAAATTACATTAAATCAAGGTTACATATATTAAACATAAAGCATATCCATAATTTATTTATTACAAGCCATATATTTCTATTTGTTCACGTCAGTGAAATATAGATGAGGTGGTGAAATGAATTAGTTATGAATCACTGTATATTGAATGAATGCTAATGTTATAATTATTGATTTTCTATGACTTTTTTCTTCAAATTCTGGAGAAAATGTCCTTCAATTCAAGTTTAGCCTTGTTACATTATGTTATTTTCTGCGAATATATATTTGCATTATTAGGTGGTCTATTCTATTAGACTCTTTGCAAATATACTCTAAACACCTATTCTAACCTTTCGATCCGAAAGTCATTTTTTTCCTTTTTTAAAGAATACTTCATCAGTTTTCAAATCAAAAGTCCTAATACACAAAAACAAAAATCTTGTAATCATTAAGAAACCTCAATAAGCTGAGGAAAGACCAAAAGAAAGGTATTCCTAAAAGTGTCATGCTATTCATCTTATCTTTGGTGACATTTTGTTTCTGGCAGCGTTTGACTACTTTCAGACCAATTCTTCCTCTGAGACTGATTTTAAAATCTTGACAAAATGTAAATATCTTATGTATGAAGGAAAGCTACAAAGAGAATGTAAATTTCAGGGGCTGTAAACTTGTATTGGAGGAAAGTGCAGAGTGGCTATCAGGGATTTTGGGACCTCTTTTCCTTTTGAGGTGATTGCTGAATGAAAAACTGAGAGCGGTAGCAATAGACTGAGAAGCTGAGCAAAGATTTCTGCAGTCTCATGAGACTTTGAAAGCACGCTTTAAATGAAGACTTGTAAATTTTCCAAGTTATTGATTGGGACTCTAAGGGGTCCATACTGGGATGACAGATGAAGCATAATAGATCATAGACTCCCAAGGGCTAAAGCCAGGCTTCACATCATCTTGGTCCCCAACAGGGGACCTACCTCTGTTGGGGTAGCTGCCTACCCCAAGGAACCATAAATTTTCTCTGAAGAAAGATGACAACCACAGCCTCTAATTCTTTCTATTATATTTTTATAGACAAGATTCATCATTTAGTTAAAAAAAAGCACCATTTTTAAAACACAAAAGTTTAAAAAAATCAAAGTATTTTTAACAGTAATTTTCAGACATGGACTTTAAAATAACTATGACAAATAAATCCAAGCAGTTAAGAATCAACAAAGAAAATATTGGCAGATATTATAAAGGAGAAAGAAATGGGAATTCTTAAAAAAACTAATATTTTTAAAATCTGCAATAGGTTTAACAGCAGATAAAATGGAGATTATAAAATGAAAAAATATATTTAAAATATTCAGACTGAAGAATAGAGAGGCAAATTTATGGGAAGTATATAGGAGATTACATGAAATATATAAAACAAAATGAAAGAACCGAAGTATAATTACTTTTGCAGAAGAAACTATGTAGAATAGGACAGAATCCATCACTGAAGAGATAACAAGGACAAAATTCCCAAAATAGAGCATATAAATTAGGTCACATATGAAGCAGAATAAACATAAAGAATGCCACACCTAAGAGAAGAATTAAGCTATGTTTAGATTTAACTCTGCTATAGGTGTTTATATTTGTCCTGTTTTTTTCCTTTGTTTATTCTTTCTAGCTTTCTTGTGTTTCATTCACCTTTTGTATTTTAGTATTCAATTTCTCTCTATTTGCTTTTCAGTATAATTAATTTTAAAAAGATTTTAGGATTTTTAGGCTTTACAATACACACTTTTTTAAATCATAGAATTCTAGGTAGCTGTATTTTATACTATTTCACCTATAAAAGTTTTACAAAACTATATTTCCATTTAATTTCTACTTGTTATCTATATTATTGTTGCCCTTTATTTCACTTTTTTATATATTATCCATACTGTAATACAATTTTATTGTTTCTGTTTAAAGAAACTTAAAATGAAGTAAAACAGGCTGTTAATTATGGCTTCTTTGCTGTTTCTCATGCTCTTTATTCTTACATGTTCATTTCTATACTGAAATCCCCTTTCTGCTTATTCATTTGTACTCACTTTTTCAAGGAGTCAAGTAACTATTGCTTAAAGGGCCATAAAGTGAATATTTTAGGGTTGGAGATCATATGGTCTCTATCACAACTACTATACTCAAGCCTGCTGGTTTTTGGCAAATGCAGCACTAAACAATTTGTATATGATAGCTATTTTCCAGTAAAATTTTATAAAAATAATTAACCAGCGTGTAGGCCATAATTTGTCCATTCTAATATTTTCCATTATATCTTTGAGCATATTTGTAAATGCTGTTTTCATTTCTGATAATGGTGAGATCTCTGTCAAGTCTGGATTTATTTTTATTCACTGTTATATTCTCCCGCTTATGATAGACATATTCCTGCTTAGTCACATGTCTAATATATGTATTTATATTTTTTCTTTCCTTAAAAATTTTATGTTGGTCATTATAGATACTATGCTGTTGAAGATTGTTATTTTGTTGTCTTTCATTAAATAGTGTTAAATTTTGTTTTGAAGGCAGGCAATTTACTGGCAAATGAATTTGATATTCCAGCTTATATTTAAGTTTTGTTAGTAAGATGCTATATAGCCATTATTCTAGGGCTAGGACAGGGCTACTATGAAGGAAACTCTTTGGCCAACTTCAAGAAACTGTCTGGAATATTCAGGTTGGTTTCTTCTCTCTGGCTTGTGTATTCTTCTGTTTCTCAATATAATGTAACTTGTGGACTCTCTATTGAACTCCCAGATACCTAGTAATTGTTTTGTACTGAGGCTTGCAGAATTCACCACATGCATACATAACTCAATAGTCATCCAAAGAACAAAGTTTTCCTATGCAAATTTTAAAGCTATGGCTGTTTTGCCATAAATATTTCCAAAAATAGGTCACCAGACACTAAACCATAATTTACGGACCATATCTCCAGAGCATAAAACTATATGACTTAATATCCTCATCCTTCCTAAACTTGAGTTCAAATTTTGGTATTACTGTATATTAAAAACATTTCTTGGGGTAAGAGATTTAAGGTTTTCAAATGTAATTTTTCCAATACATACAGTAGCTTATTATAGAAGAACTTCATAAAATTGTTGAAAGAATTAAATTAGATAATTTATGTTGTATAGTCCCTTGCACTGAAAGATAGCAAAAATAAAAAATGTAACCGCTATTATTCCTATTATGTTAATTTTTTATTATACATTTACTGCTAAGTTGTCTTTTTTCTCTGACAGAAAAATATAATGCTAATTAACTTAGAAATGTCTTAGAACCTATATCAGAGGACACTGTGACTGAGAAAGACTTCCAAATATGCTCTGACGTTGAATAGCATGATTTTTTATATCCACATTTAAATAGGAACATTTTATTTAATGTCTCAAAATATTGCTTTTCTTGCTGTCTCAACTTCCTTTTGGCTTACTGTAAGTTTAACTTTAGAAACTTGGTTTCCTTTGTAAATTACAAAGTTAGTCTTTCTGCTTTAGCTTAGGATGACTATATTAAAATGATTAATATTGGAATGTCTTATGCAAACATAATTCTCTTTTTTTCCACTCACTCTAAATTTTATTGATCTACAATGACCAAAAAGTGAATACCCTTTATCACTCGCTTTGTAATATTTTACACTAGGATGGAAACAATATGAGTAACCTTCCATAATTATAAGCTTTTCAAACACTTACCAAGCTTAAATGGCTAATTAATTCCATAAAACATAACAATGTGTTTTACGACCCAAGGAACTTGCCACTGCCAGCTCTAACACTGAATAAAAGTTAATAATGATAGCAATATAGAACAATTCACATAATCAAGAGGTAACTCAGTCAAAACACACGTAAATTAGTATTGTAAATTTGTTCACATTAATAAAAACTTATTTTATTTAGGCAGACAACTTAATTCAAGTCTGTGCCTCTATGTCAAAATGATAGTCTCTCTTAAATATGAGTCCTAAATAATCCAGGAGTCGGGTCCTGAAAATGTTGAGATATTCTATGGTACTCTAATGTGAATAAAAATAACATTCACTTAAAATTAAGCAAAAGCACATGGTGGATTAACAGATCCTCAAAACATATATAAATTAGCATTGAGTTAAAGTAATTCTCAACCTGGATATCATTCTGTGTATATGTGAATATTCAGTTCCACTGAATATTTTAAATTCACATCTTCAGGATAAATTCTGGTCAGATAATTTAGATCTGACACATGTGAACTTAGTGTATTAGACAATTATATTTTCATTCGGTTATATACTTTAAGAAAATCATCTAATTATCTGTTTCTATGGCATCAACAAGTTTAATTAATCATTGACACAGAGTCACTCTCTTTGTCTCTATATATGTGTATACATATAATGTAGACATTTATGCTCATTATATATTATATAATTATGCATGTAATATATATTTATGGTTAGCATATATATATAATAGATATGATTCACATATCTATGTCCATCTTATACATGTGATCTACATATGTATATCTATTAGATATATAAAACTATATATTTAATATATATATACCTATCATATATATATAGAGAGAGAATTTAATAGATTTTGTAATATCATATGAAGTAAAGATAATTTAGATAAATTTCATTTAGTCCTGAGCAGTTCAGTCTTGGAAGAAACTGCCAAACTATCTTTTAAAGGGGCTGTACCATATTGGCATTCCCAACATAAATCCCAAGAAGCACAATTGCTGGATCCAAGAGCATGGTTAATCTTGGAAGAAACTGCCTAATTGTCTTCTAAAGCAGCTGTACTATTATGCAGTACTACCAGCAATGAATGAGAATTCCTTTTGCCTCCTATCCTCAGCTACAATTGTTATTGTCAGTGTTTTGAATTAGTAATTTTAATAGGTGCATAATAGTATCTCATTATTGTTCTAATTTGTAATTTCCTAGTGATATATTATTCATCATAAATTTAAGAGCCTACCTTGGTGCTAGGCACTGTTCTAGAATTCAATAGAACTTCACAAGGAATATCCATACTCATTTTGATGAGGAGGGGGAATCACGAAAGAATAAAATAAGTAATTAACATAATGTGGTATTATATAGTCTAATATAGCATGATATCTAAGAATTTATTTCATATGATATTTTATAATTTAAATAATGATAATCGCTATGAATTAAATAAGTGTGGGGTAAGAAAATAGATGTACATTGACGTATGGGAGATTTGCTAGAGTTCAAAAGTATTGTGAGCAGGGTGTTAGCTGTATAGTTGGTAAGTAATGTTCGCAGTTTGAAAGATTAGCTAACATATGTGTTATGAGAAGAAAATAAGAACTACTCTCAGATTTTTGACCTGAGTAACTCGATGTATGGTGGTGTTATTTGCTGAGGTAGATAGAACTCAATAAAGAAGTCAGGGAAAAGCTGATATTAAGACTTTATTTTGCAATCTGGCTGGGCACGGTGGCTCACACCTGTAATCCCGGCACTTTGGGAGGGCCAAGGCAGGTGGATTACTGAGGTCAGGAGTTCGACTCAGGCTGGCCAACATGGCAAAACCCTGTCTCTCCTAAAAATACAAAAATTAGCTGTGAGTGGTGGCTCGCACCTGTAATCTCAGCAACTCAGAAGGCTGAGGCAGGAGAATTGCTAAAACCCAGCAGGCAGAATTTGCAGTGAGCTGAGATCGTGTCACTGCACTGCAGCCTGGGCGACAGAGCAAAACTCCGACTTAAAAAGAAAAAAGAAAAAAAAAAGAATTTATTTTACAATCTGTTAAAGTTCTTAAAGACTAAAAATTCAGCATACAAACCACAAAAAAGTTCATTAATTCAATCATTGTTTATCATATTTCCAATATAGCTAACTGCTATGATGGGAATAACAAGTCTAAAACACAATTTTATTATAGAAATGTAAATTATTTCACTGTTTAGGAAGAACAGCGGGATAAAATAATTTTAAAATCTCCTCTTGTCTACTTATTCACATCCCTTGCCAAGAGTGGTTTAATTCCCAGATGCTTGAGAAGGAAAAAAAAAAAAAAAGCATCAAGCCTATCCGAGAACTCAAGATGCAGCAACAAATTTTTATCTTTAGGTTCAAAGTATTTATTATAAAGCCTCGCTCATACTGTTCAAACACAGATGTCCCTTCAGTTAAAACTTTCCCTGTACTGTGTTTAATATAGTTATATATTTTCTGCCCAAATTAAATCTCTTTCTATCTCTCTCTGATTTGCATTTTAACAAGATCATTCTGGCAGTTGCTGCTGAACAACAGATAGGAGTTCCAAGAGTGAATGGAAAAAGTGAACTCACACTGGAGGCTGTTGGAGTGAGTGAGTTGTAGATGTCAGAAATGGTTTAATTCTATCATGATTCTGCAGATGTGGAAAGATTTAATACAATTGGTAATCATCTGGATGTGGGTAGTGAGAACAAATAGAATATAGGAGGACTCCGGATTTTTGCCTTTGAGAAAATGGATAGATGAGGGAAGCCATTATAGGAAAATATTTTTCGTGGGTTATATATTTTTATTTTCATTTATTTCTATATACATCTTTTGTAAATAGAAATTAACATATTTCATATGTATTATCTGTATTATTTGTTTGTTTACACCTTCTGGTTAATTTTCTTAAGAAAATTTCCTTTCTTGAGATATTTTAAAAAGTATACATACTTTTACTATTTTAATAGTTTTTGTTTCCAATTTTAACTATTAATTTAGCTTAAATTAACTTGTATATGGTGTGTGAAAGAGTACTGTGATGGTTAACTTTATGTGTCAACTTGGCTAGGTTAAGGGATGCCCAGATAGTTGCTAAAACATTATTTCTAGATGTATGCATGAGGGTCTTTCCAAAGGAAATTCAAATCAGTAGACTGAGTAAAGGAGATCATCCTCAACAATTTGAGTGGACATTAGCCAATCCATTGAGTACCTGAATAGAACTAAAGAGTATCGGAAGGGCAAATTTACCTTTTTTTGTTGTTGTTGTTAGAGCTGGGACATAAATCTTCTGCACACTTGGGCATCCAGCTCCTCCTTTGTACTTGAAAGAAATTGCAACTCAATCTTTGCTGGTTTCCAGTCTTGCAGAAGGCAGATAGTAGGCCTTCCTATCTACTACAATTGCATGAGCCAATGCCCGTAACAAATATCTCCTTCTAAGTATCTATATTTATCCCATTAGTCTCATTTATCTGGATAACCAGGACTGATAAACATATTAATTAATTTTTGTCTTCAAAATGGCTTTCACTTACCTGAGTACTGGTTATTAGTTAATGACATAGATTTTAATGAGTCATCATCTTGTAAGTATTGGGATATCTGCAACTTATGTCAAATATCATCTGGATGATTTTTCTGGAGATTAAATATCATGCATTTTGGAAATACATGAAGTAGTCAGATAAAGATTTGAATGTATTCATTTCAGACTAGGCTTTTCTGATGCATGCGTCAGTATATAATTACAAATTACTAATGTTTTGTGAGAAATGTAGGATTTAAATACATATTGAAATTTACATAGCATAAATATATGTTGAGAAAGGTGCAAGGATTAATTAATGAAAATATCTTATTTCTCATACTTTTGTTTGATTAATAGAAAAATGTGACCTGGAGTATTATTTTCATCTTTATCATCGAACAAATAATCCAAAAAATAATTTTCTGAGTGCATATTACTTTTAATCTATTTTACTATAAAAATGTTACATTTAATATTTTTAAAATGGAAAATTTGATATGTATATGTACCAATGTTAGATTATTCCAACTAAACATATTTGTTTTATTTTAAATAAACCTTTTTTTTGGGCTCATTTGGTGGGACATGAAAATCATGTCCCACATTCTGTAAAACACTTGATATACATCATATTGTTATTAACAATAATTATAATGTTCTCTCTTTTCAAATGTACAGTATCTATGGGACAATTCTCTGTGTTAAGGTTCATTATTCAAATGACCTTTGTTCTTTTTTTCCTCTCTGAAAGATAAGCATCATTCCCACTTTACTAGAATTCTTTTTGAGTATTCCTGGGAGGCCTCATATAGCAAATGATTGTATATTTTCCTTCTAGGACATGGCCCTTACCAAATATCTATTCAATGTTGGATTTCTATGTCTATTCTTCCTTTCTTCCTCCCTCCTCCCCTCCCACCCTCCCTCCCTCCCTCCCTCCTTCCTTCCTTCCTTCCTTCTTTCCTTCCTTCCTTCCTTCCTTCCATCTATTCAGTATTGGATTTCTATATCCTTCCTTTCCTTCCTTCATTCTTTCCTTTCTTCCTTCCTTCCCTCCTTCCATCTATTCAGTATTGGATTTCTATTTCCTTCCTTCCTTCCTTCCTTTCTTCCCTCCCTCCCTCCCCCTCTCTCTTTTCATTTTTTTTAAGGTTTTCACCTTGGTATCCCAGTAACCCAGACGTAAGTCGTGTCACTTAGGTGGCTATTGCGTGTGACTACATGCATGCTGATTTTTTCCTTATTCTGAGAATGTTGACGGAATAGTTCTGCTTGTATGTGAACAAAACTTACCCTCAGAAGTATAACTATATCATGTCTATAAGCCACTGTTAAAAATACCTCAATGCTTCCTTATAATCTATGCAGTAAATCATCAAAATATATACAAATTTAATAGTTAAAACTTTTTAATGGCAGCAACATTTATGGGAGAGAAAGTTAGAAACAACTTTCTTAGAAATGTTTAACTTAATTTTCATATAACTCTGACTTTATTGTTACCATGTAAATTACCGAGGCATAATAAGTAGTCCAACACATTTTAATTTTGTTTTCTTCATAAGAAATAAACGTAGTAGCTTTATTTTCCATCAATTGAATTAAATATAATTAGTCTTAAATAATATAATTACAAAGTTTTCTTTTCAATTAGACCTTTATATACTTGTAACAAAAACTGCTTGTGATTCTGTGTACTATATCTAAACAAGTGTCATTATGACCTAAAAGCTTTACGCCTTTTATGTACTTTAGTCTGAAACATTTACTGCTACTATTACATTTTGCAATTACAGTGAAGTGAGGCAGAAAATAGCAGTTCAAAAATGTATTCAAGTAATGAAGTTGGAACCATTAGTTTCAAGGCTCTTGTTATTTTAGTAAATATTTAATCTTTCTAGCAGCATGGGTTCCTAATTGATCTTTAAGTATTATTGTTCTTGGACATTTCTAATCGACTTCTAATTGCTACATTAAGGCAGTTAGGGAATAAAATGTAATGGATGGTGGAGACTTTTACAGTACACTTAATCAACAGAATATAGTAAAACTTATAACTCATTTCCATTATTGAAATTTGAATCAAAATACACTAAAGTCTACCTTTATATCCATCTTCTTATTTTGAAGAGTTCTACTGATCTAAAGAAATCCATAAATAATGTATTCCATTTATGCTAAGATAGATATGTGCAATAAATTATTAAGATGTGATTTAAAATCTCTTTTAATAATAGTTATTTTTGGTAATTCCCAGGTTCCTATGTATTTCATTTTAATTTTATTCAGATCACCTTTAATTTTCATGTATATCTATCTCTTTATCTCCCTAACTTATAGAAAGTGAACCAGTTCATTCATTTATGAGAAATGTATTGAACATTTAAATTATAAGCAAGGTAGTATAAACTCAAGAAATATAAAACAAAGTCCTTCACTTATTGTTAATAATAGTTGCATAGACACCAGACGATAACTCTTACATTCCACATCAGATCCAGATGGAACAAGACCTGAGAGACATAGCTAGAGAAACTCTTCTGCTGATTCTATTTGAGCTCCTTTAGCTGCTTAAAACTTACAAACCACTCAATTTTTCAATTCCATAGTGAATCTATGAATTCACTTTTTTCTTCTCTTCTTTTTTTTTAATGTTAACAGGAATTTGGAAGAATGCTTTTTATAATATATTTTAGTTAGATCTTTTCATACAAAAGAGGAAGAATAGTAAAATAAATGAATTGGTAATGAGGTCATTGAATCTCTTAATTTGATTATATCTCACTATTTTTCTTTTCTGAAATTATGAATAGTAGTTAATTACTAATTCCCACTTCATTTTAGATTCATGTTTTGTCATTCAAAAATAACAAAAAGTTTCTGGAAACATGACAGGATATTATTTGAATTAAGCATTACTCAGCTTTGGCTGGGCGCGGTGGCTCACTCCTGTAATCCCAGCACTTTGGGAGGCCGAGGCTGGCGAATCACGAGGTCAGGAGATCGAGACCATCCTGGCTAACACGGTGAAACCCCGTCTCTACTAAAAATACAAAAAACTAGCTGGGCATGGTGGCGGGTGCCTGTAGTCCCAGCTACTCGGGAGGCTGAGGCAGGAGAATGGCATGAACCCGGGAGGCGGAGCTTGCAGTGAGCCGAGACTGCGCCACTGCACTCCAGCCTGGGTGACAGAGGGAGACTCCGTCTCAAAAAAAAAAAAAAAAAATTACTCAGCTTTTAATATATTAACTAAGTCAAGAGATTTTACTAAATTTCAATTGAGACTCAAATTTATAGAATAGAAATGCATTATTATATTACAGTTGAAGTAGCTTATGTTCAATTTAGGGAAGCACTGAATACCATAAATCTGAAATGATGAGCTGGTCATACCCTTTGACTATTGGAATCATGATAAATCTAGTCTTCATTGAATTTACTTATTAAATTTGGTCAATTTCTAAAAGGTAATTTATTTCCTCATTATACTTGTGATGAGAGTGGTAGCTACAGAACTGTTTAATTATGAAAAAAAATTCTGAAAAACTGGCTAATTAAAGTTACTAAACTTCTTGATGTTTTTCCTAATTAAGCCTAAGGGAAATATAAAGAGTATTTTCAATTAAAATAAACTATATAAATATACTGACTGCTGCAATTTGAAATTTGTTCCTTACTTACATCTAAAGATTTATAAGTCATAGTGCATCCAAGGAAAAATCAATCTTAAAACTTATTTAATAAAAAATAAGCAAATAAATTTGTCTTAAAATGTTATGTAATTTCAAAAGAAAAAACATAAAGAGAGAAAGAAAAGATGGTTTCGTATTATAAAACTCTTGATGTCAGAGACAATATATTATGATTTTTTTTAAATTAACAATATCTAATCAGGATTATGGGAAGATTTTTTTCACTTCAGAAGGAAATAAATATAGATTTAATTCCTTAAAATAATCAGAAGGAGGAAAATATTCAAAGTGGGAAGAAAACAATCAGTGAGAATATACGTTAATTATTAATTATAATTAATTAAAAAGTGGCAGTTGAATCATTCAGTTGGAAAATTTTAACACAGTTTATTAGGAAAATTATTAAAAGTTGAACTTTTTAATTTTTCAGTAGAAATTTTAAGAAGAAATATATGAGATGAATTTTTGTACTTTAATCAATTGATTGAATGAAACATAATTACTTATATGGTACTCTTGATTTCCCAAAATAACACCTGAGAAACTGTTTTTTTGTTTTGTTTTGTTTTGTTTTGCTTTTTTGAGATGGAGTCTTGCTCTGTCACCCAGGCTGGAGTGCAGTGGCACAGTCTCGGCTCTCTGCAGCCTCTGCCTCCCGGGTTGCAGTGATTCTCCTGCCTCAGCCTCCTGGGTAGCAGGGATTACATGTGCACACCACCACGCTGGCTAATTTTTGTATTTTTAGTAGAGACGGGGTTTCGCCATGTTGGCCAGGCTGGTCTCGAACTCCTGACCTCAGGCAATTAGCCCACCTCGGCCTCCCAAAGTGCTGGGATTACAGGCGTGACCCACCACGCCCGGCCTGAGAAACTTTTAATTGA
This sequence comes from Homo sapiens, assembly GCF_000001405.40. Classification (NCBI taxonomy): domain Eukaryota; kingdom Metazoa; phylum Chordata; class Mammalia; order Primates; family Hominidae; genus Homo; species Homo sapiens. Next base: position 188,450,493 of record NC_000001.11, read on the forward strand.
ACGAAACTAAATTCACTACAATAAGGGAAAAACCATCTGTCTCATTCTTAGCATCATCTCAGAAGGGAAAGTCAAAGGCGGGATAAGATGCGGACTCTGTGGTCTGGGTAAAGTAATTTAAGGTGGATTTCTCATGATGGGGAATTGCTTTAGATTTGGCATTTGGCATTTGATGATATTTGATTTGGCATTATTCATGCTATTAGGATTGGACAGACTGAAGCAAGGATCTTGAAGTGAATGTTGATGAGCACACTGCTGTTTGATAAACGAGCCAATTGTTATCATCTGATAAACTGACCTCTTATAATTCCAGTAAATAGCGAAGTTATTTATTGGTTCATGCTCTTATATGTCTTTGGTATAAATTTCCTCAAAGAAACAACTAAGTTATATTAATGTGGGTAGACTACCATTCTATTAGTCGTGTTGCCAAAGACAGCTTTGATGATTACACTTAACTATATGCCTGATCTTGTTTTATGTGCTTTTTAATTAGCTAATTTAATTCTCATCAAAAATTTGTGGATTTTTCATGTTGTATTCTTATCCTTATTTTACAGATGAATAAATTGAGTATCAGAAAGGTTAAGAAGCTTGTCCAGGGTCAAACCACTATGTAAACATTTCTATATAAATCTGTTCATAGTGTTTATCTTTGAAGTAGAGGCGTTGTAGAGAGATGGGGAGGTGGAAGAAAGGTTGAATAAAGGGTTATTACATTCTATTGCTTGTTATTGTTATTAATAAATAAATGTATAAATACTGAAAATAAAATAATCGAGAGCTGGCATTGAGGTATTTCTTTTTTCAAGTTTTTCACCTCAGATATTTGGAAACTTTACAGTGATCAAATTGTTTCTTTTCATTCAAAATACTAGTATTTTCAAAGACAACTAAAAATGTGATTTAGAAAAGAATTTTGTCAGTAGAGTGCCCTTAATGTTTTTGTGTATCTATATAATATACATATATATACACGCATATATAAATATAAGATGCTGTCAAAATAACATACAGAAATGTAACATACCATTATATTGGCAAAATTCTCTTCTAAATCATATTTTTAGTTGAGTCTGTAAACAGAAGTATTTCAAATAAAAAGTATTTAATACTAACAACAACATATATGCATGTCTTTAATGTTTTTGTGTACAATCTCTATATTTTTAGGTACTTTCAAAGTAACATATACGGAAATATAACAGGCCACGATATTGGCAAAATTCTTTTCAAATTGTGTTTTCAGGTGATTTTGAAAATATTAGTATTTGAAATAAAAGTATTTACTTACTAACAATAATATATATGCATGCCTTTAAGGATTTGCTTATCAAAGAGTGAAAATAATTTGGTTCTGCATGCTGATGAATGTAACAGGTGTTTATTAGGGCTATGTTTAAGACCACATTTTTGCAAATGCCATTGCAAATGTGTGAATTTCTAAAACCAAAATTGTGGTCTACTATTGAAGAATTTAAAACAAGAATAAATAGTAGAATGAATATATGTATATCTGATATGCTAAAGGAATAATAGGTTGTATGATGTCATATGTTACAAAAGTGTTTTATCTCATGTAAATAATAAAATAAAATATTTTTTCTAATCACAATGTATATATTTTTGGAAAGGTCTCTGATGCATTATTTACCTAATGTGTCTAAAATTTATGATAGAAGTATTATAGTGTTACAACTCATTGGTACAACTAGATTAAAATAGAATTTTCTGACTAAGTTAGACAGAAGGGGCTTTTATTCTATAGAGAGGAGAAAGGCGATTTCAGGAAATGCAAAGAGATTGATCAGAAGAAGCAGTTTTAAAAGGCCCTCCATGTTTTCAAGAAATTACAAGAAGTCCAGGATGACTATAGATTTCAAATAAGAGAAAAAAAATAGCTATCTAAAGATAGATCAAAATGAACTTTGGAATATGGAGTTTGGTCTAATACTTCTTATAAAGAATTGTCTATGATATATTTGAGTAAGGAAGTGAAATTATATTTTCCTTTTAGAAAGATTATAATGTTAGCAAAATATGATACTGTGGAAAACTGATTTTAGTATGGGAAGTATCAAGGACCTCAGTTAGGAAATATCTGAATCATTTTCATCAAGGGAGTTAAGTCTGACCAAGATTTGAAATCAAACTGAATAAAATTCTAATTATACCTTTGCTATTTAGTACCTATAAGGGACTTACTCACACTAGAAATTATGAGTGATCATTATGTGAAATAATGTTTGAAAATCCGTTAGTATAGATTCTAGCACATAGTAAGCAGCAAGATATGATACTATGTTATCTGTATGTGTGTGTCTGCATGCGTGTGTGTGCATTTCTACGTCTTTGAAATACGAGTGATTTGCAAAGCATAACCAATAAGCAGTGTTTAACAAATAGAGTTTAACAAATACAGTGCACCGACATGCACAATCAAAATGCAATCTAGAAGACTTTGAGAGTCAATTCACAATTATCATCACCAATAATGGCTATGAGGAGTAAAGGACAGGTGAATTAGTAGATAGGAGATTGTGGGTTCCTCAAGATAGAGAAGACAGAAAAAGATCTAGGTTTAAGAGAAAGAACAAAATTTAGCTTTGTATATGCTGCATTAGAGATGATAGTAGGAAAACATAAAATTGACCTGCAGCAGTATTTGATGAGGGGTCAAGAGACCAGTGATGGAACAAGGGTAAATAATGTGAATGTTAAACAGCGCAAAAGAAGGGTTTAGATACTGCATGATGAACTATCAAAAAGCAGTGTTGCTAATATGAATGCAATGTTTCAGCTTTTAGAAGAAAGAAAGGAGATAGTCAAACCACTTTAGTTGTCACTTTTAAAAACACGTATGAAAACATATTGGTTTTAATTGGGAAAATATATCAAGCAAAGAATTTGCCACTCACATCAATTTGATATACCTAAATATAAAAATAGAAGACTGAGTTTATAACATATTATTTTCACTAATGGAAAGCCAACAATAGCTAAAACGTAAAAAAAGTCTGGTATCCTAGAATGTAGCTTGTTTTAAAATGTTTTTGATAATGCAATTTTTTTCTCTTAGGTGATAAAATACATCGAATCAAATCCAGAACAGATTCATTACAAATTGTGAGGTTTTGCCCAACCACATTGGTATAGGAGAATAAGTATTTCCACTACTAAATTCCATTTTATCTCTTGTGTGTTTATTTCTCATTTTCATAAAATGCTTCTTGACATAAAGATTAGTAAATATTTAATAAACAAAACCATGGGGAAAGCAAAAATAAAATTAAAATAATTTTATTGATGTGATATTTAATTGTTAATCTATTTCAGAATAATTATTATGATTTTTATTTATTTAAAAATGTCTTTCAAGTACTAGATATTGTAATAAAACCTAGATTATCATTAAAAATGATTATCAATCCACAAACAAATAACAAAAATCACTGCTCTGTCAGCAAAAGAGTCCCCCAATAAGACAGGGAAAGTAAACCAACTCTGTTGAAGCAGAGGCACTCATTGAGTGTTCAATTCTAATCATGAACGTAGTTACTATCTCAACTATAAAAGATTTGTTCTCTACTTTAACATTTTAAGATTAAAACAAATTGGATTAAGGGTTAAGACACTGACATTCATGATCTTTTTTGCTGCCTAAATGTTTAAACAGGAAGAGACCTTGGTAAATTCTACATCTTTGAAATACAAGTGATTTGTGAAGCATGACCAGTAAGCAGTGTTTAACAAATAGAGATTAACAAATAGAGTCTGGGATACTAGTGGGGTCTTGCAGTTTGTAAAGTAATCCTGAGGCAATCTTTAACTACCAGAGTAAAAAGAAAATAGGAACTCAAACATTGATTTCACATTTAATAAATCTAAAATATATGGTTAATATTTCCACTCATTAAATTACATTTGTAGATTTGTAGAAATCATTAGAGCTCTAGAGGTTGTATATGTGCCACAAGGACTGTGAGGTCTCTTGTCTTGGTTAGCATATATTAGCTCAATACACTTTATCTCAGTTTATCTTTTTATCACATCATTCATGTGCTATTATTCATATTTTTTAAATGTTTACATTGTTGATATTGAAATCTCACATCAAAGCTTCAATTTATAAAAATACATCAATGGCTCAAAAGTGGTTTGTTGATGCATCATAGTGGTGTTGAAACAAAAACATAACTATAATAATGTACAATCCAATTTTAAATATAAAAAGTAAGGAGAACTTAGGGGGAAATTTACTTTATTCCTATCCTTGTCCTCTGAAAGCTTTGAAAGATCACCCTGCTGTCTTTGCCATTCGGATAGCTCTTCAAGCTCTTGACAATTCCCACATTTAGAACATGCTCATTTATATTCTTACTCATTTTGGGTTATGGGAACTAGAGATGCATGGCTTATTTAGAAAGCAAAGTCCCAAAAGGTGGATATAGAGCCTACTATGTCCCTCTCTAAACTATCCTAATATCCTTTAAGACCTGAGGTTATTATTATTATTATTATTCTATTACTATTAACCTATTATTTAAGGACTCCTTGGCAAGGTCTCCTTGCTTCCAACTTTTGCCTATGCAAAACATTCATTTTACCTAGGGATGACGATTGGGGTGAGTAAACTAATTGAAGTGTTAACAAATAGTCGAATATTTACCAGCCATAAATAAAATTGTAAAACACAGATTCCATTGGGCCCCAAACCCCAATACTACAGTCACTTTCATACCCTCCAATGTCACTCATTTGCCATTGTTGACTTATGCTCTGATTTTTTCAGCATGCCTCTTCACCCTGACTCTCAATAGCTAATCTCCTTTACATGGGAAAAGCAACAGTGTCCTTGGTTAGTTGTGTACCAGAGATTTACAGAAGACCCCAGTTATTTTTCCTGGACATTAAATGCAAATCCAAGGGGATTTCATCTTCCTTTACAATTTAACGCTCATCCAATATGTAGATGACTTTCTTCTTTATTCTATAACGTTTGATAATTCTTTGGAAACCTTGGAAACCACACACTACTTATTAAAAACCTTGGCTCTAAAGGGACATAAGATATCAAAAAATAAAACCATCTCCATTCACCTGGAATAACAGAGCGAATGGAAAAATAAAATTAAAAAATGCTAAAACGAAGAAAGGACTTAATCTCCTATGATGTAAGGTTTTATTCCTTAGGTCCCAATATAAAATAATAACTGGCTGACATGAAGATTCTCTGTTTTTCCTGCGTCTTGAATATTTGAACCTGATCAATTCATATGTTCCAAAATACTTCAAGAGATTTATTAATTATATTCACCTACCATCAACAGGTAGAAGCTGCTTTTCTCTAGTTCTATGCAAACCACTCTACAACCTAGAAATTGGAGATTTAATTCTCTGGAAGGGACGTCATCAGAAAACTAATCTTTTGCCTTGTCCACAGGGCCCTTATGTCATACTCCTCACCACTAACATTGCTGCAAAACTCCAAGAGGTCCAATCTAGATGCATGTCGTTCAAATGTAAACATCCAAAAGCTCCTCAAATGGCAGTCCATCTAAATTGGACATTGGAAACTGTAGCTCTCTCAAGATTCCTCCATAAACAAATGGCACCACAAGGTAGATAGCTTTCATAAGAACTTCAGACCAACCAGATAAAAATAGGAGTTAGTTACCTTTCCCTTAAAATGTTGAAAACAAAATCCCCTAGGATTTCCTTGTTTATTTCCTAACCTCAGTATTTTTGTTATCTTTCTTGACTGTATTCTTCTTCTCTGTCTCCTTCAAGTTGGTATTTACATAAATTTTCACCCCCACTACACTCCAGCTTTCCAATAACAGACCTTGCTTTGCATTCTTTCTTCCTTGCTTCACCCAAGCTGTTCCTTCATTAGTAGTTCCATGAGTCTAACCTAGATCTCTGAGTCCATGATATTCATTCACCCAGTTCATAGCAAAATATCACAACCCTATTTTTGCTTGCTGGTTATATCCTCTCTTTCCTTTAGAAGCTTCTAGATTCTCCTAAATGTTTATGCTATTTCAGGTTCAAGGGCATTTACGTTATCACTCAGAAGCCCTTTAGGTTTTCTCTCTAAACTTCAACAAGAACTTCCTTCAACTTCAATGTTTTCAAAAGAGCTGTATATGCTTCCACCCTAACATAACCAAGGACAGTTTCATGGGCCTAAGTGTCTGTAATTATAAATACTCTGCAACAAATAAAAATACATATGTTTTTACAATGAAAGGCAAGAGTTCATATTCCTTGCCTTGTTATGTGCTTTAATAGACCTAGAAAATCATAAATACAATTTTATCTGATATGCTTGGGATAATTGTCTTCATTAAAGAAACTTTTCTCTTCCCAAGTGGACAAGATGGTATCTTCATCCAAAGATGTCCTATAGACTCCAAAATACAAAATCATGGGACAATTATTTACACAAAACCTGGATAACTACTAACAAGACATATTTTATTTGTGGCAACCATGCCTATAGGTACCTGCCCACTAATTGGATCCTGTTATTCAGCTAACTTTATTAGTTCTTATCAAATCTTTAATCACAATGTCTTATTTTCTCACCTTAACCACTCTATTGCATAAGGTTTAAGTTTTCTAGGTACCAGATGATCCAAAAGTCTACAAAAAATGTATTACGACTACAGACTTTGGTGCACAATTCCAGCCCCAGAAGGAGGTTGTAACCTTACTTTCTCACAAGATTCTCGATTAGCCTTAGAATGAAAGGTTAAACGAGTGAGAGTAAACTTAAAGGACTTGATTATTACAGCAGATCGTGTATTCTTTCCTGGAGCAGCTGCCCCATGGTCAACTCAAGGTCACTAGAATGCCAATATTTTCAGTGTTCTGCCTTAAGAAATAACCAGGACTGTCATTCTTACCAAAACCACCAACATCATCACTAGAGAACTACAGTAACTCCAATGAGTTGTCCTCTACAATCATCTGCCATTAGGCATCTCTGGAGGAAGCTCTTCCACAGTGATCACAAGTGATGGTTATGTATATCTTCCATGGGACTTCACTGATGTCTATGTCAATAACCAAAAATATTTAGATGGGAAACTGGGAACTTTGTTAGATTATCTCTCTTGTCCCCATTCTGCAATCTAATACACTTTGAATCCAATGTCTTGAAATCCTCTAACATGGCTCTCTTCAGATTTTGGATCCTGTTTCACTCCCTGCAAAATTACAATTGTTATTTTTATTATATTCCTATTCATATGTCTCACCAAGTGCCTACTCTCTCACTCCTCCAACAGCTGTCATTCAGACAACATACTTAACAGGTGATATGGCTTGTCCTTCAAGGCCAGCTATAACATAAAGTCCAGCCCACTTCTGAAAATTGCATTGGTTAGCCTCAGCCTGACAATGACTCTTATTTTATCTCTAATTGTGTTTAAGTACAGTCTTCGTCTTCTCTGATAGAGAGAACTTAGCCAAATGCTCACAATTTTCCATGACTGACCCTCTAACTTGGCTTGACCACTCTTTAGTCAGCCTTTTATTGTCTTTGCAATACCCTGACCTTTGGTTCACTTTTAGGTTTATCCAAGCAGACATCTTCTTTTAATAGCTCATTCTGATCACAGAAATGCATGTTTCCTGGTAAGCCATCTCAGTCATGGTGTCACCTCCAGCTCTTGCCATGATTCTCCTAAAAGTTCTTATTCATGATGCTTAGTTCACCCCATAAAAGAAAGCCTTTTACTGTTTGATATTGAGCTGCCTACACATTCCGTGGTAGAAACATTCTTGATATTGCAGTAATCTTTTCTAGTAAAGTCTCTCCTTACTTAAGTCTGATTTGTTTTTATTTGATGATGTCTATGCTTCAGTTTTGTAATAATTAACTGAAAAAATTTACTCTGAGTGCCTGCAGTTCCTGATTTAGTATAGAATTAATATTTTTGCAAATGCTCTAGGAGTCTACAGACAAAATGACCTCTCAATTCAGGGCTTGTGCTTCCCCCAGGAAGAGCACCTGCCTCCTCTTTCCCAGGACTGTAGCCTATATTTTCATTGTGATTACTTCTGCTGCTATTGCCCTTATCACTGTCATAATTTATATCCCTAGGGCATCACCTCTGAGCCCCATGGCTCCAATTGCTCAGGCATGTATGTGTGTGCTGGTGAGCCATGTCAACTACTCAGTGGACACATTGCTTATTCTTTCCCCTAGATACTCCTTAAACCCCTCCTGCCATCTACCATCACCATGGCCTGAGCCTATATGTGCTTGCTGCTACCCAGCATATCTCCTCTGCTCACAGGCAGATTCTACTGTCCAGTGAAACTTCACCTACAAAACACAAGTTCAAAGATGAAATGATTAAGAATTTCAAGACAGTTGACAGCAGAGCATTTAATCAAGGGCAGAAAAGTTCCTGAAAGTAGGACTCTGTGTGTCTATACTTGTGTCACACTCATAAAACCAGTTCTACTGGGGAACTTTCCACAGAATTGGAATCAGGGACTAATCAAGGCACAGTTTCTATCCCAGTGTGGAAGGCCACCACCAGTTCTGTCTAGTGAGACTTAGCAAAAGCTACCAACAAGTGGCTGTTAACTCAACTTTGTACCTGTTTATTATAGGGGTGTTTGCTGTAGTTATTCCATATCTGTTCAATTATTAAATGTGAGGTAACAAAAGAGTCTTTTAAATTAGAAGTTTTCTGGACCGAGACATACCATACCTGGGCTTTGAGTTTGAGGTTATTATTAGGTTAGGCTTTGTAGTTTTCTCTGTTGAGAAAGAGGATACTTAAAATAGTAACATTTAGTGTCAGAAAGAAGTATGAGCCTAATATGAATATTTTTGACCTGAAGTATGGTTTATTATCATCATTAAGGTTATTCATGAATGTCCTATTGTCTTGTGCTAGAGATAATCTGAGATCACTCTTTTTGTTTACTGGAACTCAGGAATTATTTTGGCTAATGAATTGCAAAAACGTGTATGTGTAGTATTTGGGCATCAGCTCTTAAAGCCAGTAACCACTTTGTTTTGTCCTTGCCCTTGATATGGTAACAGTGTGTGTCACATCCGACCCTCTGTCAGCCAGTGTCCCTGAGAGACAAATATGATCAATCTCTGGTGCCAAACCATGATAGGCATACTCATTGAACAAAAAAAAGTGTTGTTTTAAATGACTAAAAGTTTAGTTTTATATCCTATAGGTAATTTAGAATAATACCAGTAATAAATTATGCAGCACGATGAAAAGATAGCAACTATGGAAAAAATTAACTGAAGGCCAGGTTGAATTCTAAATTGGAAATATGTGTCAGAGTATAACTTACTGCGAAGGTTTTTGCCTATCTTTAAATAAAAGCCAGTTTTCTCCTGTGTAAGCCAGTTGTAACTTTGAAGAAAAAGAAAACAATGTTTAGTGGGGCTAACATAGTAACTATTTCCACTGAGAACAATGAAGAGATCAACACTTGCTATAACATTTAAAGCTGCAGTTCATTAATAAAAACAAAAGTTAGTACATTATGTAGTTAAGTAACTTGCAAAATAATATTTGAAGTTAATAGAAAATATGCTCTAAAGAAAAAGTAGATTATTGGCAAATTACTTTTTTTACATTACACTTCTGGTACATGTATATTAACTATAATATATTAGAACAATTAAAAGTTAACACTTTTTTTAACAAATGATTAGTTTCAAATGGAATGAAACCACTAGTAGACACACATATGAAGGAGGAGAGCTTAATGACTTTTTAATGTGTTTATTGTTAAAAATTCATGATATAGAAAAAAATTCCTTAGTTAATGACAACTTTTAAGACACTACCTGGAATGGAAAAGAAGTGTAAGTATCAATGGAATATCAACTATGTCATAACAAGGATGCATATCCTTCAAAATTAAAAATACTAAGCCAGGCTCAGTGGCTCATGCCTGTAACCCCAACACTTTGGGAGGCTGAGGTTGGAGGACTGCTTGATCCCAGAAGTTGGAGACCAGCCAAGGAAACATAGGGAGACCCCGTCTCTACAAAAAATAAAACTAAAAAATTAGCTAGGTGTGGCAGCTCACATCTGTGGTCCCAGCTAAACAGGAGGCTGAGGCAGGAGGATCAGTTGAGCCCTGCAGGTCAAGGCTGCAGTGCACCATGATTGTGCCACTGCACTCCAGCCTGGGCAACATATGGAGACCCTTTCTAAAATAAATAAATTAAATAAAATTAAAAACCCTCAAAGCAATTAAGAAACTGCATCGGAATTCTAAGCCTTTTTTTTACATGTTCAAACAGAAAAACTGAAAGCTAAAATATTTTTCTAGATAATTATTCCATGTTGAAGAACATCCTAAACTTTTGTCATTATTAATGTATCCATGAGTGTACATCTCTTCAAACATATGATGCTTATAACCAGAGAGTTAGCACAGAAATATAAGATTAGAAGAAAAACATTTAGATTGTTTAAAAATTTTTAAAAGATTTAAAAATTGTTTGTAGAATCGCTTTCAGTAAAGTTAGGTTGGTGCTAATGTAACTGTGGTTTCGGACCTTAAATTTTAAATCATTATAAATAGGCTCAAACACATCTTTATTAATTAAAATAGGAGCCATCATCATCAACACACTTTTGCCAACAAGAAATGAATTTGTTTATTCCTGTAGTGTAAAAATTCATGCTTTGGGATTCAGCGAATTGTTGGAAAGCATTTTCTGCATCCTGCAGAAATTTCCGTGCAAAAAGTTGTTGAGATGTTTGAAGAAGTGGTAGTCAGGTGAAAAGAGGTCAGGTGAATATGGCGGATGAGACAAAAGTTTGTAGTCCAATCAACTTTTGAAGCATTGGTTGTGCGACATGCGATTGGCCATTGTCATGGAGAAGAATTGGGCTCTTTCTGTTAACCAATGCCAGCTGCAGGCGTTACAGTTTTTGGTGCATCTCATCAATTTGTTGAGCATACTTCTCAGATATAATGGTTTCTCCAGGATTCAGAAAGCTGTACTGGATCAGACCCGCAGTGGACCACTAAATAGAGACCATGACCATTTTTTTGGTTCAAATGTGGCTTTGAGAAGTGCTTTGGAGCTTCTTCAGGGTCCAACCAATGAGGTGGTTGTCTCCGGTTGTCCTATAAAATCTACTTTTCATGGCATGTCACGATCCGATTGAGAAATCGTTCATTGTTTAGAATTAGAATTGTTAGAATAAGAGAAGATGACACTTCAAAATGATTTTTTTTAACTCAGCTCCTGTGGCACCCACTTATCAAGGTTTTTCACTTTTCCAATGTACTTCCAATGCAAATGACCGAAGAATGGTTGACGTTGAGTTCTTTGACAACTTCTCTTGTAGTTGTAGGACAATCAGCTACGATGACTGCTCTCAGTTGGTCATTGCCAACTTCTGATGGCCGGCCACTACACTTCTCATCTTCAAGGTTCTTGTTTTCTTTGCAAAGCTTCTTGAACTACCACTGTACTGTATGTGCGTTAGCAGTTCCTGGGCCAAATGCGTTGTTGATGTTGTGAGTTTCTGTTGCTTTACGACCCATTTTGAACTCAAATAAGAAAATTGCTCGAATTTGCTTTTTGTCTAACATCACTTCCATACTCTAAAATAAGCATTAAAAAAATCAAGTAATAAATCATTAGCAAGAAAACATAAAGCAAGAAATGCCCATTAAAATAATACGTGACATAACCACATTTATTTATACTTAAGAATGTTTTCCAATATCAAACGGCATTCCAACAATGCAAAAACCACAATTACTATTGCATTTACTGAATAACAATGTCTGCTATGTAAAGTAAGTTCCTTTAGTTTGTATCTCAGTGATATATTCCATACCTTAAAGAACCTAAACTGATTGACTCAGAACCATTTTGCATTCTGAGGTTTTCATTTAGGAAAAAAAATATTTTATTTGCAGTCATCTAAACTATAATATGTAAATTCAGGATTGACATATCATTCCCTTTAATTATGCATTTCTGACCTTTATATCCACTTGATTCCTAATAAATTTTAATCAGAGACATATTACTTACCCAAGCTTTGTTTATTTGAACTATTTAGCTGTATAAAATTAGCACAAGAAAAGATAAATTTGAGTAACTTAAAAATAGCATACTAGGGATTAGGATAACTAACTTTTGAGCATTGTGCCAAGGACTTTGCTAAGAGGATCACACAAATTATTTTATATAACCTTAAAAGCCACTGTTATCTCCTTTTTAGAGACCTGTAAACTTAGATTTGGTGAGGTCAGGTATTAATATTTCCAGAGCTATGCAGCTAATTAGACCAATGTCAACATTGTGTCTCTAGATTGATATTCTTAATGCCATTCTCTTCTTGTGTCTTACTGAATCACCCTGTGTTGCACATCTGGGCCTTTCATTCAACATCCATTGATAACACTTATTCCAAAAGCTATTACAATTAGGTGGGCCAGTATAATACAACTATTATAACTTTCCTTGCCTTCATGCTTTCCCCACACTGATCTTCTAAAATTGCATAGCATTACATCATCCCTTACACAAAAATCTTAAATGATTTCTCATTGCTTATCTGTCTAAATATTTTAGTGTTTGAGATCTTCCACAATATAGTAATAATTTAGGTTTTCAAAACTTAACTATTTTTTCCAAGTAAAGTCAATGTACATTTTTCATGCACTTAATATGAAAATACTATGGAAGGCAGAGGCAATTCCATTCAAATACTTGTATGCCACACCCATTTGCCAAACCTATATATTGTAATCCTTTTCATTCTTTAAATAACGGTTCAAAACAGCAATCCTTTATTTCCTAACTAGAAATGATTTATATTTTATCTAACCTTTGTGAAATAATGTTATATTGCAAGTATATTTCTATCTACAGACTTATTTTGATGAAATTATATAAATATTTGCTGAAAACATATTCAATTTAAAGACCAGAAATAGAGTCTAGAAATATAAATTCCATGTCTCAAAAATACCTAAATTTCTTGTCAATTTAAGAGAAACAAAACAGTAGTTGTGAATTTGGGAAAAGACACTACTATCAAGTGTGTGTATTTTTTAAATATAAAGTATGAGATTCAAATAAAAATGTTATCAAATTGATGTATGACGTTTTACTATTATTTTTTCTTAATTTTCATTCAGAGTCACTCTGAACCTAAATGACCTTTTATTAAATATGATTATTTGGAAGTCTCAAGTGGCTCTGGGTATTTAGGACAAGATCTCATAGTTGAATATTATGAGAAGTGAGCTATATCAAAGCACAGGAAAAGGGAAGCTAGACAAAGTGAAGTTAAATGCAGCAAATGCCAATGTAGTTTTCCAAAGTTCTCTTTCTCCACCATCTCTGCAAGTGGTTTTCTCTGCTTCTTGATGTTGTCAACAAACGGTTGTTTGCCTCGTTTACAGAAGCTGAATTTTGTACCTTACCACAATCTTTCTATACTTAGAGCTTACACCACCATTTTGTAAGATCCTTTAGAAATAACCTGCATATTCAGTATTACCCTTCCAGTGATTATTTACAGATGCTAGAGGCTTCATAAATCCTAACCCACACTATCAGTTCACTCAGACTGAAAATATCTCTGAGGTTTTCTGCCACCAGATGGCGAGTAAGGAAAATAATTAAATTATTAGGAGTTCTGTAAGTAAACTCTGAACACTCATAAGTATATTTTTATATATTCCTGCCATTTAATTAATTAATTTATTTATTTATTCATATATTTGTTTGTTTATTGACTGGGTCTTGCTCTGCCACCCAGACTGGAGTGCAGCAACACAATTGTAGTTCTCTGTAACTTCAGACTCTTGGGCTCAAAGGATCCTCCTGCCTCAGCCTCCTGAGTAGCTGGAACTACAGGCACGTGACTTTTTTTTTTTTTTTTTTTTTTTTTGGTAGAGGCAAGGACTCTGTTGTCCAGGCTAATCTCAAACTCTTGTCCTCAAGTCTGCCTCTTCCCTCTCAAACGACTGAGATTACAAGTGTGAGATACCACACCAAGCATCAGCAGCTTTAAAAACCTACTCTTTCTCTAAAATTTTACTTTGAATAAAGCAGTCATATTTAATTAGATGCAACTTATTACTTAAATTAGTAATGGTGAAACTTCCTATATTCTGCTTTTTCTAGACAGTGAGTAGATGAATTTTAAAGAAGTTCAGTCCTACACGTGTTCATGTTTATATCTAAGCCTATATTACTGATAGTTGAAGTATAACATGAGTTCTTGTGAAAGTGTAACACAAATTATCAGTAGACATCGATTTTCATTCTCTTAGAGTGTATAGAAAACATAATTTGCATATATTCCATGTGACTGTGAAATTTTTAGAATAATATCTTATAAACGATCCGTGAAATATTAGGCCCAAATATATTTTAACCTGTGCTTTTTTAAAATAGAAATTTGTTCATTACTTTAGGCAAATAATTCTGGGAATTTCCAGCTTAAACAACATCAAATACATTTCCTTATTGCAGGCATTCTCAGAGCTTTTAATACACTAAATTATTTTGTCGAGGAGAACATAATTGGCAGTATTTACAAAATTGATTTGCCCTTGGAAAACATTTCTCATTAAGTGTTTCTTAGATCTGTATTCTGTAAGACACATTTTAATAAATATTACTCTAGTAAATGACCACATTGTAAAAATAATTTTCTCTTCCCAACAGGGTCCAAGCTGTGGACCTCTGCCAGTGGGTGTTGGATCAGGATTAAATAACTATTTAAAATCATTTCATATAATGAAGCTAGTTATTAGAAGCAGTATATTACTTTCAAACGTTAGATAAGTAACAGCTTCCAAAAGGGTATGACCTAGTGAATTCACTTGCAAAGTAGGTAGCTAATAATTATATCACGTGGTTGCTATTCATTTTAAATTGCCAGTGTGAGAAAATAATCAGCTGAAGGGAATGATAATTCTCTTACAGAAATCAGGTATTTTGACTGAGCTTGAGGTTGACTTTTCAACCACATTTAAAAAGCTGATATCTTAATAAAGCTATTTAGGAAACGGGGTTTTTAAGCATTCAAAAATCGTGCTTAATCCAATTTAATTTGTAATATGAAAAAGATAAAAATTTGAGCACTTTAAGGAGAATTATGATATAAATAGAGGAGAAATAAGAAATGAGATTAGCTATACACTGTAAAAATCTTAGGTTTTAATAGCAGTATGTCTCTGATTGAAAGCTAATGAAGGTATTCATTTTAAGGTCAGGGAGTTTTAGCAGAATGGAAAGTGCAAGAGGTCAGGAGTTGGGAGGCCAGGTACTCCATTAAACTATTGACTATATAGCTTTGCTGACCTTCCTGATTAGAGGATGAGAGCAAGAACCTTTAGAAATTAGTTGAAGGAGACTAGTTTCTTCCTGAATTTTTTTTCATTCTTATAAAAAATAAAGATAAAGAATAATGAATGTAAGCAAAAAACTTAAGAGTTCTTAAATAAATCTAAAGATAAGAGATAAAGAGCAACTTATAATGAGGCAAAAGAACTCCATATCAAAGAGTAAAATGGGTTGGTTAAAATTCTCAATGAATTATTGTTCTGTGGACAAAAAATGGCAAGGAACTCTAATCTTAATAAATAGAAAAATCATATACAACTGCACAACAGCCTTATTACGGCCAGTTGATTTTTATGTCAACATAATATAAGAAGCAACCACCAATGCTTCTCACCAGTGAAATAAAATTTGCTCATTAAACTTTTTTATTTGGACCTGAGAGAATATCAGACTTAATTCACAAAATGCTCTAACTGCCACCTGACCTTATTTGATTTATCGTTTCCCAGGCTACCTACCAGCAGTCACCTTACCATGTATCATGAACTGCAAAATGATATAAAATCCACCTATTGCTTATTATTGTCATCTAGGAATCACATATTTCAATATCCAGTAAGTAATGTAAATTTGTAAAGTACACAATTACAAGACAATAGGGGTTGTCTGAGAGCAGTGGGGAACATTGCAAAGTTGTACAGCACGTGTTTTGACTAAGCACACTCTGATTCTCTTTCATTTTATTAAACTTTTGTGTAATCTTAACACACACATGTGCACACATACATATATCCTGGTCACAAATCATTTTGTCTTAATGATGATGCTGTCACTTACAGTGTGGAGCAACTTGATGTCGTAATCTATTTACGTTCAAGTTACTAAGAGACCCATGTTCAGGGGACAGCTTTGAAGACTGGCATGCTTCATGTTTAGATGAATTTTGAATTCTGTGGCTGTTCTAGAAATTAATAAATTTCTGAAAGTCACATTCATCTCTATTCTTTAGGGAAGTGAATTCCTGTTTCTTATCTAACAAGCAGACGTGGGTTTGTGGGCAGCCTGTGTGTAAAATACATGAGGAGGACAGCTGGATCTCCCGTTCTGTACAGAAACATTGGTTCAAATTTGCTCCCACTGTCTCCTGCAAATATGATATTGCAGTTCTATTATTCTCCTGGTTTGGGGAGAAGCAACCGGTTGCATTTCTATCTGTATCCTTCTCAGTGAGGTCTAGAAACTGAAGCTACAAAAAATTTCTCCCTGAACTATCCAATTGTTGGCCTCCAAATTTTGTTGTAATTCAGTCTCTGTTAGTAACCCATTTCCCAAGGTGTTGTTGTTATTAATAGTTGTATTTTACTTCATTTTTAGTAAGATGAAGAACTAAATGATTATTTTTAATATACTAGCTTTAGCCACTAATACTACATCTTAATGATTTATGAGCATAGATTTACTTAATCTTTTCAAAGATTCTCATTGAGTTGGACAGTTAGAGTTCTGAAAAAGTGTAATATGAATAAAATTATAATTTACTTGTTAGATATATTGTTTACAGTCCTGTGTGGCTTAACAATGATGATAAATTCTAAGAAATTGTTGTTAGGCAATTTTGTTGCTGTGTGAATATCACAGAGCGTACTTACACAAACTTAGATAGTATAGCCTACTTCACTAAGCAATATGTACAGCCCATTGCTCCTAGGCTACAAAACTGTGACTGTATTGAATATTGTAAGTAATTGCACCAAAATGGTAAATATTCTTGTATTGTTCAGTAAAAATACACTATAAAAGATAAAAAATGGTGCATATGTTTTTGGCACTTACCATGAATAAGGCTTGCAGGACTGGAAGTTGCTCTGGGTGTCAGTAAGTGAGTGGTTAGTGAATGTGAAGTTCTTGAACATTCCTGTACACTGCTCTAAACCTTATAAACACTGTATATTTAGACTACACTAAATTCATAAAAATGTTTTCTTACCTCAGTAATAAATTAACCTTGGCTTACTGTAACTTTTTTGTTCTATAAACTTTTAAATGTTATTAAACTTTTGGATTCTTTTGTAATTTTACTCATGATAAAACACAAACACATTGTACAGTTGTACAAAATATTTTCTTTCTACATAGCCTTATCTTACAAATCCTTTTCCATTTCTAAAATTTTCAATTTTCAATTGTTTATGTTTTAAACTTTCTTTTGTTAAAAACTAAGACACAAACACACACGTTAGTCTAGGCCATCACAAGGTCAGGATCATCATCACTGTCTTCCACCTCCACACCTTATCCCACTGGGAGGTCTTCAGAGGCAATAAAATGCATGGAGCTCTTATCTTCTAAGTTAACAATACCTTCTGGAATACCTCCTGAAAGACCTGTCACAGGCTGTTTTACCCTTAATTTTTTTAATACATAGAAACACAACACTTTAAAATAATGACACAATTTATAGTATGTTAGATAGACAAACCAGTAGCATAGTCATTTATTATCATCGAGTATTATGTACA
Organism: Homo sapiens; assembly: GCF_000001405.40. Taxonomy (NCBI): domain Eukaryota; kingdom Metazoa; phylum Chordata; class Mammalia; order Primates; family Hominidae; genus Homo; species Homo sapiens. The sequence goes on from NC_000001.11 coordinate 188,468,349, forward strand.
GTACATAATTGTATGGGCTAAACTTTTAGGTGGCTAGAAGCACAGTGCGTTTGATTATGCCAGCATAACCATAAATACATGAGTAATGCATTGTGCTATTATGTCATTAGGTGATAGAATATTTTCAGTTCCAATAAAATCTTATAGAACCACAGTCATATATGTGGTTTGTCATTGACCAATATGGTGTTACGAAGAGACTTTGTGTATAGATACCCCCACTTTACGTCTGAAGGCAGGAATATTGGCATTTCCTAAGAGCGTATCAAAGTAAAGCACTCAAAACCTCACACGTCTAAATGGGAACATGTCTAGTCACTGTATATAAATGTTCTTTTCTCCTATTAGATGTCGAGTATATAGTTCTTAGCTAATATGTGATCATCTATTTATGTTTGTTTTAATCCTGTCACTCTGGATCCATATTCTGATGGATTGCATTGAAACTAGAGTACTTCCTAGCTGATAGAAGAGATTAAACTTAAGAATGTATAACCATGGTGTTAATGCCAAGTCAGAGGTACAGGCAATGGTGTCAGTATGCTCTTAAAACTGGAGTTTCCCCTCTGGTGTGTTGTTATATACCAGTGTGCTTCAAATGGCTTACAGTTGTGAGATGCTGATTGCCTCTTCCTATGTGTGCTATAGACAAAGATTGAAAGAAATTGCTTTACCAAATCAATTTATCTAAACATCTTTTCATTTATTTATAAGAATTATTTCTATATTTTTTTATGACAACTTATTATTTATTATAACTGAGGCAAATATTTCCTCCCCATATTGCTGATGACCCCTCAGGTTTGTTGCCTTTTACATTTGCTCCAAAGTGTGTTTGTTTTGTTTTGTTGGTCACCATGATTTTATGATTATGGAGCACAAAACTCTTGGTTTCTGCAAATCTGGCAGAAGTCTTCAAAGTAGACATTTGAACTTTTCAAATTCACTTTAATCATTCGTTTGCTGCTGATAAGAATTTCACATTTTTCTCTCTAAGGAAGATTTTATTTGAAGAAAACTCTAGGTTTTTCATTTAATGAGTTTTATGTATTAAAAATATATTAAATAAGTCGAATTTAATCCTATGATATTTTCATTAAAAAGATAATTTTCTATCAAGGATTGTCTTGTCTCATAGCATTATTCTGACACTGATAATTATTATAGTCTTAAAATATATTTTAATATCTAGTAGAATAAATTAGATATCATCACTCTTTTATTAAAGTGATATAACTATTTCATCTATTGATTCTCTTAAATAAATTTAATTTGTTTGCAAGTCACATTAAACTAATAAAACAAAATTTTCATATGACTCAAATAATTAACTGATAATTCTTATGGTAATCTCATCATATTGGGTCTGGTATCTCATATTTTGTATCATACAATTGATACATACTTCCATTTGAACAATTCCAAGATATTTCATTAGAGGTACCTATTGAATGCTCTTCAATAACCAACACAACAATATTACCTTCTGCTATGTTCTGAATGTCTATGTTCTCCCAAAATGTATATATTAAAATCTTATCACCAATGTGATGGTATTATTAATAGAAAATGGGGACTTTGGGAGATGAGTAGGTCATGAGGCAGAACTCTCATGGTTATTAGTGCTCTTATAAAAGAGGCCCCAGAAAGCTGCCTTGACCATTCCACCATGTGAGGGCACAGCAAAGAGGCACCAGCTGTTAACCAAAAACCAGGTCCTCACCAGACACTGAATCTGCATCAACTTTAATTGACTCCCCAGCCTGAAGAACTATGAGAAATAAATTTCTGATGTTTATAGGCTACCTAGTTTATGGTATTCTGTTGTAGCCACCCAAATAGACAGAGACTTTGTAAATTTGTGATGCAGCATGATAGATATCCTAGTACTGGACTCATTGTCATGATAAAAGTAAATCATTTTAGGTTTAATGTCTAAAAATAAACAAGACTGGTTAAAAAAAAACTTGATGGTGTGGTGTATTTTTGGTTCTCAAAATACTCTCATATGGCTTAAGGATTTTGAATTAGTAAATATTTCTGGTGTTTGAAACAGCATGATACATAACCTTTCAAACTCAACTTCATAAAATGAGATGTTGTGACTATACACACACAGGACCTAGAAGGACACATCAAACTTTAAACTGCTTATGACTATGGATGCATTTGTTATTTGCCTTTTGTGATTTTTAGTTTCCTATAATGCACATATCCCAGCTACTCGGGAGGCTGAGGCAGGAGAATCACTTGAACGCGGGGGATGGAGGTTGCAGTGAGCTGAGATCGCGCCATTGCACTCCAGCCTGGGCAACAAGAGCAAAATTCTGTCTCAAAACAACAACAACAAAAACAAACAAACAAGCTATTATTTAAAAACCTTTAAATAACAAAGTAAAATGCTTTAACTTGCCATATATTTAAGTCAACGTAGGATATTGGATCAAAATATTACCCACTTTGCTTCCAAAACTAATCCACTCATTAATACATAAATTTTGATGCGGGAGACTTTACCAATCAATATAAAATGTTGATATTTTTAATAAATAAGGCTGGGTCAATTCAATATCCATAAGCAAAAACTAAAACTTGATCCCTATCCATATTGTACAGAAAAATCAAATTTCAAATTGATTTCATATTTTCTAAATGTGAATAAAAACTAATAAAAATGCTAAAATATAGAATATAAGATAGAAAAATACCTTCATCAGCTTGAGAGATAAGCATATTTTGTAAAAACAGCATCAAAACTACTAAACACAAAGGCAGATATTACTAAATGTAACAAGTTGGAATTACAAACTCTGATAATTAGAGGGCACCCGTCAAGTGAGTATAAAGCAAGGCTATTAACAAAATAACATGGAACTTATATTCAAAAATAACCTTATAATCACATTATTTAAAGAACTCATAAATCAATAACCAAAAGATAAATTATTCAATAAAGAACAGGCAAAAGTCTTGAATATGAACTTCATACAGAAGACAATTCGGATGTCAAAGCATATAAAAACACACACTTCTTAAAAATCTAGAAAATATACATTTAAGCTATACTGAGATACAAATATTTGCCATAATGGTGAAAATTAAAAATATCAGTAATACAGAGTACTAATTCATAAAAATTCTTTGGAAAATTATCTACTATAGTCTTCATAAATGGGTATAAATTGGTATGTATATGTAATATATGTATGTGTACACATATGTGTGTGTTCATGTACACACACGTATGTGTACACATACATATATTATGTCACCAATGTCATTACTATGCATAGACCTAACAAAAATGCATTGTTATATAAAAAATACACATACAGTTACAAAACCTGGAATATCTATTATCTATCAATGTCATTACTTAATATACAATTGATAAATAAATTTTGTACACAAAAGCTAAAAATATGTTTTGAAGAATGCTCATAAAGGCATTATCTTAATAACCGTAAAAGGGAAAAATATGCATTAACAATAAAATAGTATAGCCAATTGAATATCCCAAAAATAGCTCCACCAATACATCCCATCGCACATATTGTTCCTACGATGTGACATTGATGCACCTCTACTTTATCAAGACATGGAATATATGTTCCAATATATGTGGGGCCAGACTTAGTCTCTCTCTGTTTACTGGTGGATGTCAGTAACCACAAAGTGTGAATGCCAGGTCACATGATGTGGTTATGTTAAATATCACATCCAAAAGTCTCTGCTATGGGCTTAACTAACAGTCAGCATCAATTGATGTCAGACATATAACTAAGTTTTGAGATGATTACAGCCTCTGGCTTTCAGCTCTCCTACTAAGGCCCTAGATATCATGGAAAATAGCCATTCTAACCATGCCTCATCTAAATTTTCTGCCCATTGAAACTGTGAGCATAATAAATAGTTGGTTTGCTGAATTTTGCAGCTATTTGTTTAATAGCCATAGTAACTGGAAATACTTATTGTAACAGAATGGCATGGTACTGTGAAAAACACCTAAAACAATGTGGGAATGATGTGCATGAGCTGGGTGGGCCTTGTAGACACTATTGGTTAAAGCCTATCAGAGAGCACAAATCTGATGGCCAACTGAGTAGTCTGATACTAAAGGCTTAAATGAAACTGAAGATTTTATTGGAAGTTGGGAGAAAGATGTTGGGAAGTTTAGAAACGTCTCTCCTAGGGAGATAAGTATAATAGAAAATGCATCTAACAAAATGGATGAGGGGATGTGTAAGCAGAGGGTTGAAGGTGCTCTCTGGCTTCTTCTAGCTGCCTGTAAAATGATCAAGAGAGAATTCCTTACTGTGATGTATTAGTCCTTTAACTTTTGTATCTAATTTAACAGTCTGGTTTCACATTCCAATATTCATTACAAATTCCTCTGTGCTTTATCCACACTAGCATGTGACCACTCCTGTAGCATTAAACTTTCTCATATTTTATTACAAGATTTAAAAAGATTATGACTAGATAAAACAAAACAAATAAATCAAAAATATGGATTAAAACAAAAATAAGAATGATAAAATTGAATAAATCTAAGAGTAAAGCTAACACGCAACTATACATATCTTAAAATATTATTACTTGGATAGAGATTGGAACTACATTTATCTGAGCAAGTTCTGATCAAGGAAATATATATAACAGGCTTACAAGACAATAAGTTTTTCTGGACACTGAAATCTGAGGCAAATTTCTTCTCTAGGATTCATAGATAATATAAAGTAGTACACAAAGTCTTCATAAACATAGTTTAACATGAGATTTTATAAATGTTAAGAGCATTTTATTGTACAGAATCTTCTCATTTTGCAGAAATATTTATTTGAATTACTTGTGTGTGTGTGACATTAAGAAGTGGTGAGTCTGACTCATGGAACTAAATGGCCTAGGTTATAAGTGGGTCTCATTAGGGAACCTACATTTTATTTCCCTGGCTTACATTTTCTACATTTCATATGGATACATTTATTGTGAAAATAAAACTTTTTCCCCCAATTTCTCATAATGTAACTTTCATGAATATTATAGCACATTCTCTACAACTGGCCTAATAATGTTTTTCTTTGAAAGTATATTTCAGGCCGGGCGCAGTGGCTCACCCCTGTAATCCCAGCACTTTGGGAGGCCCAGGCAGACGGATCACGAGGTTGGGGGATCGAGATCATCCTGGCCAACATGGCGAAACCCAGTCTCTACTAAATACAAAAATTAGCTGGGCGAGGTGGCGCGTACCTATGTAATCCCAGCTATTCGGGAAGCTGAGGCAGGAGAATCTCTAGAACCACGGTGTCGGAGGTTGCAGTGAGCCAAGGTTGTGCCACTGCACTCCAGCCTTGGCGACAGAACAAGATTCGGTCTAAAAAAAAAAAAAAAAAAAAAAGAAAGAAAAAGAAAAGAAAAAAGAAAGTGTATTTCAAAATGAAATTGCAATAAAAAATTATATTAGTCCCAAATCAACTTGCTTTGATCAACCGTATCAACTATATAATATGATCAGTGTATAATCAGACAGAATGCTTAATATGAAAATACATTACATGTTCAGTTCACTCTCCACAAATATCAATAGAATTGTTATTGATTGATTGTTTGATTGATTGTTGCTCTATTCATTTATACTGAAAGTCTCATTGGCGATTTACTATCCATCCCAGGCTATGAAATGACAAGAAATAAAACTTGGACGGAATAAAAATTAACATGAGGGCAAATAATTAGCAACTCTAAACCTGGCAAATTACATAATAAGAAATCAACAGATGTTAATTATTTTTATCATCAACATCATCATCAATATCTTTATTTGGTGCCAAACATGACACTCTTTATAAGGGGACATTCAGAGTAACGAATCCTCTAGTTATAAAATCTCCTCTCTGCCGGGATCAGTGGCTCACGCCTGTAATCCCAGCACTTTGGGATGCCAAGGCGGGTGGATCACGAGGTTAAGAGTTCAAGACCAGCCTGGCCAAGATGGTGAAACCCCGTCTCTACTTAAAAAAAAAAAAAAAAAATTAGCCGGGGGCGGTGGTGGGTGCCTGTAATCACAGCTATTCGGGAGGCTGAGATAGGAAAATTGCTTGAACCCGGGAGGTGGAGGTTGCAGTGAGCCAAGATCGTGGCCACTGCACTCTAGCCTGGTCAACAGAGCAAGACTCCATCTCAAAAAAAAAAAAAAAATCTCCTCTCCAGTATTAGTCATTTCTTGTTTCTGGCTCTGAGAGAAGCAACATATAACATACCTGTTAAAATTCATAAGACATTTGTGGGTAGTTATTAATCTTTTACCAATTGTAAATGTGGATACTTATCTTACCGTTTTTGCTTTTAGGTCTGGTAACAGTGAACACCATCAAGCACATCTACGGTAATTACTATGTGCTGGACCCTCTTCTAAATGCTTCGAGTATTTTAATTAATTTAATCTTCACAGCAAAACAGGTATGTTTTCTTATTACCTTTATTTTACATATGAGCACATTGAGACTTAATCATGTTTCAAAGTCACACCATGGTACAATGAGCTACTTAATGAGCACAGCATCAGAAAAATATTGTTTTATTTTTATTTCTTATAAGACAAAGCTCTCAAAATTATGTTGAAAATAGTGGTTACAGGTTATAACCTTGGCTTTTTCCCAGTATAAAATGTATTTTGGCATTCCGTTAGTCTATATATATTGATTTTTTTGTTGAGAAAAGTCTACTGTGAGTATTTTATTTAAATTTAACACATATACTTAATGAATGAGTGCTAATGTTTTTATCAAGTGCCTGTAAAAATCTTTTTTTTACTTTGTATAGAATTAGGTTACTTGGTTCTTTTGTATATTGTTTTATCCTTGAAAGACTAAAACCTATTTAATTATGTTATAGTATTCTTTGTTTCAGTTGCTGAAATCAAGTTATTAAAATTTTGTCTGTATTTTCAGTTTTTACTGATTTTTATTTTAGGTTCATGGGGTACATGTGCATTATTTTTATACTGGTAAATTATGTGTTGCTGAGGTTTAATATACAAATGATCCTGTCACCCAGAGGGTGAATGTAGTACCTAATAGGTAGTTTTTCAACCCGTAATTCCCTCTCTCTCTCCCTTCTCTAGTAGTCCTCAATGTCTATTGTTCTTATATTTATATTCATGTTTACTCAATGTATAGTTCCCACTTATTAGTGACAACATGCGATATTTGGTTTTCTCTTTCTGTATGAATTCACTTAGAATAATGTCCTCCAGCTACATTCATGGACTGAAGAAGACATGATTTTCTTCCTTTTTATGGCTGTGTGTGTAGTATTCCACAGTGTAAGTTTACTACATATTTTTATCCAATCCACTGTTGATGGAAATCTAGGTTGATTCTACATCTTTGTTATTTTGAATAGAGCTGCAATTAACATGTGTGCATTTGTCTTTTTTGTAGAATGACTTACTTTCATTTGGATGTGTACCCAGTAGTGGGATTACTAGGTTGAATGATAACTGTTTTAAGTTCTTTGAGAAATCTCCACACTGCTTTCTGTAGTTGCTGAACTAAATTACATTTCTACCAACAGTGTATAAGTGTTCCCTTTTCTCTGCAGTCTTGCCAACATCTGTTATTTTTTGACTTTCTAGTAATAGCCATTTTGACTGGTGTGAGATAGTATCTCATTGTGGCTTTGATTTGCATTTCTCTAATGATTAGTGATATTGAGCATTTATTCATATATTTGTTGACAGCATGTATGTCTTCTTTCGAGACATGTCTGTTCACGTCTTTTGCCTGTTTTTTAACGGGATTGTTTGTTTTTGCCTATTAAATTATTTAAGTCAGGTGGTGTGATGCCTACAGCTTTGCTCTTTTTGCTTAGGATTCCTTTGGATATTTGGGTTCTTTTTTGGTTTCATATGAATTTTAGAATAATGGTTTCTAATTCATTGGAAAGTAATGTGTATGATTTGACAGGAATAACATGGAATCTGTAAATTGCTTTTGGCAGGATGGCCATTTTAACAATATTGGTTCCTGCTATCCATGAGCATAGAATATTTTTCCATTTGTTTGTGATGTCTCTTATTTTTTTCCAGTAGTGTTTTGTAATTCTCATTGTAGAGATCCTTCACCTTGGTTATCTGTATTCCTAGGTATTTTATTCTTTTTGTGGCTACTGTGAATAAAATTGCATTCTTCATTTGGCTCTCAGCTTGGACATTATGGATGTATAGAAATGCAATTAATTTTTGTACATTGATTTGGTATCCTAAAACTTTTCTGAAGCCATTTATCAGTTCTAGGAGGCTTTTGGCAGAGTCCATAGCATTTTCTAAGTCTAGAATAATATCTTCTTTGAAAGAGATTGCTTGACTTCCTCCCTTATTATCTGGATGACTTTTATTTCTTTCTCTTGCCTGGTTGCCCTGGCTAAGACTTCCAGTACGGTGATGAATAGGAGTAGTGGAATTTGACATTCTTGTCTTGTTCCAGTTCTCAAGTGGAAATGCTTTGAGCTTTTGCCCATTTAGTATGATATTGGCTGTGTGTTTGTCATAGATGGCTCTTATTATTTTGAGGTATGTTCCTTAGATGCTTATATTTGTTGAAAGTTTTTAACATGAAGGGATGTTGAATTTTATGAAAAGCCTTTCTGTGTCTATTGAGATGATAATGTAGATTTTGTTTTTAATTCTGCTTCTGTGGTGGATCACATTTATTGACTTCTTTATGTTGAACCAACTTTTCATTCCAAAAATAAAGCCTACTTCATCATGGTGAATTAATTTTTGATGTACTCCTGGATTCAATTTGCAACTACTTTGTTGATGACTATATTCATCAGGGTTACTGGCTTGAAGATTCCATTTATTGTTACATCTCTGCCAGGTTTTGGTATCAGAATGATGCTGGCCTCTGAGAATGAGTTAGGCAGGAGGCCCTTCTCCTTGATTTTTTGGAATAATTTTAGTAGGGCTGCTACTAGCTCTTCTTTGTACATCTGGTGGAAGTCAGATATGAATTCATCTGGTCCAGGGCTTCATTGGTTTGTAGGTCTTTTGGAACTCATTATTGGTGTCTTCAGGATATAACTTCTTCCTGGTTCAATCTTGAAGTGTTGTGTGTTTCCAGGAATGTATTCATCTTGTCTAGATTTTCTAGTTTGTGTGCATAAAGGTGTTTGTAATAGTCCCTGGGAATTTTTTGCATTTTGGGGGGTGAGTTGTAACGTCACTTTTGTCATTTCTCATTGTGCTTATTTAGATCTCTCTTATTTTCTTTATTAATCTAGCTAGTGGTTTATCAGTCTTGTTTATTCTTTCAAAGAACAAGTTTTGGGTATGGTTGATCTTTTGAATTTATATTCACTTGTCAATTTCATTCAGTTTGGTTCAGATTATGGTGATTTCTTTTCTGCTGCTAGCTTTGTGGTTGGTTTACTTTTGCTTTACTAGTTCTTGGTGCAATGTTATGTTTTCATTTGAGATCTTTTTAACCTTTTGTTGTAGGTGTTTAGCACTATAAACTTTTGTCTTAACACTACATTAGCTGTGTCTCAAAGATTTTGGTATGTTGTGTCTTGATTTTCATTTGTCTGAAAGAATTTTTTTACTTCCGCCTTAATTTTGTTCTTTATTCAAAAATCAGTCATGAGCAAGTTTTTAAGAGATCTTCTGGGAGCTTGAGAGATCTTCTTGGTATTGATTTCTATTTTTATTACACTGTGACCTGAGAGTGTAGTTGGTATAATTTCAGTTTTTTATATTTTGTTGAGACTTGCTTTATAGCCAAGTATGTCATCTCTCTTATAGTATGTTCCATGTGTAGGTGAGAAGAATGAATATTCTATTGTTGTTGAGTAGAATATTCTGGAGATGGACTATTAGGCCCAATTGTTCAAGTGTTGAATTTAAGTCTAGTATATCTTTGTTTGCTTTGTGCCTCAATTATCTCTCTAATACTGTCAGTGGGGTGTTGAAGTCTCCCACTTTTATTGTGTAGTTATCTAAGTATCTTTGTAGGTCTCTAAGAAGATGTTTTATAAATCTGAGTGCTCAATGTTGGGTACCTATAAATTTATAATAATTGAGTCTTATTGAACACTTTATTATTCTATAATGTCCTTCTTTGTCTTTTTTGATCATTGTTGGTTTAACATCTGTTTTATATAAGAATAGCAACACCTACCTCTTTTTTGTTGTTTGACTAATAGATCTTACTCCATCCCTTTACTTTGAACTTATAGGTGTCATTACATTTGAGATGAATCTCTTGAAGACAGAGGAAAGTTGGGTCTTACCTCTTTATCCAGCGTGCCACTCTGTACTTTTCTAGTGGGAGCATTTAGCTTGTTTACAATTAAAGTCAATATTGATATGTGAGGATTTGATCCTGTCATCGTGTTGTTAGCTGTTTGTTATGTAGACCTGATTGTACAGTTGCTTTAGAGTATCAGTCAGCTATGGACTCAAGTGTGTTTTTGAGGTATCATGTGTTTTTTTCATTTGCATGTTTAGAACTCCCTTAAGGAACTCTTGTAAGGCAAGTCTAGTGGTAATAAATTATCTTAGTGTTTGCTTTCTGAAAAGGATTTTATTTCTCTTTGCTTACGAAGCTTAGTTTGGTGAGATATTAAATTCTTGGTTAGAACTTCTTTTCCTTAAGGATGCTAAAAAAGAGACCCTCAATCTCTTCTGGCTTGTACAGTTTCTGCTGAAAGGTCTGCTTGTGGCTTGATGGGTTTCCCTCTGTAAGTCACCTTCTCCTTCTTAGCTGCTTTTAATGTGTGTGTGTGTGTGTGTGTGTGTGTGTGTGCGCGCGCGCGTGTTGACATTGGAGAATCTGATGACTGTGTCTTTGGTGGATGGCTGTCTTATATAGTATCTCACAGAGGTTCTTTGAATTTCTTTAATTTGCATGTTGACTTCTCCACTGAAACTGGCAAAATTTTTATGGAATTCAAGTGTATTTTCCAAGTTGCTTACTCTCTGTCCTCCTCTTTCAGGAATGCCAGTGAGTCATAGATTTAGTCTATTTATATAATTCCATATTTCTTGGAGGACTGTTCATTTTTTAAGTTTATTTTTTTCTGCCTATGTCTATTCAAAATAATTGTCTTTAAGCTCGGAGATTCTTCCTTCAGCTTGGTCTATTCTGCTAATGTTTCAAATTGCATTATAAAATCCCTAGAGTTAACTTTTTATTTTCAAAAATTCAGTTTGTTTCTTTTTAAAACATAGCTATGTCATCTTTCAATTGTTGGATTGCTTTACTGTTTTCTTTTTATTGGATTTTAAGGTTATCCTGTGTCTCATTGAGCCTCTTTGCCATCCAGATTCTGAATTCTGTATCTGTCATTTCAGCCATTTCAATCTGGTTAAAAACCATTGCTCGGGAGCTACTGCAACTTTTTGGAGATAAGAAGACATTCAGGCTTTTGGAGCTGCCAGAATTCTTGTCCTGGCATTTTTCCTCATCTGTAAGGGCTAATGTTCTTTCAGTCTTTGAAGGTGCTGTCCTTTGGTTGGCACATTTTGTTTTTATGTTCTTTATTGCTTCAGGATTTGACTGTAGTATAAATTGGGTTTAGTTAATTGGCTTCATTTCTGGATACTTCCAGAGGGTCAAGGCTCAGCTTGGTGCTCTTGGGCTGGATGCTCTAACCCTGGGGTTGGGACCAGGCCCACGGCTTTGTCCTCTGGCTCCTCAAGACATAGCACCAGGTGTACTGGGATAGCTGAGGTAGTATGGGCTGCTGGCACAGTGCTCTATTGCGGGCCACGAGCAACAGTGCTCCAGTGGGGCAGTGATGGGGATGTGGGAAATAGCCTTCTGGTGAAGCAGTAGTGGCTCTGAGAGCAAGAGCACTCCAGCAGGGCAGTGCAGGCAGGCAGTAAATCAGCTGAGTGGCAGGGGTTCCATGGGGGAAAAAAAAAACACACTTTGACAAGGGGCCTTTAAGAAAAGCACTTCAGTGTAGCAGCGGGGCCTGTACTTTTTTTTATTTAGTTTTTTATGTAAATTTTCTTTCTGTTTTCAATTTGGATTATCTCAATCAGGATTTACTATTAAAAATTAAGAGGTGTTTCTTCCATGTTTTATGATTTTAAAAAATTTAAGTCACATTGGAATTATAAGGTTGATTTTAACCAAGTTATAAAATGATATGGGCCTGATCGACTTTGTTGAATTGTAGAAATTCTGCAATATTGTTTGCGGTCTATTCAAATATCTACCTTTTATCAATATAAGAGTTTGTATTTTGCTAGAAAGTCATCTATTAACTCTACATTCTTAAATATGGTGTCGCATAATCGCACGTAATTCCTTATTATTAATTTATATTACTTTCACAAATTTAATTATATATTTGTTTTTCCAAATGAGATACTGTATTTCTCTATATCTTTCTTTTGAAACTCTCAACATTCCGTTGATTTTATTTCATTGTTTAGAAATTTTTCTGATCACTAATTATCTCTGCCATATTTGAGTCTATTTCTGATGCTTGCTCTATGTCTTCAGATTGTGTTTTTTATATTTTAATATGCCTTCTTTTTAATTGAAACCCAGCTATGATGTACCCAGTACTGGTTTCATCATTTGTGTTTAATTCTGTGCTGCTTCTCTGGCAAGCTGTGATTCTCTGTATCCACCTATTTATTTCTCTGATTTAGAGAGTAGTGCTTTTCCTTTTACCACAATTCACTGATTAATCTCAGAAGAGTTGTTGATTTTTAGCTCTTCATATTTTTTTCATGCTGTAAGAATGGGAAGGATAGCTCCCTAACGTGCCAGACTGGGAATCAGAAGTCTCAATTTTTCATTTCTAAAAGATAATTTTACTGGATACAAAATTCTATGATGATGGATTTTTTTTTGTCTTCCAACATTTCAAATATTTCAGTCCATCTTTCATTTTTTTTTTGCATTGATTTTGATGAGAAGTCTAATCCTTATGTGTGTTCTTCTATGGGTGAAGAGGACTTGCCCATTGACTTCATTCAAGATTCTGTCTTTAATTTTCTGCCTTTTCTGTCTTTAATTTAATTATATTAAAATATAATTTTAAACTTATATTTAGTTTTAAATATAATATGCGCTAGTGTACATATTTTGGCATATATCCTGTTTGGAATTTTCTGGTTTTGTTTTCTGTAATTAGTTTTGGAAAATTCTGATCCTTTATTACTTCAAATATTTCTTCTTCTCCTTCCTCTCTTCTCCTTTTGATATTTTCATTATCCATATGTTATACTTCTTGTCATAGTGCTGCAATTCATGGATATTTTGTTTCATATTTAAATTATTTTTTCTCTTCACTTTTCAGCTGGGAAAGTCTCTACCAACACATTTTCAAACTCACTGATTCTTTGCTCAGCCATTTCCAGTGTAGTGATTATCAGATCAAAGGAATTCTTCATTTCTGTCACAGTGTTTTGATTTTTAGCTCTTCCATTTGATTTTACCTACATTGCTCATTGCCCATCTATTCTTGCATATTGTCCACTTTTTCCATAAAAGTCTCCAATATATTAGCCACAATTATTTTAAATTTTCAGTCTGGTAATTCTAAAATCTCTGCCATGTATAAGTTTGGTTACAATGCTGCTTTGTCTCTTCAGACTGTTATTTTTGTATTTTGTTTTTGTTTTTGCTGTTTATCCTAACTTTTAATTTTTTGTTGAAAGCTGAATATAATGTTTGATAAATGAAACTGAAATAAACAGATCTCTCATGTAAGGACTTACGTTTATCTAAGTCATTGTTTGCTGTTTTTGTAGGAGTAAGAGGTTAAAATTTTCTCTAATGCCCTGGTTTTTGCCTCTTATGTCCTCTTTAGATTTCCCTACAGACTAATTCCTAAATAAGGTCTGGGCCACACAGTTCTTTTCACCTATAATTCTTTCTTTATACAGGACTCCTATTTATGTGGTGATATGGTATTGAGGGAGGGGAAACATTCTTTGTTCCTGTGATTAGTTATCATTCTTCTCCTGGGCCTCTTACCCACACTGTGACCTTCACAAGTGCTTCTCAGCTTCCTCACTGCCTTGTTAGTAGGACCGAACGCTGGAATTGGGAATTTCCCTTTCCCCATGTCAAAGATTAGAGGGGGCTCAATTTGGGTATTTATTTCCCCCCTTAATCAATTAGGATCAGGTAAAATAAGATCCCTTCAGGGAAACCCTTTATTAATGACAAAAGAATGCTCTGGGTGTATTTCAAAATGGTTACTCCCCCCTCACCTCCTGTTGCAAGCATTAGGACATATTGTCTTTTATCATCACCCTGATAAACAGGTCTAGCTCCTGGAGATAGAACTCATGAATGTTTGTAGGTACCTGCTAAGGTGTGGCACCTATGAACTATGTCTCAAGCTAGATTACACTCCATCTCCAGCAATTAATCAATTACCCTGCAAGTGTTTCTCCCAGTCTCTGGCCTGGTATCTCCCAGCTGCACCTTCTCCTCTCTGTGCATTTTGATTCTCTGTAGTCACCTGTCTCTAAATTCTAGGACTGAAGCTATTAAGAGGTGTTGATTTTCAATCTGTTAGCTTTTCTCTCATGAGAATGGAGTGAAGAGATTCTGTCCAAGATGGCCGAATAGGAACAGCTCCAGTCTACATCTCCCAGCGTGAGCGACGCAGAAGATGGGTGATTTCTGCATTTCCAACTGAGGTACCGGGTTCATCTCACTGGGGCTCGTTAGACAGTGGGCACAGGACAGTGGGTGCAGCCCACCGACCATGAGCTGAAGCAGGGCGAGTCATCGCCTCACCGGGGAAGCACAAGGGGTCAGAGAATTCCCTGTACATGAAAGTTACCTCCACCAATACAACACAACTATTTTACTCAAAATATTCATGGTTTTCTAAATGATCAGAGGTTTCAAAAACTGTATTTGTGAATATATCTATTAGCGGTATATTAAAAAGGATCATGACCAATGCTAGATAGACATTGGAAAGTTTGTTATCCAATGAAGTAAATTGTTCTTAGAGTTATAAGTAAAACCTACCACCAGAAAAGCTAAATAAAATGAGAATAAATGAGAAGTTTTAAATCTAGAATAAAGAGAATAGTTGTTTTTAAATAGTTTTGACCTTAGCGGAAAACACATGGAGTAAATATTGTCCAGACCTAATAATTATTCAGCAAAAATGTAAATGCAATCTAAAGACCTAGATGTAACATTGTGTTCTTTTATCATCCATATGTTTTTCAAGAAACATATTACATATTGAAAAGCATGGTCAGGTAGGCAGAGTTTGGCAAAATGCAAATAGGAAAGAAACATGCTACTTCAAGTAATAACAAGTTCTTGCTATTCTTAGAAGGAATTCTTTCCATGTAAGTTTTCTTTAGTTATATTGGGGATTGCTGATATTAAATACTGCCTAGTTTTCATGAATATACTACATCAGGATGGGCTGCCCTTTAAAACGTTGCAGAAGTTGAATATGAATGCCCATCAGGTATTCCTTGTGCAACAGTTAGTTTAGTTAATGCAACAATTTTTACCGCAAATACATTTATAGCCCTGGCCTGCCAATATCAGTTTTGTCTCAAGAATATGTCATTTTTTTTTACAGAAAATACAAATGCTACTGTAAAATTTTTGCAGACCTTGACAAGAAAAGTTGTTAAAACTTTCATGGTCTAACCTTCCACTTTTCTTGTGCTGTCACCTGAAATCTTGTGGTAATCAAGTCACAAAAATGGTCCCCATAAAATTTTCAGATGTGTGACAATATTGAGTATATATCCAACATATCTTGTTAACTGAATAACAATGCATCCTCCTATTTTGATATTTTTTTCCTATAAGAATT
Organism: Homo sapiens; assembly: GCF_000001405.40. Taxonomy (NCBI): domain Eukaryota; kingdom Metazoa; phylum Chordata; class Mammalia; order Primates; family Hominidae; genus Homo; species Homo sapiens. Next base: position 188,484,180 of record NC_000001.11, read on the forward strand.
TAGCTAACATTACCCTCAAAGCTGTGTCTAAAAGTAAACATTTCTTTCTAGATGCCTTTTCAACAACTGAAAAAGAGCAAGCACTTTAACAACAGGCCCTTGCAGAAAAGAAATCATCTCAATATAAATAAAGCTTGTGAAATGTTCAAACTGCAGTACCTTTGTGACTTTAAGTCATGGAGCTCCCTTCAAATCTATCACTTAAACTGCAGGTACAGATGTATTTTTTAATTATAGTTCAATCATTACACTGCCCAATTTACCAGATTAGATGTTTGCAAAGACATATCCACCCCCCCCCCCCCACACACACACAAAACAAGGTACATACATAAGGACCAATGGATAATCTCTAGTCAATTTCAATATTATAGAACTGGAAATACATATCTAAAGTAACAAGTGAATTTCATTGGAAAATATATAGGACTATTTGCAATAAAATGGAAAGATGAAATATGAGTTGTAAAAGTTACTGACGTTTTTTAAATCTTTAAAATGAGAGTAACCATGGCACTTATTTGAATGATGTGAAAAGAGTCAAGTGATATAAATATGTTAAGCTCTCAGTGCAGTATCTTGCTTAGAAGCCATCAGACCTCACAATTTTTGATATCTGCAGTGCAATACTAAGTAAGTATTTTTATTGGATATCATTTTTTTAAAATTGTAACTGTTATTTGAACAATTATTATGTTGATGTTAATAATTCCTTAAGACAATTTTATTCACAGAATATTTGGTTTCCATTTTTATTTTCCCTGCACATACTGAAAAAGTCTAAAGCTATTTGGAGTTGAACACATATAAAAATTAATCCATTTAAAATCTCAATTCCTGCTATGCACTGTACTCTTTATTACCTGAGGTATAGAAATTATTTGAAGGCTTTATATATTTGATAGTTAGTAGACCTCTTCTGATCACACAGCTCACATGGGAATAGAGACCTCTGAAAATTAAGTGATCCTTATAATTACTATACCAGGGATGGTTTCTGTGCATACTTGGAAACAGGTAACGGTTTCTTTATGTTCTTTCCTCCCAGCCCATTGTCACTGAGGAAAGGTTTTGTAATTACCTGACCACAGTTTAAATAGATCATATCAGGAATTTAATATCTGTCATGTGCAGGGATAGATAGCCTTCAATATAATTACTGGCACCTACTCTAATACAAAGTGTGAGAAGTGATCATGCCCCTTGATGAGATACATCTTCAAATTATATTCTCTCTCACCATGGGCAGGAGAATATGATTATGGGCAGGAAAGAGATAGGGACAAAATAATGGAAAAATTATACATATCTCATTCTGCTTCCCCGAAAACAAATAAAAATTAATCAATAATGCATAAATAAGTAAACAGGTATAATTCAAATATCTTGACATTTTACATTTATCGGCATTTTTAATTGTCATTTCTTTCAGTAGGTATATGTTAAACCTCTATGAACAAGATGGGAACTGTTGTCTAATACTATCAGTAAAATTAATTTAAATATAAGGATATCATATATAAATTTTGTCTACTATTAAGCCATGCTTATATTGCAGATGTATTTGGTTTCGGTAACAAAATATTCTGCAAACTTCATCCTATATGGTCCCTTATCCTTGAAATAATTGTAATGTACAGAGAGATATATTATTTATGGCAAAATAAATGATCGAATACTTTCAATACATACAGAAGGAACCTTCAGAATTCACAAAAGAGTACTTCACAAGTGATGGTATTTCTAATATAGCTGCATATCTCTAGATTTGTATAGGAGTAAGACTATCGCTGCTAAAACAAATTACCACAAACGTCGTGGCTTAAAAGACAAATTTACTGTCTTACAATTCTGTAAGTTAGAAGTTCAACACAAGTCTTATTGGGCTAAAATAAAAGTGTTAGCAGGTTTTTTTTTTTTTTTTTTTCTGGAAGCCCTATAGGAAAATGTGTTCTCTTGTCTTTTTTTGCTTCTGGAAGTTACTCGCATTCCTTGAGTTTTAGTCTTCTCATTCCATGTCCAAAGACAGCAAGGGCAGGTTGAATTCGTTTCACATTGCAACATGATGGTATCTTCCATCATCACATCTCCCTTCAATTCAGACTTTCTTCCACTTTTAAGAACTCTTGTAATTACATCTGGCCCACCTAGACAACTTAGGAGACTCTCACATGGATGAGGCTGGAAACCATCATTCTCAGCAAACTAACACAGGAACAGAAAACCAAACCCTGCATGTTCTTACTCGTAAGTGGGAGTTGAACAAAGAGAACACATGACCACAGGGAGGGGAACATCACACACCAGGGCCTCTCAGGGGGTGGTGGGCAAGGGGAGGGATAGCATTAGGATAATAACTTAATGTAGATGATGGGTTGATGGGTGCAGCAAACCACCATGGCACATGTATACCTATGTAACAAACCTGCTCGCTCTGTACATGTATCCCAGAACTTAAGGTATAATTTAAAGAAGCTGGTTGATTAGTGTATTAGTTATGGTTCTCCAGAGAAACATAGCCAATAAGATATGTGTATCTACAGAGATACAGATTTAATTTTAGGAATTGGCACATGCAATGTGGAGACTGGAAAATTTGATATCTGAAGGATAGGCCAAGAAACTGAAGGAGACCCAGGGAAGAGTTGATGTTGCAGCTCCAGTTTTCAAGCAGTCTGGAGTGGAATCCCCTCTTCCTCAGAAGATGTCAGTCTTTTTCTTCTTAAGGCCTTCAGCTGATTGGAGGAGGTCCGCCCATATTATGGAAAGGTATAAGCTTACCTGAAAGTCCACAGATTTAAATGTTATCCTCATCTAAAAATTACTTTCACAGAATATCTAGACTGGTATTTGACCAAATATTTGGATACCTTGGCCTAGCCAAGCTGACTTATAAAATAAACCATCAAAAGAAGCAACCTTAATTTTTCTCTGCCATACAGTCTAACAGGTCTGCAGGTTTCATGGTTTTAGGAGATTGGCAATTATTGTTGATCATTACTCTGCACATCACAGACAATGCACATGTGTGTGCACATATGTAGGTGCATGCCTCTGTGCATTTGTCCTTCTCATTTGCCCAAAATTCCTTGTGCAATGCCTATGCACAGAAACTTAGGGCATAAATATGTTAAGTATGTCATTCCCCCCCACCCTTCCCCTAGTTTCTTCCTTCTTAACCTGCTGGAACAGTATAAATTTAATCTTTGATAATATGTCATTTTCATTTGCCAGTTTTAACACTTCTCTTTTTATTGCTATTTTTGAGTATTTTTTCTCATGATTTGGAGTGTTTATCAACTTATAAACATTGTGAACTTGGGAAAATTACTTTGACCTTTCTGAAAATTGGTATCTTTATCAGTAAAATACACTCAATAATTATTGAGATTTTAGTGTAAATAAGTAACACAATACATGTACACTTGACCTTTGAACAACCTGGATTTGAGCTGCATGGGTCTAATTATGTGTATATTTTTTCCAATAAATATATTATAAAAACTTTTCCAGATTTGTGACAATGTGAAAAACTAGCAAGTATACTGCATAGTCTATACATATGTATTTAAAGCTTAAAAAATTATATATGTCATGAATGCATAAAATATATGTAGATACTCATCTGTTTTATCATTCACTACTAGTCTATTTAATCTAATGAATGATACTATTTTACCATTATAAAATATACTAGTATCTATGGATACTATACTATCTATAATACTATAATCTATAATGGTTAGTATCTGTAGATACTAGTCTATAATGTCTATAGATCTATATACTATAATACTGTAGCTACTACAGATACTAGTCTATTTTATCATCCACTTTCTCTTATAAAACATTAAAATTTATCAAAATATACATACACAAACACAGAGTGTAAATGGCATCACTTGCAGTAGAAACATAAACAAACATAAAGATGCAGTATTAAATCATAACTGCATAAAATTAACTGTAGTACATACTCTACTACTGTCATAATGTTGTAGCCACCTTCTGTTCCTATTGCTGTGAGCTCAAGTGTTACAAGTATCCACTTAAAATGCCATGTGATGCTAATCATCTCCACGGAAGCAGTTCTTTCTAACTGCATATCAACATAAAAGTGATGTCTTACAATTCTCACTTATTGTTAATCATGCTTAGTACACTACAGTAAACTTTGAATAACACCATGGGACTCATACAAAGTGCCACTAGTGATACTGGAAGTGCTCCTGAGAAGCAGAGAAAAATCATGACTTTACAAGAAAAAGTTGAGTTGCTTGATATGTACCATATATTGCAATCTGTGACAAGGATTGGTAATCTAGAGAAATATTTTTAGAGAAATGGAAAAGCAGAAACTTGGAAAAAATTATGATGTGTTTCTGTCAAATCACACAAAGTATGCCCATCTCTCCTGCCTCTTTTTCACCTGTTTTACCTTTCCTGCCTCTGCCCACCTCTGAGACAACAAGACCAACCCATACTTTTCTTCTTAGTCCTCAGGCGACTCAATGTAAAGACAATGAAAGTTAAGATCTTTATGATGATCCACTTCCAATTACTGAATATTAAATATATTTTCTTTTACTTATGATTTTCTTAACAACATCTTCATTTCTCTAGCGTTCTTTATTGTAAGAGTGATTTATGCAATGCGTATAAACATACAAAATATGGTTAACTGTTTATGTTATCTATAAGACTTCCAGTCAACAGCAGGCTATTGGTAAAGCTTTTAGGGAGTAAAACCTTCTATGCATATTTTTGACTGTATGGAAAGTCTGCATTCCTAACCCCTGTGTTGTTCAAGGGTCAACGGTACAACCATTATGAAAATGCCTGACACTTTAAAAAAGGTTAATGTTAATCTTAAATTTTTGAGAACTTTTCTAAGAAGTAGGCATTAATCGCTTTTCATATTTACTAGAAATGTTTTCCCAAGTAATTTTTTCCACAAAAATAATTATTAATTATGTTGTTCTATATAATTTTAAACGTTCATTTAGTAAAGAATACTGGCTTATTTCTTTGTGATTTCGTGTACTTCATTGAAAATTGAGAAGTTATTCCCCATCTTAAATCCATTAAATATTCACCTATTTTTTGTTGTTCATGTGTGTGCGCATGTGTGTGTGTGTGTGTGTGTGTGTGTGTGTGTGTGTTCTTTTACGCGTAGTGTTTTTGAAGCATAGGCTCTGTATTTGTTCTACATTTCTCTTCATATGGCTTCCAGAGATGCCTGGGGAGATGACCTCTGGCAGTGACACGCAATATAGTCACAAAGTCACATTTTTTCCTTATGAGAAATCAGATAGCCTCTGTTTTCCAGAATCCTGAAGTTAGGTGGCACTGTATGACTGAGTTCAGGCCAAAGGCATGGGGGTTGGTCGGTGGAGAGTGAGGGATGGCACTTTCAGGATGCCCCTAGTAAAACTGCCTGCATACTTCCTCTGTGCACCCTCCCTGGAGGCTTTTGACAATTGGCCAGATTATATGACCCCTGGGGGTAGTAGAGCCCCTAGATAGAAACAATCTGAATTCCTGAATGATTGTGCAGAATAGAGAGCTTTGGAGGGCATTGCACTGTGAAGTGAGTGAGAGTGAAGAAAACAAACACAAATAAAAAACAATTATTTTCAATTAAGCTGCTAAAGGATTTGTTATAGTGGTTAACCTACGTTGACTAATAAATGACCTTTGTTCTGTTTCCACTGTTCTAAATACCAGAAAGCACTTATATTAGGCTGGCTCTGCCTGGGAAGGCTAAAGGTAAAAAATGATGACTGAGTAATTCCCTGGTTGTAATATACACTTCCTTAATTAGATAGTACATGCATAACTTTTATGAAAGTGACTGTCACATAAAAAGAGGTTAATGTCAGTCTTAATCTTTTGAAAGTTTTTATAGATGGCATAGATTAAGAATTTGCCAAATTTGGTGGTAATATATTCCCACGTTATATGTATTTGTATGTTATATGTAGTGTATACTGTGTTTACATTGAATATTATCTAAACTAATTTTTAACTTGATGACTCCCAGCATACAGGTAGCATAACCTGTTCACAGAGGTGTTTTACCCTTATTTATTTGAAGCTGCACTTGAGTGAAACACAGATGTGACACTGATTCACTCAGGTGTTGTCATCTGTAGCTCATCTCCCCTTGGTGAAGATTTTTGAGACCTGAAACCTTGAAATACTGTACATCCTAAAAAATTATATTAATTATTCAGCTGTTTAATCTTGATTCCTTGATCCACTAACTTCTTTCTTTCTATCCATTAGCTAAATGAATGTTGGTTGATTTATGCAAACAGCATGCAGGGCATCCCTGCCATTGTCTGCTGTCATCTTTCCATCAGTCTGAATATACTATTTACCTATATCAAGACAGGTTGTGCACTGACTTAATTTAACCAGGTTTTATTTTGGTACTTGGTGCAAACTAATGATTTAAATCGATATAGGAGCATTGAATTTTCCAAACAATTTGTTTAAAATTAGATTTATCTCCATAGAAATTTGACAATTGCATTAGATTAAATTTGTTCTCAGTTGAGTATGCTTGATGGTTGTTTCTTTCCAGTTTCTAAACTATATATTTTTAAATATTTAAAATTATAAAAGCCATGCATGTTTTTGATTACATGCATTCTACTTGACACTGTCATTTCCAGTCACCAGCAAACCATTGTTAACACTGGTGAGTTCTTCTTCTGTGTGCTATGCAAAGATACATAGGATTAGATAGAGTAGATAAATAGCAAAAGATATAATGTTCAATAGAAATCTTTTTTTTTTACTTTTTACAAAAATATAATCATACTTTGGATGTTTTTATGAATCTTGCTATGTTAACAATTTATTATATGTTTAATATGTATCAATTTATCAACATATAAAAGTATTTAGTTTTGTAAACAGCTTGAAAGCACTGATATATTCAGGTACCATATAGATAAAATTATTTTGCTGTCAATGAATTTTTTTATAGTTAAGGTTCACTTTTTAAATTACGGACCAAATTGATACGTATCATTGAACAATACAAACTTAACAATAAAAATCGTGAACAAGTGTGTTTTTCTCTGAATGTTTGATTTGAACTGTTTATAATATCATGAAAGGGATTATTAAATTACTTTTTATTATTTCCACCTTGTGGCAGGTTTATCTGAAGTTATATATTAACATGCAAATATAGGCAGCATCACTATGAACAATTTATGTATGCCCAAATTTCTGTTACCATGGCTTAGTTAAATAACACTAGTACCCACAACACACAGCACAAATTTCAGTTACCGTGATATATCAACTGTGGATAATTGCATATAGCATTAAGTTTGTGGTTAGCTCCCTATTCTACAAATCACTACATATATAGCAACTGTATATCATGATTAATAACTAATCACATCACATCGATCAAGGTTGGACAGTAATAGGTGATTATTCATCTGTTATTCTGCTCATACACAGACAGCAAAATGTGTAATATTATTTTATTGTATTATGTGATAAACCCACATGTCATTTTACAAAAAATAAATAATAAATCAAAAAGATGGGCCAACAAAGGTAAAATGCAACAAACAATAAATGTAATAACAATGAAAGTAAAATTTAAATTGAATATATATGGCACGATAGAAGAAATAGCTGACCATGATTCTAATATGCAGCCAAGGAGGCTTAGTTAAGGCAATCTTAGCAATACAATTGAGAAAAGTGATTATAATACAAATAATGATGTCCAGAGGAATTGACATGGGCAAAAACCTTCCCATTAATGGAATTCAGAGATATTTCAAGACACTGAAACTGCAAAGGGTAACATGTTGAAATCTTATCCAAATTTAGCAAAAAGTTCTGATATTTTGCCTAAGCATGGAAAGATGCTCATTTTATCATAAATCACATGGTGAGAAATGCAGGAGGAGAGTATTCTTCAAACTTGATAAGGCTTTAAATAGGAACAGGGAAAAATAACACTACAATTCTCTGTTTAAAATTACAGTGTAACAAATATCTGTTAGCTGCACTAGTTTTATTTTTCACTTCCATATAGAAATATGATCAACAGTTCGAAAGTTTTGAATGTTTTAACAAAATAAATAAGGATTACAGAACAATAATAAATTTTCCTATGTATTTATAAAATCAATTTCTGTCATAATTTTTATACTCCAAGTATTAGTTTTCTATATTACATCATTATATATAAAAATAGTTTAATTTTTGTTCATGTTTGGCATTTATTTCTAAAACCTATTAAGACATGGAATCAACATAAATACCCAAATAAAATGTGATACATATACAGCATGGAATATTATACTGCCATAAAAAATAATGATATCATGTCCTTTGCAGGAACATGGATAAAGCTGGGGCCATTATCCTTAGCAAATGAATGCAGAAACAGAAAACCAAATACCACATGCTCTCACATATAAGTAAAAGCTAAATGATGAGAACACATGGACACACAGAGGGGAATAACAGACATAGGAGCCTATCAGAGGGTGGAGGGTGGAAGGAGGGAGTGGATGAGAAAAAATAACTAATGAGTACTGGGCTTAATACTGGAGTCATGAAATAATCTGTAAAAAAAACTCCCATGACATGAGTTTAGCTATATAATAAACCTGCATATGTACCCCTGAACTTAAAATAAAACTTAAAGCAAAACAAAACCAAAAAACTACTCGGTCTAAAAAAAATTACTCTTAACATGGTTTTAGCCATTACAATTGGATGAAAAAAAAAACAAGCAGATGTACAGGTGTACAATGGAAATTCTAGAATTTTCTATAAGGAAATTCTGTATTTTATAAAGTAGTAAGGGTTTAAAACGATTGAGTTGACACCAACACATTGACATATCTTTTTGAATCTCAATTAGATAAATATTGACAATTGAATTAATACTCTTCTGATACTGTTTACTTTCTCAAGATAATGCAAAGATTTTATAAATAAAATGCCTGAGACAAATTAAGAACTTTTGTCATTGCCATTAATATTTCAGGAGACCTGTCTCAAATATCTAGAATTAGACACAAAAAAGTAATTACTTTATTAATTATAATTTTTCTTTATATAATCAGGAAAAAAAACAAAAATATTTTAAATCTAAGAATAAAGAAGACATAAAAAGCCAGTGCAGATGTAGGGGTATCACTTGTAAACAATGATAGCAGGGATTTAATAAAACCTTACACCCAATTGAGCAATAAATTGGCCTAAATTTTAAATTCAATCTATTCATTTAAATTCAATCCTCTATCAAATATAGATCTATCAAATATAGGGAAACCTAATTTCCCTATGGCAATTTTTACCAATTCATTCATATAGCACAGATTGAATATCCGTTATTTAAAATGCTAGGAATCAGAAGTATTTCAAATTTTTTATTTTAGGGATTTTGAAATACATGCAGTATACTTAAATGCTGATCATGTCAAATTTGAAAATCTGAAATCCCAAATGCCCAAATTTCATTTCCTATGAGTGTTACATTGGCATCCAAAATGTTTCAGATTTTGAAGCATTCTGGATTTCAGATTTTTAGACTTGAGATGCTCAACCTCTAATATCTAAATAAATTTAAATTATTGTATATGCATATTTATATATTATGTATATTTATGACTACATAGGAATTTATATGAATATATGCCATGCCTACCTATGTTTCATATGCCCATCTTAGCAGTAAGTATAAATTGACAGTCTCTATTGGCTATATGTTTCCAATAATCCTGATAAAACAAATATACTTGATTAAAATGAAATCACTTGTAAATAATAATCATCAATACTTTAATTGTTTTCTTTATTTGTCCTTTATTTTCTCAGATTTGAGAAATTCATAAAACCAGAGTAGCGTTTTATAATTCTTGTGACTAAAGAAAATTGTGTTAGTATAAAAATGTATTTTCTTTAAATTCCTTTAATGAATGCAAGGTGATATTTTGTATGTACTTCATGTTATTTTGAAAGATCAAGTTTTGATTTTGAAAAATATAAAAATACCAAATAAAACTATCTATTCATGCATTTTGGTCCAATATAATGCATGCGCTCACACCTGTAATCCCAGCACTTTGGGAGGCCGAGGTGGGTGGATCATGAGGTCAGGAGTTTGAGACCAGCCTGCCCAACATGGTGAAACCCCATGTCTACTAAAAATACAAAAGTGAGTTGGGTGTGGTGGCATGCTTGTAATCCCAACTACTCAGGAGGCTGAGGCAGGAGAGTCACTTGAACCCGGGAGGCAGAGGTTGCATTGAGCCAAGATCACGCCACTGCACTCCACCCTGGGTGACAGAGAGAGACTCCGTCTCAAAAAAATAAAAATAAAATAAAATAAATAAATAATAAATAAATAAATAAATAAATATACGAATGTGTTTGTGGGTACATATATCATATGTGTTACAAGAAACAAAATTGTATTTGTTGATTTCCTACTTATAATTAACTGACAGAGTTACATCAACTGGAATTACCTGAAGTGCAGATTTCTTGAAAACATAGGATGGTAACTTTGAACTACCACGTAGAAACTTAGAAATTTTTAAAGCACTGCAGCATCCACAAACTCATTTAAACTATTTAAGTCATTTTATAATATTATATTAGCAACAATTATATTTGCTTTAGAGCTTGGTTTTACTAACGTCCCTTCTATTATTTTGAAAAACTTCAAAATTTGTTAACTTGGGACTGTGTGAGCTTTCTATAGCATGAGCATTTATTTAGGTAACATAGTGGTTTTATTTTAGATAACACTTTCAGATTACTGTCTAAAACCTTGAAGGCAAAACAATTAAATAAACAGTGATCTTATCAGATGATTTCTAAGCCATTGGTCGAATAAGTTGTACAGTATTCTGGTAATGCTGCTTGGATATGTGATGTTTGCTTTTAACAGAAATATATAAGAGTGAAGCAAAACAACTATTTGACCATGCTTTAGTAGATCTTATAAGACTATCAAATTCCCATTGACATATGACTTATGGCATTAATATGTTAATCTTGCAAAGGATTTAAAAAATAGACAATTTTAGTTGAACAAACCACAATTATCTGCTTGCCAACAGTTGATAAATCATTTATTTTTCTGTTCCACTGTAATACTCAATAAAAAATAAAAATTCCTGATACTGTAATCAAAGTGTATTGCTGTATATCATTCAATGACAATCTAGAGCAAATTTCAACTAAGGACAGATTTGTTTTTTGAATTGACTTGACAGAGCAAGAAAGATTTAAGAAATATCTTGTAAGTGCTTAGTTGAAAACTTCTTGCCAAATATCATCAATCTATATTCTACTGAGACCAAATTTACCAGAGAGTTACATGGAACTCAAATAAGTTTCTCTGCTACAAATTTTGATGTTACATAGTTAAAAATTCTTATATTTCTCAAATTCTTGGTATTGTAAATGGTTTCAAATTTTGAGAATGCCTTCATTAACCACCTGCTTGCTTGATTAAATTACAATACTGGAACGCAGTACTACTTTTATATCTTGAAGGCAAAATATGTCTGTTTGGTAATGAGTAACATTAGAATTCCTTAATGTGTAAATCTTAATACTGCAAAAAATATGAAAAAGAATTAAAACACCTATAATGGAGTAATGGTTGGTCATTAAGGGATACTTTTCTATTTAGCATTTCTTTTACTGTGCTAGGAATGGTCATGCAGTTAGTTCTGCGACTGCATTATAGTTTTGTTCACAGTTAACAAAAGATGTGTGGAATAAGATGAACATTTTCTTATATTTGCACCTAGGCAAAAAGTAACAAAATTACATACATTTTATTTGAAGAAATAATAAATGTGGCTAATAAACAATCTACATTTTTATCTCTCCAAATAAAATGTATGTAATTTATATAGAACAAAAAAGTATACATAAATGTTGGTTTCAGTTTTTTAAAAATGCCTGAAATCTATGCTATGTATTTATTTAAATGTGAAATGTAAATCAATACTAATCTTTCTAATTGCCAAGGCTGTTATTGCCTTAATATCAGGTTACATAATACATTTTTTTCTTGACATCATCTGGACCTTACATCCTATTAAGTGGTTAGTCTTCTTTCTAAATTCTGAAGTCTGAATAATAATTTTGCATGTATCGTGTCACAACATGTTTTTATAAAAGACAAAACTGCATAGAGGAAAGAATACTTATGCAGAGGTGATAATACTCTTACTTATCTTGATACAACCAAGGCCACAGAGGTACCACATGCGAGGGATGCAAATTTATGCTCATTACTTCACAATCACAGCTCAGTACTTTTTAAAAAAGCATGTTGGTGGTTGAAATCAGACTCAAAATAGATTCTGACTTGCTGAACTTTGAGTTAAATTCTGTGCTGAAAATAGGCCACCTAATGAATCCTTATGTTCTTGTCTTGGGCCTGGAGTACTAGCGGAACAGTCCCATTCCATATGGAAATGTTCCCTTTGGGGAACATATGTTCCTTCCCTGTATGTGCACTTTGTTCAGAGCCTCTGTGACATATTCTGACAGTTGTCTTAACTTTGAATAGCAGGAAGAATATCAAGTTAGGTTTTTTGAGATTCTTTTATTTTTTCAATGGAGGCATTTTACCAATTGGAGGCATTTACCACTATAAACTACCCTCTAAATACTGTGTTTGCTACTTCCTGTGAGTTTTAGTAGGTTCTGTTAAGTTTTCACATGTTTTGAGATATTTTCTAATTTCCTTTTGATTTCTTTTTTTTAACCCATTGGTTGTTCAAGAATGTTTTGTTCAATTTCTACATATTTGTAATTTTTAATCTATTTTTCTTCTGTTATTGATTTCTAATTCACTTTATTTTGGTTAGAAAAGATACTTGGTATAATTTAAATCTTCTCAATTTTTTTGACTTATTTTGTGATCTAACTTGTGATCTATAGTGGAGAATGTTACATGTGTGCTTGAGAAGAAGATAAATTCTGTTTATCTTGGGTGAAATGATCTGTGTGCATCTGTTAGACCAATTAGGTGTATGGTGTTTTTCAAATCTGTCATTTCTGTTGATTTTCTGTCAGGCGTTTTTTCCATAATTGAAAGTAGTGTATTGAAGACTCCTATTATTATTGTATTACTGTATATTTCTCTCTTCAGTTCTGTCAGTTTGTTTTATGTATTCAGCTTGTTTTATATACCTGATGTTGTGTGTCTACATATTAAAATTTGTTAAATTAATATCTTGCCAATAAATTGACACTTTCTAAATATATGTTTCCTTGTCTCTTATGACAGTCTTTTTCCCTAACATCTATTTTGTCTTATATAGGTATATACATCTTTGCTCTCTTTCAGTTGTTATTTCCAAAAAATATCTTTTTCTATCCCTTTACTTTCAGCCTCTGCATGTCCTTAAAGCTGAAGTTTATTTCTTGTAGATAACATCTAGTTGGGTCTTATTTTCCTTAATCCATTCAGTCACTCCATGTCTTTGATCAGGAACCATAAGCCACTTACATTTAAAGTTATTGTTGATAGGGAATTATTTACTGCTGCATTTTGTTTATTGTTTTCCATTTGTCTTGTAATTCTTTTGTCCCTATGTTTTCTCTCTTGCTATTTCTTTGTGTTTTCTTAACTTTCCATATTAATATGAGTTGATTTCTTTATCTTTTTTTGTGTGTAATTTCTACAGGTATTTTATTTGTGTTTACTATAGGGTTTAAGGAAAATATCTTATAGTTTATAAGTTGATTTTGTTTTTGTTTTTGCTTGTTTCAAGGTATCTTCTAATTTCCCTTTTGATTTCTTTTATGTCCCATGGGTTGTTTAAGGGTGTTTTGTTTAATTTTATTTAATTTCAAATGCATTAATTTTTTTCTTCTGCTTTATTTAGTCTTCTGCTAATCTCCAGTAGAATTTCTAATTCAGTATGATATGGTATCAATCTGTGCCCTCACAAAATCTCATGTCAAATTATCATACCCAGCATTGGATGTGGGCCTGGTGGGAGGTGGCTGGATTATGAGTGTAAATTTCTCGTGAATGGTTTAGCACCACCTTTTTTGGTGCTGTTCTCATGATAATGAGTGAGTTCTCTTAAGATCTAGTTGTTTAAAAGTTTGCAGCACCTCTCCCCTCATTCTCCCTTGCTCTTTTATAGCAATACAAGAACTGACTAATACAGAAAATTGATACTTTGCTCTAAAGATACCCAAAAATGTGGAAGCAGCTTTGGAACTGGATAATGGGAAGAGGTTGGAAGAATTTGGCATGCTCAGAAGACTGGAAGATGAGGGATAATTTGGAACTTCCTAGAGACTGGTTGGATGGTTATCACCAAAATGCTGGCAGTTATAAGGACAGTGAAGGCCAGGCTGATGAGGTTTCAGATGGAAATGAGTAACTTATAGGGAACTGAAGTAAATGTCACTTTTGATATGCCTTAGCAAAGAACTTGCCTGCATTGTGCCACTGCCCTAGGGGTCTGTGGGACTTTGAACTTGAGAGGGTTGATTTAGAGTATCTGGTGGAAGCAATGTCTAAGGAGCAAAGCATTGAAGATGCAGCCTGGCTGCTTCTAACAACTTATTTGTGTGAGCAAAGAAATGATCTAAAGTTGAAACTTATATATAAAAGGGAAGCAGATTGTAAATGTTTGGAAAATTTACATGCTGTCCATGTGGTAGAAAACCCATTTACAGGGAAAAAATTTAAGTGAGCTGCAGGAATTTGCATAAGTGAAAAGGAGCCAAGTGCTAATAATCAAGAAAAGAGCATAGAATAGCTTCATGGTCCAGACCCAGGGCCCCACTGCCATGGACAGCCTCAGGACATTGCTCTCCATATTTCAGTGTCTCCATCTCTAGCCATGGCCCAAAGAGGTCCAGGCACAGCTTGGACCACTGCTTCAGAAGGTGCAAGCCATAAACCTTGGCAGCTACCACATGATGCTAAGCCTGCAGGTGCACATAGTGCAAAAATTGAGGCTTGGGAGCCTCTTCCTGAATTTCAGATTGTGTATGAAAAAGCCTGGATGTCCAGGCAGAAGCCTACTGTAGAGGTAGAGCCCTCCATATATACACCATGGAATACTATGCAGCCATAAAAAAGGATGAGTTCATGTCCTTTGTAGGGACATGGATGAAGCTGGAAACCATCATTCTCAGCAAACTATCGCAAGGACAAAAAACCAAACACTGCATGTTCTCACTCATAGGTGGGAATTGAACAGTGAGAACACTTGGACACAGGAAGGGGAACATCACACACCGGGGCCTGTTGTGGGGTGGGGAGAGGGGAGGGATAGCATTAGGAGATATACCTAATGTAAATGATGAGTTAATGGGTGCAGAACACCAACATGGCACATGTATACATATGTAACAAACCTGCACGTTGTGCACATGTACCCTGGAACTTAAAGTATAATAAAAAAGAAAGAAAGAAAGAAGTAGAGCCCTCGTGGAGAAACTTGTCTAGGGCAATGTAGAAGGACCACGTGGGGTTGGAGCCCCTACAAAGAGCCCCACTGGGGCACTGCCCAGTGGATCTATGAGAAGAGGGCCACTGTGTCTGCCTCAGAATTGCAGATCCACCAACAGCTTGCATCCTCAGCTTGGAAAAGCCAGACACTCAGTGCCAACTCTGTGAGCAGCCTTGGGGACAGAACCATGCAAAGCCACAGGGATGGAGCTGTCCAAGGTCTCAGGAGCCTACCCTTTGCATCAGTGTGCCCTGGATATGGAACAAGAAGTTGAAGAAGATTGTTATGGAGGCTTAAGATTTAATGACAGTCCTGCTGGGTTTTAGACTGGGATTTAATGACAGCCCTGCTGGATTTTAGACATGGGGCTAATAGCCTCTTTCTTTTGGTTGATTTCTCTCTTTTGTAATGGGAGTATTTACACAATGCCTATACCCCCATTTTGTTTTGGGAGTAACTAACATGTTTTTTATTTTACAGGCTAATGGGCAAAATATACTAGCCTTGTCTCAGATGAGACTTTGGACTTTTGACTTAATGCTAAAATGACTTAAGACATTTGAGGACTGTTGGGAAGAGACTATTGCGTTTAGAATGTCAGAAGGACATGAGATTTAGGGGGCCAGAAGCAGAGTGATATGGTTTGGATCTGTGTCCTCACCAAATCTCATGTTGAATTAATTGTAGTCCCCAGTGTTGGAAGTGGAGCCTGGTGGTAGGTGGATGGATCATGGGGATGGATTTCTCATGAATGATTTAACACCATCCCCTTGGTGCTGTTCTCATGATAGTGAGTGAATTCTTGTAAGATCTGGTTGTTTAAAAGTGTGCAGCATCTCCCCCCAACTCTCTCTTGCTCCTACTTCCTCTGTGTGAGACCGCTCATTCCCCCTTGTTTTTCATCATGACTGGAAGCTTCCTCAGGGCTCCCTAGAAGCAAAAGCCACTATGCTTTATCTACAGCCTGCAGAACTGTGAGCCTAGTGAGCCTCTTTTATATGTTACCCAGTTTCAGGTCTTTATAGCAATGTGAGAATAGACTAATACAAATTATTATATTCTTATCTCCATGATTTCTGTTTGGTAACTTTTAATATTTTCCTATCCTTTGAAATTCTAACTTTGTTAGGCATTGTTTTCCTGAATCCAATAAGTATCTTTAGGATGGTGATTTTTTAGTTGATTTTTTGTTTATAATACTTTACCTGTTTCTTCATATTTTTTAACTCTCTATGTTGGAATCATCATATTAGCTAAAACAATTATCTCTCCCAGTCTTCACAAACTTGCTTTGAACATGAGAAGAAACTCATTAATTATACTGGACAGGAATTCTGGCTTTTTCTCCAACACTCCTGCTACTCCAACCTGTTTTCTTTTTTCTTAGTTTCCCCCAGGCATCTATTTAGATTATGACAGGTCCTGTCACTTCTCTGAGCTGAAAAAGACTGAATCTAGTTCCTCAAGTAGCTCTCAGAAAAGTTGAATTCTTGGATGCTCAGTCCAACTCTTTAACTGTGAAGGAAGAAACTGGCATTTGAAGTTTTTCATTCACTTTCTCTGTGCTTAACAAGGCAAAGGGATTACTGTGCTAGGGTTACTGCTATACCAAACTGTCATCTCAGTTCTTCTTGGATACAGTCAGTTTAATTATGCCTGGTTCCCTCAGCACTCTGAGAAGAGCAAAAGAGAAGCTAGTTCTGTGCATAGCCCTATGAAAATTTGGGCCATTTTGCATGTAGTCTACATCTATCACATCTCAGAGACAGGCAAGAAGCTTGAGTGGGGAGATTCTTTACAATCCATGGCACTGTGATGGGGGTAGGATTATGTCAAAGAGAGTACCTTGTCTCAAACCTCTCTTCTGGCTTCAATGTAGGTAGTTTTTCTACTCACCTTGGATGCAGGAACCTCTATATGAATTTTTGGATTTCCAACAAAGTGAATTTGTTTATGAATTGTTGAATTGGTGTATTCACAGCAGGAAGGAGGATGAAGAACTTTCTAGTCTGTCAGCTTGTCAGTACACTTCAAATTAAGGGCAGTTTAAAAGAATTGAGAGATAATGGCAGGTAGAAACTTTCTGCTCATAAACACCATATTCTTTATTTCCTGATTTGCTGATTCATTTGATAAACAATTTCAAAACCATAAACTTGTTCAACAATAAAAGGTGAGGCCTATAGTACTTGCCAAATAATTTCTTTTTTTAAAGTAGCTATTCTGTGAATGTCCAATTTAATAAATCACAGAAAACAAGTCATCAAATGTTACCAAATATGTTGCCATTGTCATTAGCTTTGCTCCAAGGAATCTGAGCCCATCCAGGAACTGAATTTAGAATGAAAACGTTATTTCTTCTTTCAGTAGCAACTGTATTTAATTTAAAGTATGAATATAAATAGGAATAGAGCTATAAAAGTAGAGTTCAACCTAAACCAGGACTAAGAATTTCAAAAACAAATGTTGTTTCTTTGTTGGCTATGCATACAATTCTTTATCCAAAATGAAATAAACCTAGACACATTAAATGTTTATCAGTAATTCGTAAAATTGTCTTTTTTACTGTGGAATTCAAGTGATGTGTTGAGCTTACCTAAATTTATGTGCAGATTCCAACATAGGAGAGTCAAGAAACACCAAAAAAAAATGGAAAATTGGATATAAACAATGTAAAAGAGGACATGATATAGTCGAGAGCCCCCAAGAAGTTTTTTTCTCCAGGAGGCTGGTCATCTCAAAGAAAACTGCCTTGGAAACTAAGTTTAAAATGTGAAAGAATTAAAAAGTCTTGTCTTTGCCAAGGATACTTTAATATAGATGAGAATTAAAGGGAGGCTTTCCATTCTAGTATTTACACTTATTGCAGGAGAACATTATATTTTACCTATCTCTATGGCTTTTAGGGAAATAGAAAATCTGAGAATATGATGTCATGTACTATAAAATCTTAAACTGGAAACAAGACTATAGTCTTTTTTTAAACTTTTATCACTGACTTTACATTAGAAAATCAGTGAATAAATGCTGCTTGAATGACTTATAATTTTCTGACTTTAGAGTCAGGTTTTTTATCATCAAAATATCTGTATAATAAAGCTTAGTTAAAGGTGAGTGTTCTTTTATTTATATATTAAAATAGTGTAGGCATGGTGTGGTGGCTCATGCCTGTAATCCCAGCACTTTGGAAGGCCAAGGTGGGTGGATCACCTGAGGTCAGGAGTTCGAGACCAGCCTCGCCAACATGGTGAAACCCCGTCTCTACTAAAAATACAAAAATTAGCTGGGTGTGGTGGCACATGCCTGTAATCCCAGCTACCAGGGAGGCTGATGCAGGAGAATTGCTTGAACCTGGGAGGTGGAAGTTGCAGTGAGCTAACATGGCGCCACGGCACTCCAGCCTGGGCGACAGAGCGAGACTCCATCAAAATAAAATAATAATAAAATAAAATAAAATAAAACAAAGTCAAATAAAATAGTGTAATCTGGTAATTTAGGGAGGGTCTGCAAATCTACTATCTCTTTGGCAATGCTGCTAACCATATATTTAGTTTATTCATGTGAACTGTATTAGGTCAACTATTATTTCATTTACACATTCAATATTTCATAGATTTAAGAATCATGAAGTGTGCAAGCAATTTTCATGATTCATACTAGTATGCAACATTTGGTTCCAATTGATCAATAAATAAAAGATTGGGATTATCATCTACTTTGGATGAAAAAGCATATAGTTTTGCTTGAAATAAGCAATGCTTAATAGGTATCAGTTTTGTTTAAATTAGAAGCATACTAACACACCCACGGAAACACAAAACAAAAAACATGAAGAAAGCTCCAAAGTGTTATGCTAAATTTTTACACTGAGAGTGCCTTAATGCCAGAAAGAAATGAATAAAAGTACAGTCATGTGCCATGTAATGATGTTTCAGTCAATAACTGACCACATATATGACTATGTTTCCTTAAGATTATAACTGACCATATATATGACTATGGTTCCCTAAGTTTGTAATGGAGCTGAAAAATTCCTGCTGTTTAGTGATATTTTAGCCTTCGTGATGTGACAGTAAAATGCATTACTCACATGTCTGTGATGTTGGTATAAGTAAACCTACCGTGCTGCCAGTTGTATAAAAGTATAGCACGTCTAACTTTGTACAGTATATAGTATTTGATAATGATGATAAATTAGTATGTTACTGGTTTATATGTTCACTAGTTTATGCTTTTCATTGTTATTTTAGCATGTACTTCTTCTATATAGAAAAAAAAAGGAAGTTACTTGTAAAACAGCCTCAAGCAGGACCTTCAGGAGGTATTCCAGAAAAAGGCACTGTTATCTTAGAAGATGACAGCTCCATTTGTGTTTGTGCCCCTTAATACCTTCCTGTGGAACTAGATGTGGAAGACAGTGATGATCATGACTCTGTGTAGACCTAGACTAATGTGTGTGTTTGTGTCTTTTTTAACAAAAATTTAAAAGTTTAAAAAATTAAGAGTTTATAGAATAGGGATATAAAGAAAATATGTTTGCACAGCTGTGAAAATGTTTGTGTGTTAAGCTGTGTTACAGTTAAAAAAACAAAAGTTTATACACTAAAAAAGTTAGCAAAGGTTAATTTACTAGTGGAGAAATATAAATATTTTGTATTAATTTAGTATAGCATAGCTATACAGTATTTATAGTCTACAATACTGTTCAGTAATATCCAAGGTCTTCACATTCACTCACCACTCACTCACTGATTCACCCAAAGCAGCTACTAGTGCTATATGCTCTTTTCATGGTAAGGGACCTATACAAATGTACCATTTTTGACCATTTATATTGCATTTTTACTCTACTCTTTCTATGTGTAGATATGTTTAGATACACAAGTATTTACCATTATTTTACAGTTGCCTACAGCATTCAATACAGTAAAAAGCTGCACAGGTTTGTAGCCTAGGAGAAACAGTCTATAGCCTATAGCCTGGATGTGCAGTAGGCTATATATACCATCTAGGTTTGTGTTAATATATTCTATGATGTCCACACAAAAATGAAATCTCCTAATGATGCATTTCTCAGAATGTATCCCCATTATTAAGCGATACATGTCTGTATTTATGAGTATTTGAAAACAATTGTAATACTATTTTCTGAATCTTTTAAAATAAATAATTTCATCAAGCCATTTACTATGGATTTCCACATAGATATATTATTTTGTAGTAGGGAAGTCCCATACATGTAGAAATAAAATAATACTTTTACAAATATTAGTAGACTTTCTTTTTAGAGCTGAGGTATACAGAAAAATTGAGCAGAAAATTCCCATAGACTTCTACTCCTCCTCCCACAGTTTCTCCTAAAACTAACATCTCTTATGAGTGTGTACAATTAATCAATTAATATGACACATTATTATTAGCTAAATACCATAGTTTACATTATTTCAGCCTTTGTGTTGTACAGTTCTGTGGGTTTTGATGAGTATATATTGTCCTGTACCCCGTCTTACAATACCATGTAGACAGTTTCACTGCCTAAAATCTCCCATGTCCCACCTATTAATTCCTTCCTCTCCCCAACATTTGCCTATGGTTTATGTTTTTACTCTATATAGTTTTGTCTTTTTAAGAATGTCATATAGTTGGAATCATAAGGTATGTAGTCTTTTCAGACGGGCTTTTCTTTTCTTAGCAATGTTCATTTAGGTCCCTTCATATCTTTTTATGAATTGGCAGCTTAGTTCTTTATATCCCTTAATAATGTTTAATTATATGAATGTCCCACAGAATCTTTATCCATTCAGTTTCTGAAGAACATCTTGATGGTTTCCACGTTTTGATGATTATGGATAAAGCTCCTATAAATATTAGTGTGTAAGGTTTTGTGTGAGTGTAATTTTTAACTCATTTAGGTGAATACCTAGACACATGGTTCCTATACTTATATGGTAAGGTTTAGCTTTTAAAAAACTGCCAAAATATGTTTCAAAGTTACTGTACTCTTTTGCATTTCTACCAGCAATAGATAAGAATTCTTGTTGCTGCACATTCTGGCCAGCATTTGGGTTTGTCAAATGTTTTGGTTTTTAAACATTCTAATAGGTCTGTAGTAATAGCCTAAAGTTTTAATCTGTAATTCAATAATGGCATATAATGTTTAGCATCTTTTGATATGCTTATTTGCTAACTGTATATCTTTTTTGAGGTGTCTGTTTATATATTTTGCTCATTTATTATTTTTTTAAATATATATTGTCCATTCTTGTTATATTTTAGAAACACAGACACAAGTCTTTTATCAGAAAAAGGTTTTGTGAATATATTCTTCTAGTTTGTGACTTGTTCTTTCATTCTCTGAATGAAATCTTTTACAGAGCAGAAATTGCCAACTATTTATCAATTTTTTTTTATGTATGCTTCTGGTGTGGTATGTAAAATGTCATCATCAAACTCAAGGTAACCTAGATTATCCTGTTACCTCCTCAAATTTTGATAGTTTTATGCTTTACATTTAGGTCTGTGATCCATTTTGAACTTTTGTGACATACAGTTTTTGTCTAATATTTTTTGCACATAGATATTCAGCTGTTCATCGTTTGTTTAAAAGTATTATCCTTCCACCATTGTCTTTGCTCCTTTGTCAAAGATCTGTTGACTATATTTGCATAGATCTATTTCTGAACTCTCATATCAGTTCAATTGATCTATTTCTCTTTTGTTTTGCCAATATCACTTTGTCTCGATATCTGTAGCTTCATAATGTCTTAAAGTCAGATAGTGTTAGATCTCCTACTTCGGTCTTTTTTAGAATAATGTTAGCTATTAAAAGACTTTTGTCTTTCCACATAAACTTTAGTGAATTGTTATGAAACTTTCTTGGACCATTGGTATATTGAAAATAGAAAAGAATGGTCTGAAGGAGAATTTGGTAAGGACTGTTAATATGTATAATATGTTTTTGTCTTTTAAACTGAAATTTTATTTCTATTGATTTGACTAAAAAATTATTAGTAGGGTGCACAAGAGTTTAGCATAAGGCTGTTTATAACACATTTTAGTAAAAGAAAACTAAGTAAAGAAAGAAAGCAATTAAAAGGTTAATTATCCATTAGTTATATGATAAATAGATATAATACTATTTGCCAGGCATTTCCCAAAGAGTGTAGATGTTTTTTAAAAATGATGGCATACAAAAATATGGACTATTATTCTGTTATGAAAATGTATACTGCACAATAATTATCAGTGATAAGGAAAAAGTTTAAAATCTGTAGGTTAGTTAGAAAAGGGCAGCAAATCATTTGAGCTATATATTCCCAAAGTTGAAGTAAAAATTGCATATAAATATTTCTAATATATAAGTATCTCTGGTATATACTAGTATACACTAGTGATTTCTAGTATGGAAAAAGAAAAAAATAATATGTGTTAGCATGCTAATTACAGTTTTTCCTATATTTTATATATTTTGTAAATTCGTCACTAACTGTCAGTTTGTATGCAAAATAATAATAAACATATTTAAAGAAAAAGTTTTATTTCAGATTTGGTTTTGACTGTTCTTTTAAGGATGCCAAAGCTTAAAGTTATTTTTCTGTATGTGGAGACTACAAAGTTTTATGCTAGCTAAAACATAAATAAATGTTTAGAGGGATTTCTATGAGATAGTTAATGTGTATTAACTGCTTAGGATGACATTCTTTTCTAATCAAAATTAGAAGGAAATTTCTTGTTCTCATTTACAAAAGGAGAATATACCATGAAATACATCTTTACTCATTGTATCACTTATGAGAGTTAATATCTGTAGAAAAGTAACTCAAAATAATATTATTTATTGAATAAATAATATCTTTTTTAAAAATAATATTTTTAAAATGTCAATAAAATTGTTTTGTAATATGTACCCAAACATGCTAATAGAGGTTAATTCCACCACAATGTTACTGTCTCAGATTTTAGTAGCTACAGGCAACTATAGAGCATTACCATTGCATGAATCAGTGCAATGTAAAGAATCTGTACATAATGAATTAACAAAAGAGAGCAAACGGTTTCTTTATTTATTCAAAATAATGCATGCATATAGTTTTTTTTCATGGCATATTCCTAAGAGTCTTATAATAAAAAATATTAGTCTTCTTCCTCAACTTTCTGAAACTTTTATTCTGGAGTCCCCAAAATAATCCATCTCTACTTTGTGATAAATTTATCTTGCCCTTGTATTCATATTGGCATTGCTTGATTTTTCAATGTTATATATGTTGTGTTGATTTACTATTATAATAGTCAAGGATTAAGCTCTTCTCTATCACCTTTACTATCCACCTAGCTATCTTCATATAGTATATTTTATAACTTTTTCAATTTTGATACATAGTAGAATTTCCCCTTTATTCTTGAAATTCTAAAATGTCAAAATAAAGCTTTCTAAAATGTGTTGATTTTTGTAATTAACCATCCTTCCTTGGTGAAGCTTTTAATTGGAGATACATGCTATTCTGAGATTTCTTGCCTCATGGCTTTGATTACTTCTTCTCTTCAGATTTTTCTTATTGTCTCTTCCTGGTGTAGTTAACAATTACCTAGATTCAGCCCAGTTTTCTTATGTTAAGTCTCTTATGTTCTGTATCTTTGGTTTTTTTTTTTCCTCTTTATTTCACCTGGTATTCCTTTAATTCTATCTTTTAATCCTTCAAATTATTGTTTTTATTTATGTATTGTATGTACAATTTCTAATAACTTTTCTTCTCATGTGTTTCTTTTTATGTTATTTTTTAATATTATAATCTTCTAATTTCTCTAAAAGCATCTTATATTTTCTTATGTGTTTTCTTCTTGTTTTTATGTTTGGGAGAATGCCGATTCCTCACTCTTCATCATTTCTTTGGTATAGAAGAAAATATATAACGTAACCTACATGAATTTTTTCACTGGCCCTCTAACATTATAAGACAGAGCAAGTGGAGTAACTCATCCACTGGTGAGTTTTGGAGGAGGAAATAAGCATGTATACCTCTGTGCCTTTGTATATGTGTATTTGTGTCTTGGAATCAAGTGACTTCTCTAGGTCACACATGCTGCTGTATTCCACTTACAAGGTTTGTCCCTTAGAGACAGGAATGAAGAGGATTATATATAACACTGGTCCACATTCCCATATCTGGGTTATTCCTAGATTTTGTACTAGGAAACACATTTACCTAATATCTAAGTTGAATTTCTCAGAAATACCTTTATCAGCTATTAAGAGAGGTAAAAAATTAATTGCTTATTTGTCAACTCTCAGAGTTATTTCTTAAGTTTTATCAGCAGGGAAGGGAGCACTACTAATCACTCCCACTCTCACTTAGACAATAACGCTTGGTGTTATTATTTTCCTTCTGGATTAAAAATTGTTTTTTATCCCAGTTATATAACATGCCTTGTCTTCAAGCACCAAATTAATATTTAATAATGAGGCGCTAAAAGCTGATTTAAAGTTTGTGTAAAATGGTAAGTTTTATCTAACATAGGATTTCCCAGCAGCAGCAATATTGGCATTTAGAATCAGTTAATACTTTGTTGCAGGAAGCTGTCCTGTGTATTGTAGATATTTAGCACCATCACTAGCTTCTACCCACTAGATCCCTGTAGCATTCATTTCCTCAGTTGTCAGCATATTAAAAAAAATAGACTTTGCCAAATATCTCCCAGGGGCAACATTGTTCCTAGGTGAGAACTACTGATCTAGTATGATATGGGATCATACTGTTAAGATTGGCAGCATTTTATTGGCAGCATTTTGTTAAGATACACAAATCTCATACCCATTAGGATTTTTCATTCAAATATTTAGTTTCTCTAGGGGAGAAAAATGACCCTGGCACATATCCTCTCTTTTAGGAATCCAAATAAATAGCTAGAATATCTCCTATCGATGTATATCGTCCTGTAGTCTTTGTCTCTTTAAACATTGCCATTTTGTCATTTCAAAGGGGTCTTGAGCAGAGAAGGAAACAAAGTTGTAATTGATTGTGGATTAATTTGCATGCTTAAGTAAAATCCAGGCAGAATTTGTAGCCCCAAAGTGCACAGCTTAAGTTTTTTATTCACTTATTCACTTAATGAATACGTATTTTATATATATATATATATTTTTTCATAACTCAGTTATCTATATGACTCCAGAGAAGTTTTTCAAATATAGATCATTCAGATTTAGATTTCATGGTTAAAAATTACTACAAATGTCTTAGTTCATAAGAATCATAGGTATATTTAGATCCAATGACAAATCCAATTTAACAATTTTTGAAGATAATCTCTGGATATTTATACCCAATCAGTGTGAAACGACCTGTTCATTTTTTAATTTACTTATAGCTGGTAGTATATAAAATGCAAAATGCCTAAGAGCATTCTTTATAATAGACATAGCTACCTTCAAATACCTCCTGTGATGAGATGAATTATGCCCCCTCGATATCCATATGCTGAAGTCGTAACTTCTGTTATGTCAGAATGTGATTATACTCTGATACAGAGTCTCTAAAGAAGTAATCAAGTTAGGATAAGGTCATTAGTAGGCCTTAATTCAATGTGACCGACGTGCTTATAAGAAGAGATTAGTATAAACACACACACACACAGAGGGAAGACCTTGTGTAGATACAAGGAGAAGACGACCCTATGTAAGCCAAGTAGAGGGGTCTCAGAAGAAAGCAACCCTGCTCTTACTTTTCTCTTAGAATTCTAACTTCCAGAATTGTGAGAAAATAAATTTCTGTTGTTTAAGCCATGTAGCCCATGGTACTTTGTTATGGCAGGTCTAGCAAACAAACTTACTTTTAAAACCTCACTTAAATGACAGTAAAGAGAGAAAAGAGCATAAACTTGCAAGAAAGCAAAGGGGACAGAAGCAACAAAAGTTACTAACAGGTCAGTGAAAACAATGAACGGCCCTGAGAAAACATCAGTTCACATCACAGAAGTTAGAAAGATTTCAAGAATTGGTGTGGAAGGAGAAAGATATGTGAAGCTGAAAATAGGATGACAGCTCTAAAGCCTGTGAAAAGAGCTATAACATGCCAATCAAAAGTAATAATAATGATATACATATATATTTAAAAAGCTGTGACATTGTTTGACTCTCACCCTCACCTGCACTTCCACAACATGATGACATTTTATCCTATCAGAAGACTTGCAGGCATTAAATCAGAAGTTTGTAGTATAAACCAAAAATAAAATCTAAACTCCACAACTGATTGACTAAATGGACCCCTTCTGATGGCCAAGAAGATTCCAAAGAAACTTGAAAAACTAGTTCAGCTCATGGTGGGAAGTTGGGAGTTGGATATGCCCCATTATATTATCTTCCTTTTAAAGTCCCGAGTAAGAAACATTTGCCATATTATCTCTAAGGGCTGTCACCTATGAGACTTCATCTACTTAATAAAAATTTCAGGCTCCACAACCCCTTATCCTATTGATTCCAGGTTTTTAAATAATAACTCTTTCAACGAACTGGCAATCAGAAAATATTTGAATACACCTATGACCTGTAAGCTCTCACTTCCAGTTGTCCCGCTTTTCTAGACTGAACCAATGTATACCTCACATGTATTGATTATTTTTTTTTTAAGATGGAGTCTCACTCTTTCACTCTTGTCGCCCAGGCTGGAGTGCGGTGGCGCGACCTTGGCTCACTGCAACCTTTGCCCCCCGGGTTCAAGCAATTTTCCTGCCTCAGCCTCCCAAGTAGTTGGGATTACAGGCGTCTGCCACCACACCTGGCTAATTTTGTATTTTTAGTAGAGATGGGGTTTTGCTATGTTGGCCAGGCTGTTCTCGAACTCCTGACCTCAGGTGATCCACCTGCCTCGGCCTCCCAAAGAGCTGAGATTACAGTCATGAGCCATGGTGCCCAACCTGATTGATGTCTTATGTCCCCCTAAAATATACAAAACGAAGCTGTAACCCAACCACCTTGGGCACATGTTCTCAGGACCTCCTGAAGTTGTGTAACAGGTCATGGTCCTCACATTTGACCCAGAATACATCTCTTCAAATATCTTAAAGTGTTACACTTATTTTTGTCAACATTACTCAGAAGCAAAGGCATTAGGAAAGTTAGCTACTGAAGACAGGAGAGATGACCTTCATTCTAAGTGAGACTCCTCCCTTCTGCCCCAACACCCTGCTCAGGACTTTCTATCACTGCCTCACAGAATGATGGCAGCCAAGCATCTGCTTAGGCATGACATTGAATATTCATCCTTGAGCAAGTAATAAAGCTATTTACAAAATAGCAATATATATTTATACTATGTGTTACACATATTCATATTTATTTTACTATGTATATATCTATATTACTACTAAATATCTATATTACTATGTGCTATGTATATATATCTTTCTTAACTTAAATATATAATAATAATTAGCCTTAATAACAATTCTATGGATTAAGTACTCTTACTACTATTTTAGTTTCTATTTGTCCTCAATATAATGAACGTTCCAAGAGGGTCAACAATTGGAGATTTAGTCTTTTTTTTTTCACTAATCTATTTTCAATCTAAAAGTGTATGCCTCAAAATAATAAGCACTTAATGAATATTTGATGAATGAAGGAACACTTGAATTCTTATCTCATAGATGAGGAAACTAAAGCCTATAGAGGTTAAACTATGAGCTTAAGCTGTAGAAAATGAAAGTCATACTTAAACCTCATTCCCAAACGCCTATAGATATTAATAGCTAGGGTTCTTACCCCAAAGAGCACATCGTCATTATCCATCACTCTGCAAGGCATGTCCATGGATTTTTACTTGTTTCTTATCGAGTCATTATTTAGATGCCATAAATTTTATCCCTTCATATGTACAAGTCTATGAACTTTGACGAGTGTATCCAGTCATGCAACCTCCATCTAAAATGAAGATAGACTCAACATCAAAAAAAAAAAAAAACATGTGCCCCTGTATAATCAATCCCCTTTTACCATCCCAGCCCTTGGAAACCACTATTTTGATGTCAGTTCTTATGCTTTTGCTTTTACCAGAATGTCATATAAATGAAATCACAGGATATATAGCCTTATATGCCTAGTTTGTTAACTTAACATGATGTATTTTAGTTCCCACCTCTTTTTTAATATCTCAGTATTTCATTCTTTCTCATTGCTCAGTAGTATTTTATTATAAGAGTTACCATATATGGCCGGGCACAGTGGCTCATACCTGTAATCCCAGCACTTTGGGAGACCAATGCGGGCAGATTGCTGGAGGCCAGGAGTTCAAGACTAGCCTGACCAACATGGTGAAACCCCATCTCTACTAAAAATACAAAAATGAGTCAGGCGTGGTGGCAGGCTGCCTGTAATCTCATCTACTCAGGAGGCTGAGGCAGGAGAATCGCTTGAAGCTGGGAGGCAGAGATTGCAGTAAGCCGAGATTGAGCCACTGCACTCCAGCCTTGGCAACAAGAGCAAAACTCTGTCCCCAAACACCACCCCGCCAACACACACACAAAAATAATTACCACAGTGAATTTGTTTTTAGTTTTTGGCAATTATGAATAATCTGTCAATAATAATTGACTTACAAGTTTTTATGTAGGCATATTTTTCTTGGCTAATACCAGGAGTATTGGACTGTTGGATCACATGCTAAGAGCACATTTAATTTCACAAGAAACCACCAAGCCCTTTTTCAAAGGGGCTGTTCTATTTTGCATTGCCACCAGCATTGCATGAGACTTCCACATGCTTCAAAATTTCCCCAGCAATTACCTTTTACAGTGTTTTTATTTATTCCCCTCCCTCCTGCCTTCTCACTTTTTTGGCCATTCTCATGAGTACATAGTGGTATCACATTGTGGTTTTATTTACATGTCCCCAATTAAGCATCTTTACTTATGTTTATTTGCCATCCCTATCCATGAATATTTTATTCACATAAATCTGGATCTGAATCTCTACACTATCTCTTTAAGAAAATTTTATTTTTGCTGTTTCTTTACTCATGCTTAAAATGCAATACAGTGTTTGTATGAGGATTAAGTTGGTTCTTATGAAAAACCTATCCTAGACCAACATTTTTCCTTTAAACTTATTTGATATGTCACTGCCGTG
The DNA here is from genome assembly GCF_000001405.40 of Homo sapiens. Taxonomy (NCBI): domain Eukaryota; kingdom Metazoa; phylum Chordata; class Mammalia; order Primates; family Hominidae; genus Homo; species Homo sapiens. The sequence goes on from NC_000001.11 coordinate 188,513,805, forward strand.
TTGAGAAACTATCAATATTTCCTTATTGTCAACAGAACAAACCAGGATTTAAGCTTGTTCTTAACTTATTTGACAGACTGTGCTCTCTCAAATCTTTTTTCTGATCAATCACATTATGTCCAAGTTAGGAAGTGCACCATAACTTTATATTATTGTTATGCTCTAAATAATGTATTTGCCTTCCCATGTGTGTACTTTTCCTTGTTCTCCCTTCTCTAATTTATATTCATATTTCTCATGTCATTGAGTCTCAACAGCTTTTACATCTCACAACTGCAGAGACTATGTCTTTTTGACAGTTAGGTATTTTCCTAGAACCTTGAATAGAGTGTGGCATATGTTACATATTCAATTAAATGTTTGTTGAATAAATGAAAGCATATACTCCACTGGTATCTGTTGTTTGTTTCCTGTTCTACTTTAAAGATTTAATTTCCTCTGATATTGAATGTCATCTTTTTGTACCTTTAACTCTCATTTAGTATAACAAATTTAAATTTTCTTTAAAATAACATTAGTTTTTTAAAAGTAACATAGATTAAATATAGTATCTTCCAGTTATATGTGTTCATGCTCTATCTCCCCCAACTAGTTGAAAGTTGAGAACAAGAAAAATTTATGCCAAAAACTTGAAATTTGAAAATCCCCAATAAAAGTTGTGTGATAAAAATTTTCATCTTCCACTTAAGAGAAAATTTTCACATTCTACTTAAGAGAATATAATAATAAGATTAAGAAAGTGGTTTACAGATCACAATACTATAGATAAACAATTGGTTATAAAATATTTTAAAATATTATTGATATGTTGGCAAAAAACTAAAAGAGAAAGGAAAAAGAGAGAGAGAGAGAGAGAGAGAGATTACCATTAAAGAAAAAAAAGTAACTTTTCCTTGAGGAAAAAGAAGATATGGGGAAAAAAATCCTTGTAAGAAACCAACCAAACAAGCTTTCTATTGAGAATTTATAAGGTATAAGAACAGATTGTTTTAGCATTTTTTCCACGTTTGTGGGCCCTTTTCTTTAAAAAAAGATGAAAAATGGTACTGATATTCAGGTAGAATTACAAAATACAATGGAAAATAGATTTCCAGTAGTTATTTAATAAATGACATACTTCAATTTCCCTCTCTTTACACTCATTGTACATTCTGGCTTCCTGCCCCATATAAAGTTAATGGATGAGAGGTATTTTTAAAATTAGCTAACCACAGGAATAACTTTTTAAAAACCCTTTATTCAACAGCCTATTCAAATAGTAGTAGCTGATCTGGAATATGTGCAGTCCAGGGTTTACACTCAATTTATTTCTGCTTGATTTGGCTTTGAAAATAACCGCCCGCTGTGCATACCCTGCCAAACCTAATGCGGATATGCCTATTCCAGGAATCCTTCAGATTGGTGTCCTTTGTGTCCCCAGGGGCCTCTCATTGTTTTGCTAAAAGCACATTACCAGTAAGTTAACTTTGATTGAGATTGTCACAGTGTATATGATCCTTCAATGATTTTGAAATTATGAAAAGCATTTTTATATAATTGTGAGCATTATGCTTGACCCCATGATTATAGAAAATTTTAGATGTATATTTAAACCATTACAGGTTTCATATTAGTTCAACCATTTTTCATCTATGAAGCCCACAGCAGGATTTCAAGAACAAATCTTAGATAAACTCACGTTGAATTTGTTTCATTATTTGCCTTTTAGCATGTTTATGTAGCTGAAATATGCCACAAAAGGCCATGGTCAAATAATTTAACCTACTTTGAAATGAATTAAGTTTATAAAGTTAGCAACCTTATAAAATGAGAAGTGAGTACAATTTACACCAGGACCTATACCATCTGGTTTGACACACACACTGTGTCATTCTGACCTGGGAAACACTGGTGCAAAGCAGCTTGTGGAATAAGAGTCCCTAGGATGGTATAGCAGCTCTTCAACTTACTAGCTGTGTAATCCTAATCAAATTGGGTTGATGTGGTGATTAAATTAAATTACATTATCCATTGAAAGTGCTTGCACATAGCAAACACTTACTTAAAGTTTGTTATTAGTTATATTAATTTTAGCATTCTACCAGCTGTATGCAGCCTCGTATCAAGGGAAATTCAAGTGGATTGAAAATGCCATGCAATAAACCAAATATGTAGTCCTTCCATTAGCATTAACTCCTTTAGAGACTCTGAGAAAGCAACTGGAGTTTTCTGGGCTGCTTCTGTAAATTGTTAGATATATATAAGCAAGCCATAGTCATTTGGGTTCAGCCCAAATTTGTACTTCATATTTCTCACTTTCTTCAAATGACCATTAACTTTTAATGGTGTGGTATCTCATTTTTTTTTCCCCTTATAATCACAGACACGAGACTTGCATTGCTTTTCACAATAGGAAAGTAGTGTAATTTTCATAAATATTTTTCATTTCTCTTTTGACCATTTCATTGTTTTTGTGATGGAATAGTAGGAAAAACTAATTTTATTGGTAAGCTATTAAAAATCCAATTAACCTTTTATTTTCAGATATTTGAGTTTATTCAGGAAAGATAGTGTACACTCATCTTAAACTCTTGGATTTGCTTATCATCAGGAATAATGAGTCTGTGCTTTCAGTTTTTATGAATGAAGACTCTAACATTTAGAATACAAGTGTTGAATGGTAGTATTCAGGTACCACACCCAAACTTCAGTCTCTATTACCGTTTCCACTGTACAAAAAACTTCTGTATTTTGTGTTTTCTATGGTGATTTCTTTCATTTGTTTCCTTCAAAACACTAATGTTCTCATTAGAATCATGTTCTAACAATAACAAATGTAATTATATAATTCTCTAATTAACTTTGTATTGCACATGGTCAAGATAAAGAGGAAGAGGAGGAGACGAAAAGAAGAAGGAGGAGAAACAAAAACTCTAGGTAAATAATGATTCCTGGTACCATTTTCTTCTAGATCTACATCACGCTTTTAACATTTTAACTTTTTGTGAAAAGTTTGCTAGGCAAAATGCTGATTCTCTCTGTTAGTGAGCATCAACATTATTAAATACATAACCAAAGCTTTAAAAGAGTTCAAACTGCTAATATGTTACTACCAGTAAGTAAAATTAATATACAGGATCAACAGAAAAGTAAAAGTATAAGAAGTACTATATCTATGAAACTGTATGTGGCAAGTCTGCCTTTTCTGTCTCAGTGCATAGGCAGGAGTGAAGAGCATCCAAAGCTCATGATGATCCCAGGAATATTTTTTTCATCTCTTAGACACCATCAGCAGGAGTGAGAATGAGATTACTGAACTCTGTGTGTCCCTTGCTACATGGCTTCTCCTGAGGAGAGGGGAAAAGAGCACTCACTATGTGTATCACTCTACTTGCAAATAGGCAAACACTCTCAGCCACAAATACCCCAGTCTGCCTAAGAAACAATCAAGACAGATCCCATCATCACTTCCATCCTTGTTCTATCAACTACCACAAGAAATACAAAACTGCCAAGATATTACTCATTGCCCATCAGTCCCCTTCCTAAGTAGCTCTGCACATTCCTAATCTGCTACATGCGTCCTGTTTCAAGTTCAATTATACTCAATGCCAATATGATTAAAATGTACTATATCTTAACCTTTTTTCTCACTGTTCCTTTCAACTGCTGCCACTAACTGAAATCCAAATCTCTCTTGAGAATATTGCTTTTGGTGAAGACCTCCCAAGTGGCTGTATTTTGTTTTGTTTTCCGCGTCCCCACCACTCTTACATGGGAATGAGCTTGCAATCAGGCAGCTACATTCCTTAACCCTTATTGCCAATCCCAGACCATTGTCTTAGCCACATCAGTCCTTCAAAACACTCAGTATATCATTAGACCATGCCAATTGTCTTCAGTGAGTTAGACAATAAAGGTTGTAATATGTACAACATTGTAAATATGATCAACTGTCTAACTATATATTTTTTAAATAGTATTTTCTTCTTCTGGTGGAAAACATGATTCCCAGTTCAGTTGTCACTAAATTAGTGCTACTAAAATTGGTTTTGGTAACTAATGCCAGCCCATAAATTGTTTATAATTTGTCTGCGATACAATAATTTTAAACATTGAGAAAATATTTTACAAATGTTGTTATGACTCAATAGAGTAAATTCCTGTCCATTGAATCTAATATTTTTAAAAAACTTGTGTTTTTTACATACTTATTCTATTTTCTTTTTTTTTTTATTATACTTTAAGTTTTAGGGTACATGTGCACATTGTGCAGGTTAGTTACATATGTATACATGTGCCATGCTGGTGCGCTGCACCCACTAACGTGTCATCTAGCATTAGGTATATCTCCCAGTGCTATCCCTCCCCCCTCCCCCGACCCCACCACAGTCCCCAGAGTGTGATATTCCCCTTCCTGTGTCCATGTGATCTCATTGTTCAATTCCCACCTATGAGTGAGAATATGCGGTGTTTGGTTTTTTGTTCTTGCGATAGTTTACTGAGAATGATGGTTTCCAATTTCATCCATGTCCCTACAAAGGACATGAACTCATCATTTTTTATGGCTGCATAGTATTCCATGGTGTATATGTGTTCATTTATTGTAGTTTAGAAAGGTATCAGTATGTAACAGTTTGGGAAAATATTAATCACAACAAAAATAAGAAGCATATAATAGTAGGGACCTTCAACCACGGTAGAACAAAGGAATAAGTTAGATTCCAATGCGCAACTTTATCCACTTAAGTGCTGAACTGCCCAAAGCACAAATACCCAGAGGTACTAGCTTTAAACAAAACATATAATATTTATTTCTAAGAAACAACTATACTCAGGGGAATTAACCTAAGCGGTGTACCTTGACCTAACAAAAGTTCACTGTGCTTAAACTGAAACAAAATAGACATGTTATACTCCTTGGTGATAATCTACCAAACAGGTGACAGTACAGAGAAGGGAAGGCTGCTCTCAGCCCAGCACCACCACAAAATGTTGGCCTGGAAATACAGAAAATAATTACTCACATTGGAAATAAAATAAACATTAACTGTCTTACAGAATCAGATAAAATCCTAATTTAAAATAAAGGAAAATAACCGTGTTTCCTTTAAAAACCTTACTTAAAGCATTATTTACCTGTTATATAAATATTCGTGTTATATTTAAATAATCTATTTTCAAAAGAAATTTATTCAAGTAATACAAACTAAATACATGAAACAAAGCATAGTATACAAATTGAACATAAAACTTTAAAATTTAGGCATATAGTGCAATACTTTACATGTTTATCTATAATTTATCATAAGCTAGAAAGTAACAAACATAATTTTTTTCTTAAATAAAATTTATTTGGTTTTCAAATCCACCTTATTTAATAACCCCATTTTTTACTATTCCAGTGAAGTATAAGATTTGAGAACTGATTTCCAGAGAGCTAATTTCTTACAGAAAATTAAAGCATTTACCTTTCCAGTTTATTATTTCAGGAATGTGAAGTCACTACATGACCATACTATTGTGTATAAGAGTCCATCTTTCTGGAGCTAAGATGCTGAATTACTAATTATGATAAGGATGTCTGGGGCTTTCTAGATTAAGTTACTTGCATAGAGATCATTTCAATCATTTATTGACCCATTCATGGATATATATTGAGTGCTTACTATGTGCAACAACGTTCTAGAAGCTAGAACTAGGGCTATGAATAAAATAAAACCTTGTGCAAAGTAGAAGAAATTAAGGAAATAGATAAGAATTTGTGTGCTGGTTGATTCTTTCAAAAAACCAGCTCCTGGATTCATTAATTTTTTGAAGGGTTTTTTGTGTCTCTATTTCCTTCAGTTCTGCTCTGATTTTAGTTATTTCTTGCCTTCTTCTAGCTTTTGAATGTGTTTGCTCTTGCTTTTCTAGTTCTTTTAATTGTGATGTTAGGGTGTCAATTTTGGATCTTTCCTGCTTTCTCTTGTGGGCATTTAGTGTTATAAATTTCCCTCTACACACTGCTTTGAATGCGTCCCAGAGATTCTGGTATGTTGTGTCTTTGTTCTCGTTGGTTTCAAAGAACATCTTTATTTCTGCCTTCATTTCGTTATGTACCCAGTAGTCATTCAGGAGCAGGTTGTTCAGTTTCCATGTCGTTGAGCGGTTTTGAGTGAGATTCTTAATCCTGAGTTCTAGTTTGATTGCACTGTGGTCTGAAAGATAGTTTGTTATAATTTCTGTTCTTTTACATTTGCTGAGGAGAGCTTTACTTCCAACTATGTGGTCAATTTTGGAATAGGTGTGGTGTGGTGCTGAAAAAAATGTATATTCTGTTGATTTGGGGTAGAGAGTTCTGTAGACGTCTATTAGGTCCGCTTGGTGCAGAGCTGAGTTGAATTCCTGGTTATCCTTGTTGACTTTCTGTCTCGTTGATCTGTCTAATGTTGACAGTGGGGTGTTAAAGTCTCCCATTATTAATGTGTGGGAGTCTAAGTCTCTTTGTAGGTCACTCAGGACTTGCTTTATGAATCTGGGTGCTCTTGTATTGGGTGCATATATATTTAGGATAGTTAGCTCTTCTTGTTGAATTGATCCCTTTACCATTATGTAATGGCCTTCTTTGTCTCTTTTGATCTTTGTTGGTTTAAAGTCTGTTTTCTCAGAGACTAGGATAGCAACCCCTGCCCTTTTTTGTTTTCCATTTGCTTGGTAGATCTTCCTCAATCCTTTTATTTTGAGCCTGTGTGTGTCTCTGCACATGAGATGGGTTTCCTGAATACAGCAGACTGATGGGTCTTGACTCTTTATCCAATTTGTCAGTCTGTGTCTTTTAATTGGAGCATTTAGTCCATTTACATTTAAAATTAATAGCATGGCACATGTATACATATGTAACTAACCTGCACATTGTGCACATGACCCTAAAACTTAAAGTATAATAATAATAAAAAATAATAATAATAATTACTTATTATGACTGTACTAAAATTCAAGTCTTCTAATATGTGCTATTCAGACCCATGATTCTATTAAACTCTCTATTAATAAAACATATATGTAGTTTGATACAGAAAAAAAAAAAGAATTTATGTGCTGGTACATTTCCAAAGACTGACCAAGGGAAATATCTTTGAGAGATAACTTTGAGTAGAAATCTGAAAAGAGTGGGATAGACAACCATGTGCATATGTAGAGAAAGAATATTTTTTTAAAAAGGTGAGTACAGGTGCCCAGAGGTGGAAATGTCCAAGGTGTTTTGTAGAAGCAGCATGGAGGCCAGTGTCTCTGCAATGGAGAGGACGGGAAATAAATAATAGGAAATAAGGTCAAAGAGGGAGTAGCAGGTCTTTCTTCCTTCCTTCCTTCCTTCTTTCCTTTCTTTCTTTCTTTCTTTTTTTCTTTCTTTCTTTCTTTTTCAGCTTAGTTTGGAATGAAATAACTTCAATTTCTGCTTTCAGTTAATCTGCAGATGTATTTGGTAAGAAAGTAGATAAAGGTAAAGCAGAGTTCTAACTTTAGAAACGAGCTGTTGAAACACACCAGCAGACTTGCCACTATCTTAGGGGAAAGGCCACATTAATGTGTTGGTGCACTGGGCTAGTAGTTCTAACAGATTTAAACTCAATAAATAGGAAAGAGAAACTTTACTTAAAAAATTAACACGATGGAAAAAAGTATTTTTTATTGATTGTACAGAACACCCACATAAACATATAGCTTAGCTTGTAAGAGAATGATAAAAACAAATTAAAATATTTGAAGTAAATGACTAAAACCAAATGAAAAATAGAGTGAAGCTAAAATTTAATTTATATTTGCAGTAAGCAAAAGGTAAGAAACAACTTAAAAACTAAGAAAATAGGATAAAAAAGGAGACTACATGCCAAATTTTTTAAAAAGAGATGATAAAATCTACTAAAAACAAAAGTTTAAAATACAATAAAACATAAATTGAGCTAAGATATACATTAAATGATCAATAATGTCCCAACTTGCTCTGCCCTTATGCGCAGAAACAATCTGGTATCGACTTAAGATGACAGAAATGTAAAATTTCTTTACATTGACTTCCATGGGCTGCAATTTGTTGTTGTTTTGTTTGGGCCCAATAATTTTTCAAAATTTTAATTGTATATTTTCGAAGGGTGCAATAATTTCAGTATTCAAACTGTATCAATAGTAGTATATGTAACAATGAAAATTTTAATTGTTCTTTTTGTTTCTTTTACACTAGATGAAAGCAAATGAGCAAAAAGACCTTTAACAGCTTTTTTTTCCCAAGTCTCCATTGACTATTCAGGGTCTTCACTGGTTCTACACAGATTTTTGAATTTATTTATCTATGTCTGTGAAAATTAACACTGGAATTTTGTAGATTGCTTGACTAGTATAGGCATTTTAGTAATATTAATTCTTCCAGTCCATGAACACAGTGTATCTTTCCATTTATTTTTATCAACTTCAATTCTTTTCATCAATATTTTATAGTTTTCAGTACATAGGCCATTCACCTCACTGGTTAAGTTTATTCCTAAGTTTTTTGTTGTTGTCGTTGTTGTTGTTGTTGTTGTTGTTGTTTGTAGCTATGGTATGAGGTTTTTTTCTTGATTTTTTGGGGGCAGTTTGTTTTTGGTGTAAAAAATGCTACTTATTTTCTTATTTCTGTGTATTGATTTTATATCCTAACGCTTTACTGAATTCACTTACTCTAACAGTTAATTGTTAGGGTCTAAGGTTTTCTATATGAAAAATCTTGTCACCTGTCATCAGAAACAATGTCGCATCTTTGCATAAAGAAACAAAACTGAAGGCATAATTCCACCTGATCTTAAATCTACTATAATTTGATAATAATCAAGAGCCTGGTGCTGCACAAAAACAGACATAGGTAAATTAAACAAAATAGAAAGCCCGAGAATATGCCAACAAATTTATCGTTAATCGATACTCGACAAAGGTGACATGACAAGAACGCACAATGGGAAAAAGATAGTTTTTTCAATAAATGGTTTTGGTGAAATTGGATATCTACGTGCAAAAGAATGAAAGTGGACCCTTATTTCACACCATATGCAAAAATCAACTCAAAATGGATTCAAGACTTAAACATAAGACCTGAATTCTAAAACTATTAGAAAAAAAAAAAGAGAAAACAGAGAAAAAGCTTGACATTGGTCTTTACCAAGATTTCTCTGGATATAACCCAAAAGTACAGGCAACAAAATCAAAACATACAAGTAGTATTACATCAAACTAAGATGCTTCTGCACAGCAAAAGAAACAATCAATAGAATGAAAAGGCAACCTTTCATTGGCTAAAGAAGTGCGGCAGTGGGCTCATGCTTAAACTCAGGGAATTCACTGGTCTTACCATGTTCTCCATCATCCTGAAGCAGCTGGATTGATAGAATGGTGGGAGGCTTTTTGAAGTCACAATTACAATGCCAACTAGGTGAAAATGCTTTGCAGCGCTGAGGCAAAGTTCTCCAGAAGGCCGTGTATGCTCTGAATCAGCATCCAATATATGGTACTGTTTCTCCTGTAGCCAGGATTCATGGGTCCAGGAATCAAGGGGTGGAAGTGGAAGTGGCACAACTCACCATCACTCCTAATGATCCACCACCAAAATTTTTGCTTCCTGATCCTGCGGCATTCCATTCTGCTGGCCTAGAGGCCTTAGTTCCGGAGAAAGGAATGCTGCCACCAGGAGACACAACTACAATTCCACTAAACTGAAAGTTAAGATTGACACCTGGACACTTTTGGATCCTCCTACATTTAAGTCAACGGGCTAAGCAGGGATTTACAGTGTTGGCTGGGGTGATTGGCCCAGACTATCGAGATGAAATCAATCTACTGCTCCACAATGGAAGTAAGGAATGGTATGCACGGAATACATGAGATCCATTAGGGCACCTCTTATTATTACCATGCCCTGTGATTAAGGTCAATGGGAAACTACAACCACCCAATCCAGGCAGGACTACAAATGACCTAGACCCTTCAGAAATGAAGGTTTGGATCGCTGCACCAGGAAAAACAAAGCAAAACAAAAACATGACCTGCTGAGGTACTTGCTGAAGGCAAAGAGAACACAGAAGGTGTAGTAGAAAGAAGAAGGTAGTCATCAATACCAGTTTTTACCACGTGGTCACCTGCAGAAATGAGGACTGTAATTGTCATAAGTATTTCCTCCTTCTTTTGTTAAAAACACGTTTGTGCATGTATACACTTGTACTAAGAAAATATCTTCATTTTATTTCCTTTCTCCTTTATCGTGGGACATAAGATTTTTTGACTTCCTATCTGCATTTAAGTACTGATAACTTTATGCAATAGCATTTGAGTTGGGGATTGGAGTCACAATTTTTTGTGTATCCTTTTCTGGTTGTGTGAAGGATAGTTGTATTATGTTAGGTATAATTAGGACCATAATCTTGTATTTATTTGAAGATTATGTATAATCTCAGGAGATGTGTATGGGTCAACTTATAATGGGTGAACTTATGATGGTTAATACTGAGTGTCAACTTGATTGGATTGAAGCATGCAACGTATTGACCCTGGGTATATCTGTGAGGGTGTTGCCAAAGGAGATTAACATTTAATCAATAGGCTGGGAAAGGCAGACCCACCCTTAATCTGGGTGGGCACCATCTAATCAGCTGCCAAGGAGGCTAGGATATAAAGGAGAAAGAAAAAAAAAATGTAAAAAGACTAGACTGGCCTAGTCTCCCAGCCTACATCTTTCTCCCATGCTTGATGCTTCCTGACCTCGAACAACAGACTCCAAGTTTTGGGACTTGGACTGGCTTTTCTTGCTCCTTAGCTTACAGGTGGCCTATTGTGGGAGCTTGTGTTCATGTGCACTAATACTTAATAAACTCTTCTATGTATACATACACACACACATATATACACACACACATATACACTATATGTGTGTGTGTATATACACACACACACACACACACACATATGTATCCTATTAGTTCTGTCTCTCTAGAGAACCCTGAGTAATACGTCAGTAAACAGTGGTCTGACCTTGCCCAAGTCACAATTTCAAACTCTCATTTTTTTATATGTGAAATTGGGATACTACTATAACCCTAAATTTCTACCTCATAGAATTTTGAATTTTTAGGACTAATTGGTACCACCTATATTGTGTTAATCACTTTTCTGGCTAAAGTCCTAAGAGATGTGGATAATTCATATTTGGTATTGATACATTAAACAAATATAAATAATTAGTTATGTTTAAAAATGTCAAAATTTTTACTAAAAAAGGAAAAATTATAGTGGTCTTCCCACAAGAGATTTGAAAAATAAGTGTACTTAGACTGTCATCTTAATATTCAGCTCCTTATCATTCTTAATATTAGTGTCATAACTAATCATGAATTCTTTGGCATAAGTCTCAAGCAAAGGTAGTTTTAATTCCTGGCTGAGAAAACTGAAATATTAAGTAATTCAAATAATCACTTTTGGTATATATATATATATTCTTCTTTTTGAGTGAATGCCTATAGATATCAAAATAAAGATAAATATTTAAATAATCTGAAAACAGAAATATCACAATTTTGAACATAGATGTATATATATATATTTTTTTCTTGTCTAGTTTTAACACTCCTACAAATTTTGAATTAACAAAGTCTTTCTCATTTGTAGCTTGCTACCTTATCTAGTCATTGAACATTTAACACAGTTAAGTACAGTCTGAAATATATGCAAGCTAGTATAAATAATACATAGTACACATTTTAAAATGGCATTTCACAAGTTATGCCAAAGAGGTGAAAGCACTGATATATAAAGAGATTGACATTATGATAGTGCCTCTCACCCATAATCACATTAAATATATTTAGAGAATTGTAAAAAGTAAAGTAAAAGAATAATTCTGTAATTAATTTGAATTTTTTAAGATAGTAATGATGCCTTAGGAAATTACTCACTAAAACCTAGAAATTTCAATAAAGATTATTTTCTTGAGAATATAATCGATTTTAAAAGCACAATTTGAATTGTACATACTATAAGAGAGAAGAGAGAAGTAAAAAAACATAAAAACCCAGATATCAAGTGAACAGAACTGGATATTTTTTCTTCATTTTTAGAAAAATGTTGAATTTTTCATAGAGCTGAAAGAAATCCTCATTATAATGCATTTTTAAATGAAAAATGGAAGCTCTGAACTCACTGCCAAGCTACAACATAGGCATACTGAGCTGTATTTATCTCGTGAATGATTCTTGGAATTTTTACATCATTAGCCCTGGTTTTTTTTCTTTTTTTTTTTAACATCTGTTCTTTCTATTATTCTACTGCAATATTGAAAACACCACTCAACATGTATCATGTTTCACCATCTACAAAAGTAATTGTTTTCCTTACATGAAGAAAATGTATGCTTACATATCTGAACATTTTAGAATCAAGAAAGTGCTTCATGGGTCACATTTCTTTTATCATTAGGAGGAATTCTTAACACCAATTTTCATTGACTTATTTGTAAAAAATATTTTAAATAGTGAATAATCGTAAGTATAACTTATTTTATATATAAATGAGTAGAATTGTGTAATATCTTTGCCACTTGTCCTGGTTTGAATCTGAAAATGATGTAAATTTTTTTGTGGACAGTGTTGCTCAGTGTGTGATTATATTTGGAGAAAGCCTTTAAGAGACAAAATTATCATTTGACATTCTTGATGATTTTCTTTTCATTCATCCATGTTACTTGAGAGCAAGAGTAGAAAAAGCATTCACATAGGAATGTGAAAACTGGATATTTTATTATATGACATAATATTTCAGTATTTATGCTGGATGCAATTTTAGAATTTTAGAAAATATAAAAATAAATATATTTTGTCCTCATTCAATGAGGAAACAAACACAGTAGATAAAAATGTAAATTTTTGTTCTGCAATAGAAGGGAAAAAAGACAAATGACATACCATGTTTATTGCATGAAAAAAAATTAAATTATCTAATGAAATGATGAACCATTCTGCAGAAATTATTTCAAGTTAATAAAGAAAATTTACTTGTCTGACAGTTATGATTTCATGTTAAAGAATATTTCAGCTTTTAGAACAGAAATATTTTAAAGTCATGTAGTCCATAGACTTGAACAATTAACTGTTTGGGAAAATAAATATAAATAAATGAAAATCCAATATTAAACAATAAGTTTATTTTAAAACTACAAATAAATGTCAGAAAACATATGAGGAAAAGTGGATAAATCTATCTGGAACACTACGGTACAACATTTTGTAGAGAACATAATTTAGTTGATTCAGTGTTTATTATTTTTTAATCAGATGAATTTTCAAAGTTCAATCCCTATTTTCCTACTACTTAACTATCCTTCTCAAATATGGTGACAATCATTTCTGTATTTTCACATATTACAGCTAATAAAATAAGGCAAGCTCTTTGTCTCACTGTGTCTTCAATAATATTCTGAAAGGTAGGTCTTGAAAGTGTGAAACTGAGATTTAAATAACATTATCAATGGATTGTTTCTGAGTATTAAAAGGCCATAAAATTAACAAGTTGACTTTTAATAAATATATGACTGACATTTATATTAGGATAATATAAGTATAAATATTTTATGTATCTTAATATCAATATGATGTCTATTATAATCTAGTTATTATTAATTACCTTGTTAATTACATTTATTGACAACTCATACTACCTTTGGCTTAGAACATATCTCAAATTCATAAGTTTCTGTTTAACAAAGGCTAAAGTCTACAAATGATCTTGAAACTTGCCACACTCTGATTTTTGTGTATGCCTAACAGTTCATTATCTGACTTGTTGAATCATTTTATTTGTCTCCATTAACTCAAGATATTCCTGTTTAAAATAACTTTAAAAAAGTAATGGGGTTAATGTGAGTTACTCTCTTGAGTAAGAGAAGGACTTAATCTTGGTAAATTATATTCGTATACTAATGATCATCCTATATATTTATTTAGATTATTAACTTTAGAAAATGCATAATGATCCAACTTTCATTTAAATACTTTTAGTTCAGATATATATTCTTTAATAATAATATTTATAGTTTTAAAACTGACTGCTTATGTTGAAAATGCATTAACAGCACCAACATACACCCATGTGAATATACATAACTGTGTGTGTGTGTAAATATACATATACACATATATATGAATGTAAAATCAGTAATTATTAGAGGGTTACTGAGATAACTAAGATTAGAGGTGACAACATTGAAAAGTAAAAAAAAGCGCAAAATAAAAGTTGACATTCCACGGTAGCTTTCTTCTGGGGCTTCCCAGTACTAAACATGGGGCAAAATTGTGATAATGCATGTTTTGCCCCCAAAACAGGCTGCTTATGTATTTGGGTTTCAATCCTTGATCTTACTATTTGTTTTACATTTTTTTCTCGTTACTTTTTCTCTCTTCAGCCAATCAATTGTTTATTTGTGAGTTACTCACACTTTTATTATTGTTTATTTGTTTCTCTATTTGTTTCCTGTGGATGCCATAACAAATTATAACAAATGTCATGGCTTAAAAACAATAGAAATTTATTCTCACAGCTCTGGAGGCCAGAGCAGTTTCACATGATTCAAAATCAAGGTGCCAACAGGACCTTAATCCTTGAAGGCCCGTTAGAGAATTTATTTCTTGCCTCTTCCAGCTTCTGGCGACTGTTGATGTTTATTTATTTGTGGCTGCATCACTGCAATCTCTGCCTCTGTGAACATAGCACCTCTTCTTGTTTTGTGCATAAAATCTCCCTCGGCCTTCCTCTTATAAAGTCACTTCTAATTGGATTCAGGGCCCACTTCAGCAACTCCAGATAATCACTGTATGTCAAGATACTTAACCACATATGTAAAAATCCTTTTTCCTTGTAAGGAAACATTTATAGGTAAAGAGATAGAACCTGATATCTTTGGGTGGCCATTGCTGGGCTTCCTACAGTTACTCCAGAGACGATAGCATGCATTTATGATTTTGCAGACCCTCCTGAGAATTTAAATTTCCAACTCATGTATAGATCCCTGAACTCTTTAATGTTGTATATTTTCTTCCACTTGTTGAGAAACATCCTTTGCTAATCACTGTGGAGTAATGGAATGAGATTTGCCTTCCGACCTGTAAGCAACAAGAACAACCAAGCGAAATGCCTGATACAATCCTTTTTTGAGAACTTAATCATTGGACAACAAAGGACAGTATTATCTGAGAAATTTGGTTGAGGGAGATGAATCTTACAATTTTCTGTGTTTATTTGGCTGCGGGATAGGGAAAGGAAACTGAGAGAGTCCAATAGGCTTTTTAAGTTGCAGAGATGGAGCTGAGATTTAGAGAAGTGCAAGGCAACTAGAGTTCAAAAGAAAATTTTCTGATTCTGATAGGGGAGGGCTACACTGAGGAAAAAACCCTAAAAATTTGCAGAGGTGATCCTTCAAGAATTCAGCAGAATCGTTTTCAATGTATGCATGTAAGAAAACTATGCATGGCTGGGAGATGAGGAGAGTTCGAGTACTGGATTCTCAACCAGGGGATATTCACCACCACTCTCTCCCACCCCCACCAGGTAACTTTTGCGATGTCTGAAAACATTTTTGACTTACACTACTGGGGAAATGTTCCTGGTATCTAGTCTGTAGGGGACAGTGATACTACTAAATATCCTGCAATGTACAGGACTGCCACTCTCCCCACAATATAGAATTACCCATATCAGAATGTCTATAATACTAAGGTTAAAAAAACACATATTATAAGGGACAGTAGCTCCATTACACAGATAATGTGTAACGTGAACAGGGCCTATTCCCAGCAGTTACCTTATAAAAATTCATAATTCATGTGGAACTGGAGAGACAACTATAAAATCTTGCCTGAGTAGGAGGAAATACTCAGAATTGCTCTACACCCACATAACAAATCATAAGACCAATATCAAGTAGAACAAAATGGCTTCCAGGTAACTTAACTATACATTAGAAGAAGGTCAAAAATTATTTATAGAAATATAGAAATATCCAGAACCTGAAAATGTGTAATAGACAATGTCTGATATTCAATCAAACATTATGAGGCATCCAAAGAGGCAGAAAAAAAAATGGTTCACAACGATGAGGGTAATCATTCAATCAAAACTAAATGAGAAATGAGGCATATGTTGCAGTTTGCAAAGAAAGACATTAAAATATGTGTTATTACTATGTTCAGTTTCAAAGGTTCAAAAAGTAGAAACATTAAAAATGGATTATTGTTTTCATGAATCTTATATTTAATCAATGTTAAATTTCAAGAGCTAAAATTTGTTTTAAATAGTCAATATTTAGATTTATATACATATTTAAACATCTGTATGTTCACCTTTCTTCATTTGGTATTTTACATTCAGAATCATATTTTATCTTGAAGCATTTCTTCAATTATTTTTATCATAATGACTGATTGGTGTTAAATTTAGTTTTAATGTATTTAAAAATTATTTCTTTCAATTTCACTTTTGAAGAATTTTTTTGTTGAGCACAGAATTCCAGCATTCAACAATTAATGATGTTATTCACTGTTTTCTGGCCTTCCATATTTCCGTTATAATACATAAATCTATCTTTGCATATATATGTCTATCTGTAGCATAAGAAATATTCATATATGTGCATTGATAAATATACTTTAAATAAATATTCAAAATATATGCATTTATATGTCCATATATTTAAATATATTAATCTATGTATATATGAATAGTTGTTATGCTAGAGAAAAATTGCCTACATATGTGCAAAACTCAGATTTGGTCTATAGACATATGTTATATGCCTATATACGTACAAAGCACAGATCCAACTTATTCTTTCATTAAATAAAACTGGCAATTCTTGGCAGCAACTTGTATTATACCAAGACTTGGTAGTTTTGAAGTTCTTACTTGCGTTTATCTTTAGTCAAGGAAAATTCTGGGTATAATTTACTTCCCCAGTCATTTCTGCAAGTCTGAAAGCTAGAGCCTCGATTATCACATTGCTCTGGCAGGACTTCTGTCTACATATCCACTCCAAGAGCTAGGGAGAGAGTCTATATTGTTTGTCATTTTACTAGTAATTATTTGGAGAGGTAGCTCAATAATTTTCATATTTTTAATTTTCCCTAGTTGATTCAATGTTGACCATACTTGGAAGCAGACAGACTAGGCAGAAAGTGAAGAGTAAAAGAAAAAAATGCATGAAGGCCACATGCTCAGGAACTTCAGCATTCATTTATGGTATGAGATTATAGTTCAACAAGGGATGCAACTTAGAATAAAGTGGTAAATTATGAGAAATAATTGTGACCTATACAGTGAAGAACTAAATGCAAAAAACATCTAAAAAATTAGAGGTTGGTCAAATACTTGGAATGCCGCTAAAGAGGCCAAGAAAAGTGAAAAATTTGATTTGAGTGACCAGAGCAAAGTAATTTTCAGTGGAGTGGTGAAGAAAAAAGTCAAAAAAAAAGTAATTTCAAAAAGAGGTGGGGATGAGGAAGAAATGTAACTATTCACTCAGTAGCTATTGAAGATAAACTAAAATTATGAGCAAAAACACGCTTCTTTGAAAACTTAACTATCTAAGGGAGTCAGGTGTGCTGGCTCATGCCTGTAATCCCAGTACCTTGGGAGGCTGAGACAGGAGGATCACTTGAGGTCAGGAGTTCGAGACCAGCCTGGCCAATACAGTGAAACCCCGTCTCTAGTAAAAAATACAAAAATTTGTCAGATGTTCTGGCAGGCGCCTGTAATCCCAGCTACTCAAGAAGCTGAGGCAGGAGAATAGCTTGAACAACCCGGGAGGCGGAGGTTGCAGTAAGTCGAGATTCCACCACGGCACTCCAGCCTGAGTAGCAGAGCAAGACCCTGTCTCAAAAAAAAAAAAAAAAAAAAATAGAAAGAAAACTTAACTTTCTAAACTAAAATGCATGTATTATTTCAAATGTTCTTTCTACTTAAAAATGTTTTATATCATTTGCCTAAATCTTCTGATACGTGCTAATAGCATAGAGTGTTATGATAAAAATTGTTATTTAGCATAACAGTTGCAGGCACAGCTGAAATATGATGGCATATCATACTGAAAATTGCCCCTTATAATTTACTTTAAAATATGTGGAGTTCTGTTTTACATGCTTCGTGTGTTTCCAGAAGTAGCCATCAATTTTTTTTACTACCTAACATTTCATTAAAAGCAAAGGGAAAATCACCATTGTATTCTAAAAACGAGCCAAGGAAATATGATCCAGAATGATGGAGAATATGCTGAAAGTATGATTAAAAATGATGATAAAATATGATAAAAGTACAAATAAGATAAAAGTAAATAGCAAAGATGGAAAAAGAGGGCCAAAAAAATTTAATTTATAACCTTGTGTCAAACTTTTCTTTAAAATTTAACTCTGCAGTAGCTTAGATTTCAAGAAAGTTAATATGAACAATTCAAAGTAAAAATGTAGTCTACTAAATATCTTTAAATGAAACTCTGCAGTAGCTTGGATTTCAAGAAAGTTAATATGAAGAATTCAAAATAAAAATGTAGTCTAAATACAGGTTGAAATGGAGACTAAAGCATACTCACTCATATATTTTTAAATATAACCATTTGAAATGCATATTCATAAGAACTAATTCATCTAACTCCAATCACATCTTATTTTAGTTCACAAGCACTGGCAATTTTTGCCTTTATTATGAGGAAAGAACAATCACATTAGAAAGCCTTGTCATTCTCCCAGTAATGAGTTCAATATGACATTTTGGAAAATGCTTTGCTGTGACTAGAATAGCAATGTTGATTTTATATTTTGAAAAGATGCTTCAAAACACAGACAGTGAGAACAATTTCATATAGGGATTTATTTTTTTCCCATTTCAATTTGAATGTGAGTTAAATTCTAAATTACAGTAATTGTGTACTGTTTTCATGTTACTATGAAGTTTCAAATTGTGGGCTAAGTCTTTTTCTGGAAGCAGAATCCCATCAATAGAAAATTATTTTAAAAACTGCTATTATTGATTTTTAGTACAAGATATTTGATTTACATCCATGGAAAATACCAGTAATTATGCATTAAATCAGAAGTATTTAAATGAACACAATTTTCATAGTACAGTCATAGTGAGGAAAAGAAAATTTCTTATTAGTTCAACCTTTTTAAGCTACTGTATCTAGTTTTAGAGTTGAAAGGTGTATGAATGTATACTACTTAAGGCCATTTTGCAGAAAACAAAGAGAAGCCTATTCTAACACAGCTTATTTCTAATTAGCATTATTCATCTGTATTTTCCATCCTATAGTTCTTTTTGAAACTGTCATGTCACAAAACCAAATGACACTAGGTAATGTCAAATAAAAAATAGCACAAGACAAAATTAAATAGATAAGGAAAACTTTATTCAAGGCAGTGAGAAAGAAGATGACATAGTCTGAAGTTAACTCAGCTAAAACAAAGGGCAGAATTTTTAAAAGCAGAGTTGGGAAGATATTAGGCCGTCTGTATGTGCTAATTGCACTTACCCAGAAGAAAAGCAAGCTCTGTCCTGCCTTCCCAACAGAAGCAAGGTAGCCACTGAAGTTGCTCAGAGACTAGGGGATAAGGGTGCTATCTTTCTTGATGATTTCATTTCAAAGAAATTGTCCTCAGGACCTGGGGGAAAATAGTCTTGGCTTGTAAAACTGGCAAAAGAGGCTTTTTGAAAAATTTAGAACTCAATGGGTCAGAGAAAGAATGTACAGTCATAATTTTTTTAATTAAATGTTTCAGGAAAAGGGAGAGAAAGGGTGTCTATGGTTAGGATATATGGATTCTGTAAGGGCTGGAGTGAGAGGAAGATCAGGGGCCAAGTTTGGCTAAAGTCTAGTTAAGCTGAGGGAAATGTTAAGGCCATCTTGGTCAGTATTTATTTTTAAGTGTGCACAATCTAGAATTATTGATTCATGTTTTAGAAATACATGGGTTTCCTATAATGCAATATAGGGTTTCCTATAATGTGATGATTAACTTCAGAGTTCAATTTAAAAAAATAAAAAATAATATAAAAATTATTTTTATTAAAATGCGAAAGGAGGCATACATTGTGGTAAGGGGCAAAGGCTGAAAATAGCAAACTAACTAGGTGCTCAGCAAAAACATTTGTATTCTCAAGCCTCCTTTGCAATTAGGTTGAGGTCATGTACCTGGACCTGGATTCTCATCAATGGAATGGGTGTCTAGTTTAACATGCCATGAATTGACTTCTTTAACATGACAAATAATTTAGTTGATCCTTAATTCTAATATTCAATACTAGATGTTATAATTACTTACATTTAAAATAAGTTTCCTTATGGAAAACATAAATAAATATAAGAAATTATACTAAAGCCACTTCAAACATTCCATCTGAACAGAGCTACAGATATGATTATAATAAACTCGGTAAAACATGCTGAAAAATACTAACTGATTCAAAATTTAAAAATATTTGATACCTTTGTTTGAATTTCTTTTATTTACTTTTATTATATGTTACAAATCACATCTAGAATATTGTGTTTTTCCAAGAACAGTTAAAAGAAAGAGATTTGCACTATGGCCTTCACTAACAATTCATAACCACTATTTCCATGGTGCAAAATGCCTCAGGACACGTATTTTCCTACTCCATTTACTCAACCATTTATCAAGATGAGACTACTTAATTCTTCTCTTTTTTTCTACAATATTTAGTAACTTCACTCACTGAGAAACTTGAAGGAATTAAAAAAGAACTTCTATATGCTCCCAGTGTTCATATATTAACCATTTTTATCCATATGTTTTACCCTGTTTTTCTTTAGATTTACATGAATTATCCCTTGTTCCATTTAATTTCAGTCCCCCTTCTTATGCACTAGATGCCATTACTTCTTTTTCATTACAGACATTGTTCTAGAAATTTTCCCTTCTCTTGACACATTTCAAAATGTTCCTCACTCTACTAAAAGATTGCCGTCAGCATATACTCACACATATATGCTCACACACACATATATGCAGCCCATAACTTTAGCAAAAGTATTTTGTAAATTACAAATGGTCTCCACTTTGCTAAACATAATTGTCTTTTAAAAGTATTCATGTTACTTGATATATCATAGGAATTCAATACATTTTCATTTGGCCTTTAGGATATCATAGTCATCTAATTTACCTCCAACTAAATTTTCCAAACATTTCTTTACATTTTCTTTTGGCAAATCATCCTCTCCTTCCCCACCTCCCACTGCCCTGGTACTCATTCCCTGAAAATTGTCTCTCTTCTTCTTTCCTCTACGTTTTCATTCTACACAGACTTCCTTGTAGATCTCATGCATTATCAAATCTTTAAATAAAATATATATCTTTACTCCTTCCAAATTTATATCTATACTCTAAATATGTCCCTTGAATGTCAATTATATATATTCAAACTAAGTGTCATCACTACCTAGCACTTGTAGCAGGCGTCTTGACATTTTCATGTCCTAAATTTAATTCCTGAATTTCCAGAGAAAATTTGTTCAGGACACATATTTTCTTTTTACCATACCAACTAATGGTAAGTTCATCCTTACATTTACTCAGGCAAAATGCCTTGGAGTTATCCTTGCCTCTTTTCTCTCTTTACTTCACCTGACATTCGGTCCATAAGAAGTTCTCATTGAGCTTGCATTTAAATATATACATAAGCTAACCACTTCTCATTATCTTCATTGTTTCACTCTGTTTCAAGCCACCATCAATTTTTGTATGGATTCCTGCAAGAGACTCAAAACTTGTCTCCATGTTTCCACCTCTGCTCATTTATATTCATTTTCAACACAAACTAAACCCAGAGTAATTTTTCAAAGCTAAAATGAGATCTTATAATTTCTGTAATCAAAAATTCTAATGGTTCCCCATTTCTCTCAATTAAAACCTGTAGTTCTTACAGTGAACACATTTTGCACCAACTGTGCTCTCTGCCTGGGATTGCCTTTCCCTGGATACGTGCATTGCTACCTTGATCATTGTCTTCATGTTTTTATGTAAGTATCTGCTGTTCGACTGGACTTATTTCAAACATCCCTGCTTAAATTATACTTATCTTGAACCCCTGATCTTCACTATCTTGAGTTTTTATACTTTCTAACATACAATATACTCTAAATGTTGTTGTGTTTAAAAGTAATTATCTAAATTCTCCCAATAGAGCGCAAATTCTCTAGAGGCAGAAACATTTTTTGTTGTTGTTGTTGTTTTGCTTTGCTCACTGATGATTTCCTGGATCTAGAATAAGTGTTTTAAATATTCTTTGAATAGCTTTCCTCCCCTGTTGCTTGATTAGTGTGGATCCCAACATTTAAGGACACTGGATGGATTCATCGCCTAAATTTAGCCACCTCTCAGGTAAATGAGAAGCAAGTTTATGACCAATATTAGCCAACTGGTACCAGGCTACATCATTGGTTGGACTCTTGAAAAGAAAGCTTATTGGTAGATGAAGCTGAAAAGATGCGAGGGTGGGAACTGCTGTGATTACCTAGCAAACATAACATGACATTCTGTGGAGAACAACGGCATCTTTGAGAACCAACAAGAAGATGAAAAGGGGGAGCATGTGCTGACACAGATGTGTACCACTCTCCAGTGATCTATGAGGGATTGAAAAAATAGACATCAGTGGAGCAAAAAGTATTATATTTTGTCTTGAAATAAACCTTTGATTTACATTTTGGCTCTTATTTTCTTTGTAGTGGTCAGCTATATGTACTTATATTTTT
Source organism: Homo sapiens (assembly GCF_000001405.40). Classification (NCBI taxonomy): domain Eukaryota; kingdom Metazoa; phylum Chordata; class Mammalia; order Primates; family Hominidae; genus Homo; species Homo sapiens. Next base: position 188,536,594 of record NC_000001.11, read on the forward strand.
ACAGTCAATACTTTGGATAAAGGATAATTGGTATGGAAATATGCTTCCTCTAAATTACTTTTATATCTTCAAAATTTTCTTTAATATGTTGTCCAAATATTACATTGAAATATGAAAATAAAATATCACTGCCCAGCACGGTGGCTCACGCCTGTAATCCCAGCATTTTAGAAGGCTGAAGTGGGCTGACTGCTTGAGGTCAGGAGTTCGAGACCAGCATGGTTAACATGGTGAAACCCCGCCTCTTCTAAAAATACCAAAATTAGCCGGGCATGGTGGTGTGCACCTGTAGTCCTAGCTACTCCAGTAGCTAAGGCAGGAAAATCTCTTGAACCCGGGAGGCAGAGGTTGCAGTAAGCAGAGATCGTGCCATTGCACTCCAGCCTGGGAGACAGCGCATGACTCTGTCTTGAAAAAAAAAGAAGAAGAAAAGAAAAAATAAAAAATCACTTACATTTGCTACCATTAGTATCTACTATAAAATTTAAGCAACAACAAAAATGAAAAGGTGATATGCTCTACATATTTACAATTTTTCATTTAAATTGATGTCATTAAGCTTTATGAAAAGCTTAGTTTATTGTCTTACATTATGAACTCCATTACAAACTGGCACTGCTCCAAACTATTATTCTGCAGGACACTAACTAGGTGTCTGGCATCAGAAAATTGATTATTACTCATGTTATAGTATTGTCATGAGGATTGAAGGGTGAGTAAATGCTGGCTATGTGAAAAAGAAAAGAAGAAATATTAAACCTCTATTTGTTGTTATTTCTGCATTAAATCTATTCAAAAGATAATTTTTGTGTGTTTAATCATGTTCTTTGATCATGTATTAGCATGTTTATGGGATATTCGATACTTCAGAGAATTCTAAAAAATATGAACTGTATTATTTTCATATTGATCTATTCATTAGTCAAAACTACTTAGTTGTAATTGTCCAAGGCAGTGCAACCAAGTAATAACCACTTTTTTCTCTATAATATTGGATGAAGCCATGCTAACAGAGAAATAATTGAAATTGTTGTGTGGAGTTTTCTTTCAAATAAGACGAGTTTAATGATAATTTGGTTGTGTTTGCTGACATAATTATCCATATTGCTTCAAAAACCTTAAAATAATTAGTATTTAACACACACCCTGCGATAAAAAGATCGTTCATTAAGACAAAGGTAAAAGCAATTTTAGAAGAACTGTAACAGACTCACCTTACATGCATTGTCTTTTTAATTGCTCTTGGCTATTAAATTATGTAAGTATCTATCTTCCATGTCAGCAGAATTACTAATTCTACAGTATTTCATTGGATGGAATGTGAGATTTTCTTTTAATTTCTGAAAATGGATGCTCTAGTCAATACACACAAGGTGTATAACATTTGCATGCTTTATAACAATTCTAGCAACCTTGTAAAAAGTGCAAATTATTTCTAAATTTCTGGGAATTACTGTGATTTATATTTTAAACATAGTAGGATAATATAAATATATAAGTCAAGTAGTAAAGGAAACAAGGAGAGTTTGATAAATGATATGTTGTATAAAATGGAAAGGATTTTAGTAAAACTATGCAAATTAAAAAATATATTAACATAAGTATAATATTTGAGAAATTTTTTTGCTCAATCATTAAAGTATGCAGTAATTCCTGAGCTGTCATATATTTCACCCACAAATTTTTAAAACTTAATATATAGTTCAAAACTGTGTAAACAATATTAAATATAAGAAGAATAAAAATATAGTCAAGGTATTTAAACAATGCATGCGAATCTCCAAATTTAAGACTGCAATTTCCTCTGAATAAATATTTGTGAAATAGATTGATAAATGGAATATTGGAGCTTTAATTCTTTCATAATGTTTGCTTCTTTTTAAATCTTTAATTTTTATTGATACATAGTATTTGTACATATTTATGGGGTAAATATGATATTTTGATACAGGCATACAATGTATAATGATCAATCAAGATAATTGAGATATCTTTTACCTTGAATATTTATCATTTCTTTGTGTTAAAACATCCTGATTCCCCTCTTACAGATCTTCTGAAATATACAATAAATTATTGTTAACTATAGTTGCCTTACTGTGCTACCAAACACTAGATCTTATTTCTTCTACCTAACCGAATTTTTGTACCCATTAAGCATGCCAGTTTACTCCCCTCCCTTGCTATCTACCCACCCTCTGGTAGCCATTTTCTCTCTTCTTGAGATCTATTTTTTGAGTTCCCACATGTAAGTAACAATATGCAATATTTGTATTTCTGTGCCTGGCTTATTCACTTAACATAACGTTCTCCAGTGCCATCCATGTTGTTTCAAACAACAGAACTTCATTCTTTTATAAGGCTAATATTAGACTGTGTATATGTACTATACTTTATTCATCTGTTGATGGACACTTAGGCTGATTCCATATCTTGGCTATTGTCAAGGTTGCTGCAATAAACGTGGGAGTACAGATATCTCTTTAATGTACTGATTTCCTTTCTTTTGGATATATACCCAACAGTGGGATCACTGGATCTGAAAAAGATCTGAAATAATTTTTATTGATACACGATTTCTCCTTATATTTTCACTGCATCTTTTTGATTGATGAGAAATAGCAAATTTTTCTTAAATAACATACACAAACAAGGGGTCTGTTAAAATTATTTTATCTTCAGATTTGGTGTAGAAAATAATAGAACAGGTATTCATTTTTCTTCATAAAACTGATGTGACATTTCTCATTTTAGAAAAGTAGAAAAGAGGTCAGACCAATATATTATGTTCAAGAGGTAATTTTTGAATGCAAATACATCAGGAATTTCACAATATTCTTACTCTTCCAACTAAATAAACCTATTTGCTGAAAAATGGCAGATAATTTCATTCAGCATTAATTCAATCCTTAAAACTGAGTCTGAGAAATAAAAGTGAATGAGAGATGATTTCTTCATTATTAAATTACACTTTCAAAATAAATTGATGTTTGTTAATAAATATTTAAAGTGAGTCCAATTTTCTCAATGTTCCAAAATCATCACTATATTAATCTCATGAAAGGATAAGAAATTCTATAATTTTATATTTTTGTGTGTGCATGTGTGTGTGTGTGTGTGTGTGTGTGTGTGTTTTCTGTATCTATTCTATAATGTTTCAGCGGTAGCAAAATTTTTCATCTACAAGGTTATATAATTCCTTTGGGCTTATGCTGAAGTGAATATATTTGGACAATCTAAGGGTATGCTACATGAAAGAAAAAGTTAGAAGAAGCAAAACTGCAGTTTCATAACCTGTAGCATTTATTTTTTTTTTCTTTAAAAGACAGGAAACTTTTTCAAATACTCTTTAAATCAAAGAAATGTTTAGTGTGATGACTACAGAAACCATTTATTACCAAAGTTAAATGTCCAAAGTGGGCTACAATGACAGCTCAAAACCCTGTCAACTTAATAAACTTCAAAGTCTCTTGAAAGCAAAGAACCTTCAATAATATTTTTCAGATGATCTTCTTTAATAGGACATTTACATACATGTTCTGATTCCAGATGCATTTTAATTTGCTCTTAAAATATGAAACATCTCCTTTGAAAGGTGATGTGTATACATAAAAATCAATTTTTCTTTTCCCAATTAATTTTATTAAAGCCTGATTTGAGGCAGCATTACTGACTGACTTGTCTTAAATGCACCATACTTAAATGGGAAAACCATTACAAATCAGGTTCAAATTACATCTCTCTAAGAATAAGATTGCTTAGTTATAATTTCAAAACAGTCCCATTTGCAGATGGTGTCCTTAACTGTTCTCTATCTACTTCTAATTTTATCTTTTTCTCAGTGTCCCATGCTTTCCTTTACCTAGAATTTCCTATATCACTTTTCTAATTTCATAAAAACATGTTGGATAATGACATGGATTTCCAGGTAATCTATATATAATTTACAAAAATAGAGATAATTTTACTCAATTTTTCTAATGCATAGTGTCTAATTTCTTGCCTTTAATTGTATTAACTAATGCATTTAATTCAATCATAGAGAATGAAATGGGCAGCTGTGACTTAATAAGACTATCTCTAATATTTTTCTATTAAATTGTATTAAGGTTTTTGGCCTTAAGTATGAATATTTTAATATTTTTAAATTAAATGTTAACTTCTAATTTACTGAGTGATTTTCAACAGAAATAAGTGTTGAATTTTGAGTCCTTTGCAAATTCAGTGAGGCTAATCATGTGATCTTCTTTCTCAACCTTATTAATATGGTATCTATATTAATTGATTTCCGAATATTGAATCATCTGCATGTTTAGAATAAATTACACTTGGCAGAGATGCATAATTTTATGTGATATTGCAGTCTGTTGGCTAATATATATTTCAGGTATTATATTCCTATCTATAAATGAGTTTATGCTATAGTTTTTCTGACCAAAGTTTATAACCTCTGAATATCTATAAATATACTACGCTTGCTGCATATAAAGTATTTGGAACATTTTCAATATCATTATGCCTCTGCTCTTTTAAATTGTGTTGCACCTGTGATCTTTTTCTGGAATAGAAGTTTGGGGGTGGTTATCATCTACAGATGAAAACTATGAAAATAAAACCCACAATGAAAAGATAATCAATCAACCTGTCCTAGAAATGACTCATTTCTGTCTGGTTCCTAGTTATCCTAGTGTAAAATCTTGATGCTTTATCACGTATTCTCATCCATACCACCGTATTGTCATTTGTTATCTTTAACTGTATAAGGGAGACTACTACATTGTTGACATTGGAGGACACCAGTGAATTAGCAAGCAATAATATTACAACAATTATTATTAACATTACATTTTGTACGTCAAGAAGACACAAGAAATACTAAGCATGTTAGTAAAAATATGGAAGCAATAACAAAGCCCCAAAATAAACTTCTAGAGATGGAAATCACAATAGCTAAGATAAAAAACATACACTGCATGGAATTAACAACAGATTAACAATTACAGAGAAAAAATAGAAACTTGAAAACATAGAATTAGAAACAATCCAAAATAAAACACGGAAGAAAAATAAAATCCAAAAAATAAATAAACAGCATCAGTGAGCTGTGTTACTTCAAGCAGCCTCGTATAGATCAAATTGGAGTTCCTTAAGGAGAAGAAAGAAATAGGGTTAAAGGAAAAACATGTTTAAGTAAATATGGATGAAAATTTTACAAATTTGATAAAAATAATAAACTTATAAAGAAGCTATTACCAAAAAACATATAGAAAACATGTAGAAAACTATATTAAGCCATGGTGTAATCAAATAGCTTACAACCAATCGTAAAGAGAAACTCTTAAAAGGAGCCAAAATATACACAACACAAACACACACACACACACACACACACACACACACACAAAACATTACATATACAGTAACAGAAAAAGGAAGGCAACATCTTTCCAATACTGAAAGGAAAGCAAACAAACAAAGAAACAAACCTGCCAACTTAGAGCTCTATTTTTAGTAAAAAATACCTTTCAAAAATAAAGGAAAAATAAAGACTTATTTTCAGATATACAACAGCTGAAATAATCACCCACTCACCTGTATCAGAAAAAAATACTGAATAAAAACCCTCCAACAGAAAGAAAATTATGGCATTGGGAATAAAAAACACTGGAAACAGCAAATGTGGGGGAATATAAGATACTTTTTGTTTTATAAACCTCCATACATGATAATGGACTGATTAAATATAAAAAACAATATTTTGTGATATTTCTAATACAGAGAGAGATAAAGTGTCTTATAAGCATGAAGGCCAGACAATGACAAAATGTACTATGTTGTGTACAATATTCTTATAATATATGATATGATATCATATTACTCAAATACAGGTTGTGATAAATTAAAGGGCTATAGTATATTATACAACCACTAAAATAACAAAACAAAGAATCACAGGCAATAGCAATGAAGAGGTGAGATGAATAGAAAACAAATATCAAATTCATAGATTTAAACGCAAGCATATCAAAATAACATAAAATATAAACTCCAGTTTAAAGGAAAAGATGGTAATAATAACTTTACAAATACATTAATTGACCTGAATTTCAATTAGAAAAGCATCGCATTTCTAAGGAATACTGCCAGTGGGCAGAATCTGGTCTTTGGCGACTCTGCTGCTGCTTATTGAACAGTTTCCCAAAGATGGCAGTCATTGTTTGCCAAGATAATTTCAGTGGTCGGAATACACTGAGTCCAAGGCAAAAAGTAAAGAGAAATATTTGGGGAAACTAATCAAATGAGCAAACAAAATACCAAAGCACTTAGAATGATGTCTGCCACATAAAAGGAAGTGATATAGTTGTTGAAGAAAATGCATTTCCTCAAGATCAGTTTGACTAAGATGGCAGAAAAATGCACTTGAAATTGTTTGGTTCTTTTCTCATAGCTATTTTAACGTTGGCAAAATAAACTCAATGATGCCTTTTGTTAATAAACAGTTTTTAGGGAGGTATACAATGTAGCAACCTCTTTGAGATGTACTTCTATTTAATGAGGTAGTGAGATAGAGAAAGCACATCAGTGCTGTGGTGGTTTTAAAATAAGATAGTAATTCCAACTTTTATGATAGGTTTTACACTTCTGTAATATGTGAGCTTCCAAAAAGTTCTAGGAACCTTTATTTAGGATATTACGTGTGGTATTGAGATAAATGATCGGCTTTTGAGGCATACATATGATTTCTTTCTGTTGATTCTGAGTTGTGAGGCCAGCTTCATGGGAGTAATGCATCAATTTTTGCCAAGAACTCCTTAAAGATGTAAATCTTCTTTGGCAGCAAAGATTTAAAAGCCATCACTAAACTCTAGTGCCGTCACAAGGTACTGTTAAATGGTGAGCTAATCGACAAGGATTTCTATAGCAGCTTCAGCTGAGTCAGTGTGATTTTTGGCACTTCCGGAAAGAGTAAGGCATGAAATAAATCATCTTTGGAACAAACTAAAAGTATCAAAATTTTGCTACCCAAATTCTTGAAATTGGTACCAGCTTCTTCTTGCCTATGTGCCTTTATTCTCATTAGTTTCTATGTCTGCCACGCCCCTAAAATCTTTTTGTGGTTTACTCCTTTAGCTAATACATGTCTCTTTTCAAATTATCATCTCAGAAAAACCTTGTGCACTCCAATTAACATTTCATGACTTACTCTGCTTTGTTTTTAATCATAGTTATTATCACTACTAGAATTGTGTTATATTTTTTCCAATGGTATGTTGGAATATCATTCACTAGATCAAAAGCTTTATGAATAGAAGAAAATTATCTTTCAATGACATATTTCCACTCTCCTATAAAGCTTCATATTCCATAATTAACAATAACAGTACTTTCTCCAAGTGAGTTGTTGAGAAAGTTCTTAGAATTTAACTTTTGTTTCCACTGAGTTTGGTCTTGTCACAAAGAAGCTCTAAAGCCAGGCATGAATAATTAAGCCAAGGCAATGGAACTTGGATTGTCCTTAGTAATACGTCATCAGAATTTGGAGATTCCATACATGCATAACAAATAGAAAAAACGCTTTCATTATAATAGATTTTTTTGTTTTTTTTTTTTTGTTTGTTTTTTTTTTTTTGTTTTTTGAGACCGAGTCTCGCTCTGTCGCCCAGGCTGGAGTGCGGTGGTGCGATCTCGGCTCACTGCAAGCTCCGCCTCCCGGGTTCACGCCATTCTCCTGCCTCAGCCTCTCTGAGTAGCTGGGACTACAGGCGCCCGCCACCACGCCCGGCTAATTTTTTGTATTTTTAGTAGAGACGGGGTTTCACTGTGTTAGCCAGGATGGTTTCGATCTCCTGACCTCGTGATCCGCCCACCTCGGCCTCCCAAAGTGCTGGGATTACAAGCGTGAGCCACCGTGCCCGGCCCATTATAATAGATATTAATAAGATATGGAAATAGTAAGAAGGGAAATCTGTTAAATTCTGATTTTTTTTCTCGCAATATGTCTCTTTCCTAGTTATCTTAATGTAAAATCTTCATGCTTTATAACGTATTCTCATCCATACCACCTTATTGTCATTTGTTATCCTTAACTGTATAAGGGAGACTACTACATTGTTGACATTGGAGGACACCAGTGAGTTATATATACTTCCTGGTGCTTATTCTATGCTATAGTCCCTTCCTAATGAATGTGTGCGTGGTGTGAGATTTTCTTTATCCATTCAAATTCAGCAGAGATAACACTATGTGTCTTCCAGTTCTAAGCCTTTAGAACCCTGGCAGCTTCTGCTGTTGGGTTTTTGGCACTGTAAGCATGCATGCAGGAAGTCTATCTACCCAGCTAGAGGGACCGTGTAGAGAAATGTGGTGGCAAAGGCACTGGAGAAGGAGGGATGCTGTGACTACCTGAAGAGAAAAAGAGATGACTACTATGAAGTACCTGGGGCTGCAGTAACAGATTACCACAAACTGGGAAGCTTAAAAGAACACAAATTTATTACCTCACAGTTTTGGAGGCTAGAATTCCCAAATCAGGTGTCAGCTGGGCTTGTTCCTTCTGGAAGCTGAGAGGCATATAAATATATGAATCTCTTCCATGCCTCTCTTCTAGCTTATGGTGGTTACCAGCAATCTTTGGCATTATGTACAACACTCCAAACTCTGCCTCAGTCTTCAATGGTGTTCTTCCCTTTGTGTCTCTTGTCCCTACGTAGGAATCTCTCTCTTTCTTTTAGAAATATACCACTTATTGAATTTACTCCCCCGCCCCAGTCCAGGATGACCTCATCCTAACTAGCTGCATCTTCAAGGACTCTATTCGCAAATAAGCTCACATTCTGAAGTTCTAAGTGAACATGCATTGACAGGAATACTATTTAACGCAGTATACCAGTCACCCAGTGCACCAGTACACTGATTTCAGTCTTCACCTTCCAGCTGAAAGAAGCAACACCATAATGGTAGCCCAGCTAATCTCAATCCATACTAAACCATAATGATAGAAAATAAAAATGGTTGTTGTACTACATCTCTATTGTTCGCAGTTTTTTGCTATGCATCAGATTCTTGAGTAACACTATTGAATAAAATACAGCAGGTTCTTGAGGAACATAATTTCTTTTAAGATTGTTTCATTGTAATGTTAATTTAAAAAAAACAAAAACAAAAACAAAAAAAGCAGTTCCTGGCTGGGGCCACAGTCTATGTGGAGTTGTCTTGTTCTATGTCTGCATGGGTTTTCTCTGTGTACTCGGGTTTCCTCCCACACTCCAAAGATGTGCACCTTATGTTAGTTGTTGTGTTTAAATGGTCTCAGTCTGAGTGAGTGTGAGCATGTGTTTGAGTGTACCCTGCCATAGAATGGTGTCCTGGCCAGGAGTGATTCCCACCTGGCACCCTGAGCTGCCTGAGATAGGCTCTGGCCACCTGGAACCCTGGACCACAATATTCAGCTTACTTTTTTTTTCTTTTGTTTTTTTTTTGAGACGGAGTCCCGCTCTGTCACCCAGGCTGGAGTGCAGTGGCGCGATCTCGGCTTCCCTAGTAGCTCATGCCATTCCCCTGCCTCAGTCTCCCTAGTAGCTGGGACTATAGGCGCCCGCCACCACGCCCGGCTAAGTTTTTTGTATTTTTAGTAGAGACGGGGTTTCACCGTGTCAGCCAGGATGGTCTGGATCTCCTGACCTCGTGATCCACCCGCCTCAGCCTTCCAAAGTGCTGGGATTACAGGCGTGAGCCTCCGCGCCCGGCCCAGCTTACTGTTTTTAATCTTTTAAAATGTATGTACGGCTTTCATTTATTTTAATATTAGAAAAGATTTAGTCTTTATTTAGAAGTTTTGTGATGTTTTCATGACTAGAAATATGCCCTGGGATATTATCTCTTCTTTAAATCAATTAGCCTATGGCAAAATTGGTTTTGCTATAAGTCATTTCACGTCAAGTTGAAGTTAAAGTAAAGTTAGACTTCACTTGAAGTATTTAACTTCATGTTACCAATCAATGACATTAAATGAGGACTTACTGTAATAGCAAAACTGGTTACTATTTCTCCACTCAATCCCTTATGGACTCATGTTGAGAGTTTATAAATACATGAATACATAAATAAACAAATGACTAAGTGAAAGAAAGAATGAACAAGGTCCCAGTATTTAACCTAAATATATTGACTGTCTAGCAAAGATATTCTAAACAAAAGCACCATAGAGAAGCACTATTGAAAACAGAGGGTAACACAACCAGAGTTACTATTGTTCATGGTTGGTCAACACAAGATAACTTGTAAAGTCATCTGTTTGTGCTAGCTACATTTACTATTAAGGATTACAGTTAATTTTATATGTCCTTTTAAAAAAAGACAATATTGTTAGTCAATTTGAACTTTTACTTATCAATCCACTCTGCCAACATTAGTGAGTTTATTTAATGTTGTTTTATAAAATGATGTATGACAATGTATCTTATTTACTTACAGTCATAACAGTGAAATCAACAGTTTCAATTTTCCCTTTTATATATGAACATAAATTTCAAATAACTCTTCCCTGCCTCACCCTCCCCAAGCATTTTTGTACATGATAACTTCACAGAAGTAATCTTTTGTTCTGTTTTCTTTGGTATGGGAGAGGCAATTCTTCATAAATAACTGTTTCTTTCAGACACATGCCTGTATTTATTTATTTATTTTGTCAACATTACTTTATTTCCTTTCTTTCTTTAAATTTTTGTGGGTACATAGTATGAATATATATTGATGGGTTACATAAGATATTTTGATACCTGCATACAACGTGTTACAATCACATCAAGGTAAATGGGGTACCATAAACTTAAGCATGTATTTTTTCTTTGTGTTACCAACAATCCAACTGTATTTTCTTAGTTATTTTAAAATGTACAATAAATTAGCACTGATTGTAGTCATCCTATTGTGCTGTTAAATACTAGCTCTTATTCATTCATTCTAAATATATTTTTGTACCTATTAACTATGCCCACTTCTACCCAGTCTCCCACTCTCTTTCTCAGCCTCTGGTAACCATCATTCTAGGCTGTATAAATTCAAATGTTTTAAGTTTTAGTTTCTACAAACAAGTGAGAATATGTGAAGTTTGTCTTTCTGTACCTGGCTTGTTTCACTTAACATAATGACTTCCAGTTCCATCAATGTTGTCGCAAATGACAGGATCTCATTCCTTTTTATGGCTGACTAGTACTCCATTGTATATCTGTACCATATTTTCTTTATCTGTTCATCTGTTGATGGACACTGAAGTTGCTTCCAAATCTTGGTTATTGTGAATAGTGCTGTAAGAAACATGGGAATGTAGATATCTCTTCAATATACCGAATTCCTTTCTTTTGAGTATACACCTAGCAATAGGATTGCTGGATCACAGGGTAGTTCTATTTTTAGATTTTTGAGGAACTTCTAAACTTTTCTCCATAGTGGTTGTACTTATTTACATTCTCACTAACTATAACAGGGTTCCCTTTTCTCCAAATTCTCACCAGCGTTTGTTACTTTCTGTCTTATGGATAAAAGCCATTTGAACTGGGGTGAGATGATATCTCACTGCAGTTTGATTTTCATTTCCTGATGGTCAGTGAGGTTGAGCATCTTTTCCTATTTTTTCCCTGTATATCTTCTCTTGAGAAATGTCAATTCCGATGTTTTACCCATATTTTAATTGAATTATTAGACTATTTGGAATTGAGTTGTTTGAGCTTCTTATATGTTCCGGTTGTTAATCCTTTGCCAGATGGATACTTTGCAAATATATTATTTTATTTTGTGTGTTGTCTCTTTACTTTGTTGATAGTATCGTTGACTGTGCAGAAGCCATTTTTTTTTTTTTTTTTACTTGATTTGATGCCATTTGTTTGTTTTTGCTTTGGTTGCCTGCGCTTGTGGGATATTAATTACTTAAGAAATATTTACCCAAACAAATGTCCTGAAGATTTTCTCCAATGTTTTCTTGTAGTAGCTTCATAGTTTGAGGTCTTAGCTTTAAGTCTTTAATCCATTTTGATTTTATTTTTGTATATGGCAAGCGATAGGGAGCTAGTTTTATTCTCTTCTCTTCCTTCTTTCCTTTCTTCCTGACTTCCTTTCAGGAGATGCAATTTTCTCTGATGGCATATTTTAATTTCTTGCTTTTTATCTTTTGTATGTTGGTTGTATTTTTTTTTTTATTTAAGGTTACTGTGAACAATGAAAATAACATCTTATATTATTTTAAACTGACAAGAACTGAATACTTATTACATAAACAAATAGCCAAACTAACAAATAAGCACAGAGTAAGCTAATAAAAAATCTACACTTTAACTTCATCCCCCTGCCCTTTTTGTTGTTTCTATTTATATCTTATAATGCTGTCTATGTCTTGAAAAGTTGTAATTATTTTTCTCAAGTTCATTGTTCAATTCAAGATCTGAGTAGTTTACACACAATTACAGTGTTATATAATTCTGTATTTTTGTGTACATTCTAATACTCAAAGTTTTGTACCACCAGATTTTTTCTTATTGCCCATTAACATCCTTTTCTTTCAGATTGAAGAACACTAGCATTTTTTCATTTCTGAGACAGGTCAGGTGTTGATGAAATACCTCATCTTTTGTTTGTGCAGGAAACTCTTTATTTCTCCTTCATGTTAGAAGGATATTTTCCTGAGATGTGCTTGTATTAGTCAGGGTTCTCTAGAGGGATGGAACTAATGGAACTACGGTGGAACGAACCCAGTTCGTAGGCTGTTGCTGGGGGACTGGGTGGGGGGCGGATATTGTTAGTGATTCAAAACTGCCTTTCCTACCTTCTTCAGTGCCCTTTCCTTAATATAATATTAAAACCAAGTACTTTAATTGCTCACCTGATTTTGGGTTCTTATGAAAGTGTTTTTTGTGTGTAGATAGTTGCTAAATTTGATGCTCCTGCAAGGAGGCAATTGCTGGAGGCTTCAATTCAGCCATGTTGCTCTGCCTCCCTTCAATATCATATTTTTAAAAACTTAAACTTCTAAAATTTCATAATTAGAAGAAACCTAACCTCATGAATCATTTCAAGAACTGGGTTTTAATCTGTTTATTTTTATATGTATTTATTTATTTATTGGTTTATTTGAAAAAGAGTTGTTGGTTTTTAACCATAAAACCATGAACTTTTTTTCCCCAGACTCATGATTAACTTTCCCTGCAAAAAAAAGATTGACATAATTATTTTGCCAATTTTACTAAAATAATCATCTCATTTTAAATAATTTTGTGGAGATAAATAATTTGATAAAATTTTAGATTTCTCAAAAATAATATGCCTGATTCAATATAATTGACTGGAATTTGGGTGGAAGATTTTACAAAAGAATACTCAGCCTTTATTCTTTTCTTCTAACAACACATTTTTATCAACTGTGTTGATGAAGATAATGTAATTTATACTCTATCAAAATTATGTTATAGTTATCTTCTTCACTTTTTTTTTTCTTTTTTTTGAGACAGAATTTTGCTCTTGTTGCCCAGGCTCTAGTGCAGCAGTGCGATCTCGGCTCACTGCAACCTCCATCTCCCGGGTTCAAGCCATTCTCCTGCCTCAGCCTCTTGAGTAGCTGGGATTACAGACATGCACCACCACGCCCGGCTAATTTTATATTTTTAGTAGAGGAGGGGTTTCACCATGTTGGCCAGGCTGGTCTCAAATTCCTGACCTCAGGTGATCCTACCACCTTGGCCTCCCAAATTGCTGGGATGATAGGTGTGAGCAACCGTGCCTGGCCTCTTCTTCACTTTAAAATACATATACCATAAGCATCAGTTATTCATTTTATGTATGTTAGGTTTGCATATGAAAAGGTATAGAAAGTAGCTACTTGATTCTCTAGAAATGTACACATGAATGTGTTTTGTCCTCTTAGGAATAGAACAATTTTGTGAAAACAATAACATATAATTTTATTTTATTTTCTACCCTGATTTTTTTAAGTCATCTTCCTTGGCTATATTACACCATTCTTTCTAACCTTCAGTCTGAAAGAAAAATAAAATTAATTTTATTGTGAATAAATTGTTGAAGTCATATGTAGATATAGATCTGAAATTTCACTAATGTGTTTTAACTTTCTTTATTCAAGCAGAGGTTGTGTTCCTTTTATTATTCTTTTGAATAACATAAAATCACCAAACAACTATTAAATGTAATAGCTGTACACATTAGAAATTCAAGGTTGAAGTAACTAGAATGAAACAGCAGATTTTAAAGGAACAAGACTGTCACTTACTGTCAATGTTACAATTCCATTTATCAGCTCCATTAACTTAATGGCCAAAAAAAAATTCTCCATAGTTGCTTCTCCCTGGTGCACATTCGCTCTCATACACATCTAAACTGATGCTAATAGAGAGTAAAGTGATGCTATCAGCATTCTTTTATGTAGCTTTTATTGTTTTCCATAAAATTCTGTCACTGAGATAAAACTAATGATTTTATACATCTGGCCCAGCCATACAAACTCCAATTTTTACTTTTCTAATTTTCATTCAAATCTTCTTTTCCACTCCTATAACTTAGTGTACTTTTGTCTCATGAAAGTTGAAATATCAAAGAGTCAGAAACCTCATCAAAGAAAAACAGGTGCTTCACCACTTTTTGATTGTAGATCTTCATAGGAACCATTTTAGATTACTATTTACCTCTCCAGTCCTCATTTATATTGCAGACAGCCACACAATAGACTTTCTGGTATTTAATGCTGAAAAACCCAATTGGTGACGTGTCGTAAAATTTTACTGCTTGTCTCAGTTAAAAAGGGACCAATTTCTATATCTACTTTGCAGTTGAAAAGTTCAACCTTTATCTGTTTAGCCAGCTTTAATTCCAGAATAGGTCTCTTTCCTCAGAGAGGAGAAACGCTGAGGCATCAAGCTCTTTTTAGCAATCCCTTTTGCAAGCTGATTTGCCTGCTGATGTTCACGCATTTTTTTCCACTGCCAGGAAGTTTAGATTGTTTCATTTATAAAGAACCTTACCTGATAAATGTGCCAATAACTTACTACCTCTTTCTGGCTTTGCCAATTTCTTTCTGTATTAGTTTATGCACATTAAGTATGCAATGTTGTTACTCAGCTATATACCTTCTAAATTGCATGAAATCTCTTGAGAGTCCTGATCTAGAATATTTGAGTAATATGTATAAATTGATTTTGACATGTAGCTAATTGACACAAATCAGTATGTCACATTTGTAGGTACCTGATTATGGAGGTAATTATCTCAACTTCTCTAATGCACAGTTCTTTTAGTGTGCACATATATTTCTAAAATGCTTAACTGTAGCCATAGTCTCTGTTGTTTTGCTTTACAGGCATTCATATACGTTAAAGCTATAAAAATAATTAAAGAAAATCACTTATATCTCCCTCATCTTTATTCTTACATTGGAATACACAGTCTGTTAACTTTTTGAGGGATCAGGCTTATTTATTTTTTTCTTGATTCAAGTTTTCACAATTTTGGAGCTAGTGCTTGGATAGCGGGCCTCAGGACTCTGCCTAGTGCTCTATTCTCACAAAGAATAGTAGCCAAAAAATATATTGTATGCTCTGGTTCTATTGCTTATATGTTGTGTAACAAAAAAAAATATTTTTGTTGTTGTTGTTAGCAATTATTTTAACTGTTCTGACGGTATAATAACTATTTACTTCACAGAGTTATGGGAAAATCAAATGAGATAAAAATATAGTGGCTATTTTCTGAAAAACCTACAATGCCGTACCTAAAACGTGAAATTACTAAAATGCACAAATTAATTCAAATATATTTCCTCTTAGACATCTAAGAATATTTATAATGTTTCATAAATAAAAATAAAACAAAAGCACATAATACATTTTGGAAAACCTGTAGTTTTCTTACCACTATGAAATGAAGCCATTGGATAGACATAAGAAAAATTTTAGGTCTTCCTGAGGACTAAAGGTCTAAAGTCCTGTTTTTTGTTTAATTAATAAAAGTATTTACTTATAAGTATTTTAGATAGTATTAGTCTGGTAGATAAGTTTTGCAAATGTTCTTAAGTGAGGAACTAAGATGTTGGCTTTATGGTTAGAATGGTAACGGGAAAAGTAGTTCTTTTTCCATTTAATAGAGTTTCTGAATTTTTATAAGATGTAAGGTGAGCTTTAAGAAATAGTGGGTCAAGCCTGTTCACTTTCCAGACATAAAAAACCTGCATCTAATTTGAAATGCATTGCACCTCCTGAGGTTCTGCCCTTTGCATTTTTACTTATCCTCTACATAGCAAGGAAGTGTGTAAGATTTTGATTTCGTTTTTACATTTCATTTAAATGTATTTTACCAAATTGAGAAAGAAAGTGCAGGGTGACTAGTTTTCACTTTTAATTTTTCTTAGCAGGTGCTTTTAAAACTTTCCAAGTGAAATTTTAATCATTTGGCAATGTATTTGAACTCTAGCATTCACCTGATAAACAATTATTTAAGATAATTGCATATTGATCATTCTTTACTTTATGCACATCCTTCAGTATTTATATCTATTTCTAATTTTGATAAAATGTTCTGCTCCATGATTCTGAGATCAGTAATACTATTTAGGATTTCTGTATCTTCTCCATATTTGTTATTTAAAATATAGATTTATAAGAAATTCCATTGTTCATAAATTTATAGAAATCCTATTGGAATATAAATCAAATATAAGACAAATATATTTAACTGGATTTTTGCATATAAAAACATGCAACAAGAATATATTTTATTACTATGTGATAAAATAGTTTTCAAAAGGTATTTAAAATAAGTAAAAATTAGGCCAGGGTGGTGACTCACGCCTGTATTCCCAACACCTTGGGAGGCCGAGGTGGGCAGATCAGTTGAGTTCAGGAGATTGAGACCAGCCTGGCCAATGTGGTGAAACCCTGTCTCTACTAAAAATACAAAAATTAGCTGGGCGTGGTGGCAAACATCTGTAACCACAGCTGCTTGGGAGGCTGAGGCAGGAGAATCGCTTGATCTGGAAGGCGGAGGTTGCAGTGAACTGAGATCACGCCACTGCATTCCAGCCTGGGTGACAGAGTGAGACTTTGTCTCAAAAAATAATAGTAATAATAAAATAAAATAAAAAATAAGATAAAACAACTGAAAATCAAATAAAAACCTAAACTATTTGATTGGTATTAAGGTTTTTATCCAGAAACATTTGTATATTTTCTATCATTGATTGCTTTACGATATTTTAGCCATAAAGGGAAAAAATACTTTTAATGTTAGAATTACACTTCATTCCTGGATGAAGACAATAAAGATAATACAAGGGTAAGGTAATATAGGCAGAGATGTTAAAAAATAGAAACAAAAATATTAACATATAATTTTAAGGTTTACATTAATCATTCATAGTAGGTAATAGATTCTTCATTTTATTGATAAAAATAATTTGATAAAATATACATGGTCATGTTCACACAATCTAAGAGAAAAATAAGATAGCTTCAAAAGGAGTCTACTAGAGCAATCTATGATAATCCACGTGGTTCTTAATTTATAAAAATGGCTTTCTTAACAAATACACAGAGGTGTGATAAAACACCCACATCAGATAGAGGCACACATAGAATAAAGAAGACAACTAACATCAGCGGAAGCAGAAAACATGGAACAGAGAAAAACATTACAAATATTTCTAAGCCAAAATTGCTATACAATTTAAAATAATGACATGACAATTGTAATTAACACAGGATGCTATGGGTAAAATCAATTAGTATCAAAAGAATTATTTACATTTAAAAATATTATTCCTTTTTTTTTTTTTTTTTTCTTTTTTGAGACAGAGTCTTCACTCTGTCGCCCAGGCTGGAGTGCAGTGTCATGATCTCGGCTCACTGCAACCTCCACCTGCAGGGCTCAAGCAATTCTTCTGCCTCAGCCTCCCACGTAACTAGGACTACAGGCATGCTCCATCATGCCCAGCTCATTTTTGTATTTTTTACTAGAGACAGGGTTTCACCATATTGTCCAGGCTGGTCTCAAACTTCTGACCTTGTGATCAGCATGTCTCGACCTCCCAAAGTGCTGGGATTACAGGCGGGAGCCACTGCACCCAGCCCTAAACATATTATTGCTATTTTCTTTGAAATAAAAGGTCAAAATAAAATGTACTAAGTCAATAACCACATATGATTTAAGCAAATACATGACTAGTTAAGATCTGTTGGCAAGTGCGGTGTGTATCTTTAAAAGTATAATTTAGCAGATAGTTTCGAAAGAAGAGCTTTTGAAAGGATTTGGAAATTAGAAAGGCATTGAGAGGATTTTATTTTTCAAAGGTTCACAATGAATGAGATCACATAGGCTTGAGATAATTATTCTTGCCTGTAATGCAAATTCAATGGCCAATTTTTTTTCATATACTAAAAACACTGAAAATAAATTCTCTGATCTCAGAAATTCATGTTTAATGTTGTCACCCTAGGTTATTTTTCTTTAATTCAAAACTTTGCTAACAGAAGTCTAGATTATGAAAATATACTTAAATGACGTGTATGTATTTGTGCGTGCACATACAAATATCCAAGACAACATCAGAATACAACTTTAGTTCTTAATCTACATTTTCCTCCCCTTCATTTTCCTCCACATCCTTTTCAATCAGCTTAATTTATTTTATTTGAATACATTCTTTTCTCCATGTGCTTATTTCTTAAGCACATATATGTACTATATATGTGTGTGTACTAGAAGAAAACAATGTAAAACAAAAATTCAATGTCATTTCACAGAAAATAAAAGCATAACTGTGTAACAAAATAAATACTGTAACATGTAGACCTATGCTAAATTAGCAGTACATCACGAAAATTCAAGAGAAAGTATTTTTGTTACAAATACCTTGACATTCCAAATAGAAAAATGTATAAAACAAGGTTTCAAAATCATTGACCTTTTATGGATATGATAATTGTGACTTTACTGTATTGGCAAAGATACAACTCTGTATAAATTGCATAAAAACAGGGCACTTCAAAATTTGCTTTACTCATTAATTTAAACTTGCATTAAGCAATTTACATGTATGCCATTTTCACCCTTGCTATTTCCATGTTTTAATTAGCTTAATTTAACTAGAATCTCTAGATAGGTCACATCTCTCAAGTTTAATAAAACAGAGTAAAATGGGCTTAATAGAAATTCATAAACGATCAGTGTTTTACAGTAATACATAATTTATATCTTGTCAATGCCCAGTGCATCTTGTAATATTCAAGTAAATAGAAGAACTACTAGTGTAACATATGATAGCCTTATTAGCATATCTTTCAAAATTAAGTAGTAATCTGCTGCTGTTAGAGTTGGTTCTATGGTATAATGTATAAGTATACTGCTCTATTTATATAATTGTACAGTACATCAGTACATATATATAGCAGTCTTCTACATATATAATATATAATTAATATATATTAATTATAATTATTGTATATATTGCTATGGGACCTGAAGTTGGTTGACTTAAGAAAATAATTTTATATTAAATAAATAATAATGCTATGGTTACTCTGAAGGACTCCAGAATTTACCTAGGAAACAGCTAGCATTAAGGTCAATGCAATAGCAACTGAAGGTGACTACAAGATCATTACTGTATTCCAATGTATACTGCAGTTATGATTTAATAGTACATGTTTACTTATGTTTATATTTGCTTAACTGAAAATGATGCCATATAAGGTCTAAAGTTTGCGTGTAAGTTTTGATAATGTAAGTTTTAGTAATAGATTTGTGTATATTTATGTTAGTAAATGATAAAATAAATTAATATCTTCATACATTAATATTTATTCATGACATAAATAACTTCTTAATTTTTTGACATTTGCAGGCTACATATTTCATCTTCATTTTTTTCAAACTGTTACAAATCTCCAAAATATTTTCCAATGTATTTATTTTTTGAAATCTGTGCGTAAAGTGGACCTACAGAGTTTCAACCCATGTTGTTCAAAGGTCAATGTTATAAGGAAATTGGCAGGATAATAATCAAGATCAATACTATAAAAGTACTGATTCAGGCTGGGTGAGGGGGCTTACACCTGTAACCTCAGCATTTTGGTTTGCCAAGGTGGGCGGATCACTTGAATCCAGGAGTTCAAAACCAGCTGGGCAACATAGTGAGATCCCATTTCTACAAAAATACAAAAATTAGCCAAGCATGGTGGGGCATGCCTGTAGTCTCAGCTACTCAGGAGGCTGAGGTTGGTGGACCACTTCAGCCCAGGAGGTTGAGGCTGCAGTGAGCCGAGATAGCACCACTGCACTCCAGTCTGGGTGAAAAAGCAAGACCTTGTCTCAAAAAAAAAAAAAAAAAAAAAAATTGATAGGGCAGAAACATTTCTTAGTCCTCATCTACGTTTGCTTTAAAATTCCAATAGATGTAAATGGCATGGCACAAATATTTTACCATATACAAATAGAAATTTACATTCTATAAAGACAATGTCTTTAGGCAACTAATCAACTAAATGTCACTCTTCAAGAAATAGTGTTGATATATATGTGTGTATTTGTATGTATTTATATGTGTGTATATAATAGACAATAGAAAAAACAACTCAACTATAAGAAATATGCTAACATTGCAATTACTAAAGAATAGAGAGTTTGATTTTACTCTAGTTTATACTCATCTTGTCACTGTGTTGCTAAAGTTCCTATAGTATTCTACTATGTGGCAGAAAAGACATATGACACATACATAGTGATACTTTAAGGATAATATATTTAACAACCCAGTGCATTTTGTGTGTGTGTGCATGTGAGTTGGTGGCATTTATGGTAAAATGTGTAAAGCAGGAAGTGCTTCCTAGTGGACAGTTATATATATAAGTCTTGCTGTTTCACGTATCATTTGCTCTTTCCACACTTTCAGGTAAAAAATAAAATAATAAAGGAGATACATTTAGCTATAACATAATCAAAACATACCAATATTAAGTAAATTATTAATTATTCAACCCTAGAGAAAGTGTCTTTGATTTTTTTCTAGTCCAAACGTTCATAATGTTGAAAATATACAAATAAAACTCCTATATGCATAGATATAGGAATATGTGTGACAAAATTTATTGTGTAACAATGTTTATATTTTCTATTTAATATAATCTTAACATTTTACTCTAATATATTTTGTTACAACATTAAAGAACACATATTTCAAAATTAAAATCAGTCTTCAATTTCAAAGACATATTTTTAAAGTATATATGATATTTTAAAAAGCTAATTTTTAAATGTTTACCCATTATAAAACATTGTTTTGTTTCTAAAATAATCATTCACTTTTTTTAATTAATTAATTTATTATTATTATACTTTAAGTTTTAGGGTACATGTGCACAATGTGCAGGTTAGTTACATATGTATACATGTGCCATGCTGGTGTGCTGCACCCACTAACTCATCATCTAGCATTAGGTATATCTCCCAATGCTATCCCTCCCCGCTCCCCCCAACCCACAACAGTCCCCAGAGTGTGATGTTCCCCTTCCTGTGTCCATGTGTTCTCATTGTTCTATTCCCACCTATGAGTGAGAATATGCGGTGTTTGGTTTTTTGTTCTTGCCATAGTTTACTGAGAATGATGATTTCCAATTTCATCCATGTCCCTACAAAGGACATGAACTCATCATTTTTTATGGCTGCATAGTATTCCATGGTGTATATGTGCCACATTTTCTTAATCCAGTCTATCATTGTTGGACATTTGGGTTGGTTCCAAGTCTTTGCTATTGTGAATAATGCTGCAATAAACATACATGTGCATGTGTCTTTATAGCAGCATGATTTATAATCCTTTGGGTATATACCCAGTAATGGGATGGCTGGGTCAAACGGTATTTCCAGTTCTAGATCCCTGAGGAATCGCCACACTGACTTCCACAATGGTTGAACTAGTTTACAGTCCCACCAACAGGGTAAAAGTGTTCCTATTTCTCCACATCCTCTCCAGCACCTGTTGTTTCCTGACTTTTTAATGATTGCCATTCTAACTGGTGTGAGATGGTATCTCATTGTGGTTTTGATTTGCATTTCTCTGATGGCCACTGATGGTGAGCATTTTTTCATGTGTTTTTTGGCTCCATAAATGTCTTCTTTTGAGAAGTGTCTGTTCATGTCCTTTGCCCACTTTTTGATGGGGTTGTTTGTTTTTTTCTTGTAAATTTGTTTGAGTTCATTCATTGTAGATTCTGGATATTAGCCCTTTGTCAGATGAGTAGGTTGCGAAAATTTTCTCCCATTCTGTAGGTTGCCTGTTCACTCTGACGGTAGTTTCTTTTGCTGTGCAGAAGCTCTTTAGTTTAATTAGATCCCATTTGTCAATTTTGGCTTTGGTTGCCGTTGCTTTTGGTGTTTTAAACATGAAGTCCTTGCCCATGCCTATGTCCTGAATGGTAATGCCTAGGTTTTCTTCTAGGGTTTTTATGGTTTTAGGTCTAACATTTAAGTCTTTAATCCATCTTGAATTGATTTTTGTATAAGGTGTAAGGAAGGGATCCAGTTTCAGCTTTCTACATATGACTAGCCAGTTTTCCCAGCACCATTTATTAAATAGGGAATCCTTTCCCCATTGCTTGTTTTTCTCAGGTTTGTCAAAGATCAGATACTTATAGATATGCGGCGTTATTTCTGAGGGTTCTGTTCTGTTCCATTGATCTATATCTCTGTTTTGGTACCAGTACCATGCTGTTTTGGTTACTGTAGCCTTGTAGTATAGTTTGAAGTCAGGTAGTGTGATTCCTCCAGCTTTGTTCTTTTGGCTTAGGATTGACTTGGTGATGCGGGCTCTTTTTTGGTTCCATATGAACTTTAAAGTAGTTTTTTCCAATTCTGTGAAGAAATTCATTGGCAGCTTGATGGGGATGGCATTGAATCTGTAAATTAACTTGGGCAGTATGGCCATTTTCACGATATTGATTCTTCCTACCCATGAGCATGGAATGTTTTTCCATTTGTTTGTATCCTCTTTTATTTCCTTGAGCAGTGGTTTGTAGTTCTCCTTGAAGAGGTCCTTCACATCCCTTGTAAGTTGGATTCCTAGGTATTTTATTCTCTTTGAAGCAATTGTGAATTCCTTCTGAAACTATTCCAATCAATAGAAAAAGGGAATCCTCCCTAACTCATTTTATGAGGCCAGCATCATCCTGATACCAAAGCCGGGCAGAGAAACAACCAAAAAAGAGAATTTTAGACCAATATCCTTGATGAACATTGATGCAAAAATCCTCAATAAAATACTGGCAAACCGAATCCAGCAGCACATCAAAAAGCTTATCCACCATGATCAAGTGGGCTTCATCCCTGGGATGCAAGGCTGGTTCAATATACGCAAATCAATAAATGTAATCCAGCATATAAACAGAACCAAAGACAAAAACCACATGATTATCTCAATAGATGCAGAAAAAGCCTTTGACAAAATTCAACAACCCTTCATGCTAAAAACTCTCAATAAATTAGGTATTGATGGGAGGTATTTCAAAATAATAAGAGCTATCTATGACAAACCCACAGCCAATATCATACTGAATGGGCAAAAACTAGAAGCATTCCCTTTGAAAACTGGCACAAGACAGGGATGCCCTCTCTCACCACTCCTGTTCAACATCGTGTTGGAAGTTCTGGCAAGGGCAATTAGGCAGGCGAAGGAAATAAAGGGTATTCAATTAGGAAAAGAGGAAGTCAAATTGTCCCTGTTTGCAGACGACATGATTGTATATCTAGAAAACCCCACTGTCTCAGCCCAAAATCTCCTTAAGCTGATAAGCATCTTCAGCAAATTCTCAGGATACAAAATCAATGTACAAAAATCACAAGCATTCTTACACACCAACAACAGACAAACAGAGAGCCAAATCATGAGTGGACTCCCATTCACAATTGCATCATTCACTTTTAAGTATGGGCTTACCAATAATTCCTATTCCCCTATCTATTAGAACAAAGATTAAGAGGTATTACCAGTTTCATGCCCAGACATAGGAAAAAATTAAGAATTTTATTCATCTTTCTAAATGAATCCATGCAGATATCAGTAAGAGAGTATTATTCATATAACTTTGCTGTTTTAATCATCTAATTAACTGTAATCTTCTCTCCTATTAGATTTAACAATGTACAGACCCTGGAGTTTCTCTTTATACATCGTATATAGTACCTGCTTCTGGTTCTACCATCTGAGAAATGGATCAGCCCATGCCAGAAAAGTGTTGCTAAATCATTTGAACTGTAAATTTCAATTCATCGTATCCACTTTACTTTGCTGACAGAAGTAACATTGAGTAAGTTTCATCAACTCAATTTTACTAAGTTTTATGTCATCCTTGTTTAAATATTTTAAACAACATATGTAATCAGAATACCTCTGGACTGTTTGAGGCAATAGATACATTTTCCAATTGTGCATTATATTTTTACTTATTTTTATTTGTATTATAAATTGACAAAGTATAAATGTATATATGTTTATATGAGTATAAAATGATGATGATATGAATGTTAATTAACATATTCTTCATCTCAAATGCTTAATACTTTTTGTGGTGAGAACATGTGGATTTTACTCAGTGATTGTGAAATACGCTATATATAATTAATTGCTATATTCACCATGCTGTGCAATATATCTCAAAGTAAACAAAAATCTTATTCCTCCTGTTTAATTGAGGCTTTCTTTCCTTTGATCATCATTTCTTGATCCCTGCTCCAACACCCTACCCTCTGATAATCACCATTCTATTCTCTGGTTCTTTGAGTTACATTATATTTTGAGTGTTACTCATGAACACTAAACAATGTGCAATGATACAATGCTGTTCATCTTATATTCTGCTTAGTGACTTCAAGGAAAAATCACAACTCTTACTTTTAAGCTCTAGAGAGAGATTTAAAACAAACTTCATTTATTAATAAATACTTGCAATACCATATTGGTTTTTCCTGTGTAATAAAAGAGGCATCAGCTCTTGGGTGACATCATTGACAACTGTTTTTCTTCTGATATACCCACAGGATATTGACTGTGATAATTATCTTCTCAACTTGGATGGTATTCTCATTTTTGTCAAAAGTTTCTATGAGCCCAGTAGTAGCAACAGATAATTAATGTCTATGCAACTCTGCATGAATGACTGATAAGAACTAGTGGAAGACTGGATTCATTTCTGAAAGAAACACACAAATATTTAAAACTCACTGAATACACACATTTAAACTGACCATTGCCAAGAACAATTTACAGGGAAACAATCTTCGCTTGATGGTAGCTGATATATGTCTTGAGTCTTTCATCAACAAAATGATTTTTTTGGCAACTTTAATGTAACATTTGATTAATTAAAGGTAGGATGAGGATCATACCAATGAAAGACAGTTATCAGTGAGAAAAACCACAGTTCTTAACATCTAAATATATTACCTTCATTATGCTAGTGTGGCTATTGCCTCAACGTTTTTATGAAAATTAACAGTTATTTCAGAAAAAAAATACCTGAAAATTCAAGGTGATAGATAACATGGTTTACTGAAAAAACAAAACAAAACATCAAAAACCAATATGTAGACATCTGAAGAAGGTGGAAGGGAAAGGAGAGCTTATATATTTAATAAAACTAATTTCTATATTAGTGTAAGAAATTAAATCATATTGTACATCCCAACCAAATTTTAAACAAAGCTAGCATGTGACATGCCATGTTTTGCTCAAATACTATTTAACTAGTGTGGCCTTCTCAACCATAATAATTAAAATGCCTCCTCCTGACTAAAAGTTCTCTTTTCTTTTTTGCCTACATTACTTTTATAACATGTATCACCATGTGAAATCTTTCATGCTTTAATTGCTTATTTATTTACTGTTTGCCTCCCCTCCTCCTCACACCCACACTGACAAGGTGAAAGGACAAGGGTTTCATCTTTGTTCACTAATGTATCTACAAGGCTAAGAACAAATCTTGGCACAAATAGGATTCAATAAATATCTGTTAAAATAATAACTCCACTATTTAGATGTATAATTAGAAATTAAATTAATGTTACTGAATCAGAAATAAATGTACACAATAAAAGCTTTCATTTTTAAAAAAATGACAGTTGTATAGAGAAGTTTATACTTGTTCCAATCATTCTTAAATCATTGCTTTTGCTTATTAAAAAATCAAAGGTATTTACCTGCTATCTAAATATATATATGTATATATATATATATATATATATATAATATGTGTGTATATATTTAAGTGTATATATGTATATATATTTAAATAGATGGGTCAAAGGAACAGAATATATATGTCATTTAGAATTAATTTATTTGGAAATTATAAAAAATGAATTCAGCCAAATTAAGTATAATAATTGATTTGCTCATCTAAATACAAAGTCAAAAATTGTTAGGTATCAATTTATCTGACTGCAAGTGTTACACACATTTTTCCGGTTTTTCTCTTTACCCTTCAAAATACTTCTTCATCAGAGTTTCTTCATAAATATCAGTTGGTTGCCAGAAGCTTCTGTGGGCTAAAACTTTAAGGTCTTACGGGGAAAAACAACAACAACAACAACAAACTTCACTCCTGTAACACTATTGAGGAAAGTGAAGATTTTTTCCCCCCAGACTCACAGGAAACATCTTCAAAATTGCCCATGGTTGAATACTGAGCAGCAAAACATGTGCCCATTACAAAGGTTTATTCACTTTTTGGGGGATACTGGTTCTTTGGCTTGTATGTCTTTACTAATTGCCAATCAAAAGGTAAAATTGTAGCTGCTAGTATATTTGGGAGGGTATAAATAGAAAAAAGTCATTCAGGAATTCTGAAGCATTCTTCATTATATTCGATTTCTTCTTACTTGTCTAGAATATAGTAAAAGCGGGACAAGGAACACTTGAGAAGTTTCCAGAGAGAAACAGGAAAAATTCTCAATGACTACAGATTAAGACTTGTGAGAAAGAATCAGATAAAATTTAATCTATGTAAGATAAATATTATAAATTATTTAGTAATTTTAAATAATTTGATCTCTGAGCCTTTTAAATTTGCCTGATTCTCTCATCCCAAATTCCTACAGACATGCTACTTGATACTTACAGGGTAAGTTCTAGTGTTATAGGAGTTATTAAATTATTTTAGGCAGATAGAGAAGAAAACGGATCCCTGGGAAGTTTTTTTTATTTTAAAGCAGCTCCAAAAACGTTTCTTGTTTAGCAGGAAAGCCCCAGCTCTTAGTGCCAGCCGGCAAGCTTTGATACACAAATGCAGGCCATTAGAAACTGGGTCCACCCAAATATGGTCTTCTTCTTGTCCCCACATGTGCCTGGCAACATGGCCGCCCCCACATATCCCCACGTGTGTAGAACATCATGGCACCCTGCCTGTGCATATTAAAAGGTTAGGGTGGGAGGGCTAGTTTTTTCACAGTCTACGTGAATGACATACCTGGTCAAACCAATACCCTGGACCCTGTGCGAATCAGACACTGCCTCCTCCAGCCTCATCGTATAACTGGATGTTTTCTGCTGCACTGGGGGTTTCCTCTCTCGGCTTCGAGCCCCCTGCCTTTGTCTCTGTACTGGGGAGGTTCTTCCTTCTTTCTTGCCTATTAAACTCTCTGCTCCTTAAAACCACTCCACGTGTGTCCGTGTCGTTTTATCTAAATCAGCGTGAGACCAAGGACCCTGGTGTTCCCCAGTCATCGGAGTTGTATCACTAAGATAGTCCATCTATCAAGTGATAATATTACAATAATAAAAAGTTCAATGTTCGAGCACTCAAGCATCACTCATTGTGCTAAGTTATGTCCAGTAACTCCTTTTTTCATTGGAATGACTTTATGTTATATAAAAAAATTACTTTAGAGTTTTAACACATGCACAGATTCAGAGAGCTAGTGAACTTGCAGCAGCAGGGTGTGATCCCAAATCTTTTGGGCTACAATAACCATGTTGTGTCTCATAATTTTTGGATGCTGTTGTCTGCTTAGAACATTTATTAAATTTCTCAGATCTCTCTGGCTTTATTCCTAGCCAATGTTAGTTTGTTCTCAGTTAAGATTAATAAACTGATCTTGCAATGACAATTTAATAAACATGTATAGAACTGTTACAATGTGCATAAATTGTACAGTGAACCAATAACTCATAGATGAGTGATTAAACGATTATTTATAAACTAGGTCATTTTATTATCTAATTGAAAATAATCAGAACAGCTCGAAAAAATATAAAAGTTGCATTCAAAGGCACCAGAGTGCTAAAGAGGTATCAGAGAAGAAAAGAAAGAATTTCTGAGGAAAAAATGAAATTAGTTTGACTTCTAGTTATTCCTACATTTTTCACATGCAAAAAGTCACACATAGTAATTAGCCATACAATGGAGAGCAAAAATTGTGATTAAAAATAGCCACACAATACAACATAGGATGGAAGTAAATGAGAAAAGAGACATAGATCAGTATCTTCAGAAGTCTGAATGAAATCAGATTAACATATTTGATGAAGTTAAAGATTAAGATTGAATATTTCAAGAGAGAATGAGAAATGTGAAAGTTAAATGAAAGATAATTCTGGACCAAAAAATACAGCTGAACATGAGAACTGCATAAATTTAGCAGTAGATATTAATGAACAAAGATTTAGATAACAGTAACATAGGTAAAGAATACAACTAGAATGGAGAGAGAGGATAGAAAGGGAGGCAAGGAAAGGGAGGAAAGAACTAAGAGTATACAGGTTCAAAGTCCAGCCTGACCCAATGGAAGCTCTGAGAAACAAACTTTTATATGTCCACACAAGTTATTCATGAACCAAGAGCTGTCCCAGACTAAGGGAGTGGTAGGTGGGGTATGAAAATGCCCACTCCAGGTATGAACAGAAGCAAAACAGCTCTATAGCCTGAGGGTTGTCTTTGATTTAGAGTCACAGTTTCAAGCTATTCAAAGCAAAAGTCCACAGAAACTTGGGGAGAGGAGCATGGGACCAATGCAAGGGAATCTTAGGCAAGTAGATGAAACATCAACAAGGTTTACTGAAAATGGATTTCATCTTGAAAAGGAAAAGAAGTATTAAGTCATGCAGACCATCTAAATAGGGAGAGAAAATCAATCTTGATTTAATCTATATGAAGAAGCAATTGACCAGATGAAAGCAAAGGTTTAGAGGTGAGAATAACTGGAAAATAATGGGAATACTCCCAGTTTGGTAAATGATATGAAAGAACATTTAATAGAGCTCCTGCAATTCTTGAGTATACCTGGGGTGGAAGCATGTCCTTTATTCCTATATTCTGTTTCCTTAAACTCTGTACCTGCAACTATTGAGATACTAAGAATATATATGGGAAATGTGAGAATACTTCATATATAATAAACATATATCTATATATAGGTATATATACATATGTGTGTATATATAGGCATATATATACATATATGTGTGTGTGTGTATATATATATGTATATCAAGTTTTTAATAGCCTCTCAAGGTATCTTTGAGGGAAAGAGAATAAATCAGTTAACTAAACACAAAACCAAAACCTAGGTTAGCACATAAGATCAACTAATCAAAAAACTGCATTAGGGAATGTTTAATCAAAGAAAATAGTTCTTGCTCTCAGGTGATGCATATCATTGTACAACCAGGCAGACAATTTGCATTACAATGAATAAATGCACACATTTAAAAATACTGAATAGCGATATAAAAATGAAAGAATAAAACAGGAAATATGATAGAAATGCCTAAAAGAGAATGTTCAGATCAGCACGGCCTGTGACCGCACAGAGAACTCTTTCTCTTTTGTAGCTCCCCTATCTTGATTCCCACTCATTTTTGGAACCTTGATCTTTTAGCCTTCCAGGCGAGTGCATGAGCTTCCCAATATTTTTACAATAAATTCCTGTCCTTGCTAAAGTTAGTCAAAATATTTTAAAACAATCTTGGTCAAAAAGGGAACAAAATTTAAAAATGCAATAAATAGATAATGATGAGAGTAATGTATTACATATATGAAAGTGTAAGATTTAGTTTATGTAGCTCCAAAAGCAAATGTAATATTTGTGTATGTTTGTGTATTATGAATTAAATTATGCTTTCTAGAAATAATAAAATCACAAGAAATAACATTTTTAAAAAGGAAACATACATGGTAAATTATAAATAAGTGAATTCAAAACTACAAAAGCAGAGACTTGTTTGGAAAAAATTTATGTAGCCTGATACAATTTATAAAATAAAAACAATAATGCTAGAAATAGGTACATATAAAAAGAAGTTAACAAAATCATAACAGAATATTTTATCCAACATTTTCAAAGTGTATAACAGATTGACATCAGCAATAACGTCAGAGTAAGGAACTCCAATAATTCTCTTCTCCAAAAAGAGAGCAAGAAAATTAGCATGTGTGTTTGTGTGTGTGTACCAACCTTTTGAGAATTTAGGGGTGAGGGTGACTGGCATATAATGGCCTGATCACATTTACTTAATAAAATAAGAGTGGGTTTCTGGCATTTTAATTTGCCCTATTCTCAGTACTCCTTCCCCAACTCTATTATTACCTTGAGAACCAAAAGTCTGAATTTATGGTAAAAACCAGCTGCCCAGCAACCACTGATGTGAGGAGGAACACAGATTGGGGTTGAAATTCCTTCGGAGCTGTATTCTCAGATAATTTTCATTATTTTATCTTTCTGGTAGTTGCCTGGAAGATTCCACTTGCAAAATTGCCTTTATTTGAACAGATTCAGATCTTACCAAATGTAAATAGCCTTATTCCTGGGATCCTTTGCCAAAAACAATCAGAGGAAAAATAACACTTCAGCTGCCTAGTGGCCTGCTGTGATGGGTAATAGTAAGGCGAAACAACAGGTTAATCATAAGCTTTACAGGGAAAATCTAGGGGAATATGTCAGGCCTCTGAGCCCAAGCTAAGACATCATACCCCCGTGACCTGCACGTGTACCTCCAGATGACCTAAAGCAACTGAAGAACCACAAAAGATGACATTCCACCATTGTGATCTGTTACTGCCCCACCCTAACTGATCAATTGACCTTATGACAATACACCTTCCCCGCCCTTGTGATAATGTACTTTGTGATATTCCCTGCCCTGCCCTTAAGAAGATACTTTGTAATATTCTCCCTTGAGAATGTACTTTTTGAGATCCACCCCCTGCCCACAAAAAATTGCTCCTAACTCCACCACCTATCCCAAAACTATAAGAACTAATGATAATCCCACCACCCTTTGCTGACTCCTTTCTCGGACTCAGCCCACCTGCACCCAGGTGAAATAAACAGCCTTGTTGCTCACACAAAGCCTGTTTGGTGGACTCTCTTCACACAGACGCGTGTGACAGAAGAGATGTCCATAGAGGGTTTTAAAATGCTCCAAAATATTCCTGGCAATATATGAAGCCACATGCACATGACTAATTTGTGTGCATGTCCATGTTGTGTGCATTAGGAGAAAAGACTTGAGAACACCCTAAGCTCTCACCTTTGACTAATGATGACATTCTGCACAAGCAAGAAGTAAAGGCTAAGATGGAGTGGTAAGCTGCTTGAGTGAGTGCTGAGGATACATCCTAACGTGCACAAAAAGACTTGTGGCAATGAAGAGTAGACATTGATTCCAAGTGTCTAAGGGAAACCCTGTCCAATCATTAGAAGATCACTAAAGAAATCCAAGAGATTTCAGTGGCCACTTACAACAGAGAATACACACTTTGCAGGATCCATTCATTAAAGTCACTAAACAAAAAACAAAATCAAACAGGAACGAAAACACGCTTCAGAGATGGGAAAACCTGACTAACAGAGTTGCCACATTATATTACTTTAAATGTTCAATTTTTAACCAAAATTTACAAATACAAAAATAAATATGGCCTCTGGATAGAAATAATATGTATATAAAAATAATGTATAATGTTATATAATAATTCTATATTAATGATATGTTAATATATCATATTATTCATATATTTAATATAGTAATGATACCACATTGATAATTATATATTATAACATATATAATCTAATAATTATAACTATATTATCTCATTATTAATATTGTACTAATAATAGATAAATATATGATGCATATTACACACACACACACACACACACACACACAGTCCATATAAATTCGTTATTCTTGAAGGAAGGCCAGATACAGACTTACTAGACAGGGATTTTAAATCAGCTATATTTTTATTTATTTATTTTTTTTCCTGAGATGGAGTCTTGCTCTGTCGCCAGGGTGGAGTGTAGTGGCGTGATCTCCACTCACTGCAAGCTGCACCTCCCAGGTTCAGGCCATTCTCCTGTCTCAGCCTCCCGAATAGCTGGGACTACAGGCGACAGCCACCGTGCCCAGCTAATTTTTTTTTTTTTTTGTATTTTTAGTGGAGACATGGTTTCACCGTGTTAGCCAGGATGGTCTTGATCTCCTGACCTCGTGATCCACCTGCCTCAGCCTCCCAAAGTGCTGGGATTACAGGTGTGAGCCACCACACCCGGCCTTAAATCAGCTAATTTAAACATGTTGAGAGAACAAAAGGATACATCGTCTAAAAAGCCAAAGGAATATATGAGAACAATGACTCACCAGATATAAAATATGAGTAAATATACAGAAATTACATAAAAAGGAAAGTCTGAGGTTACAATGATAAATTTGTTAGAGAAGTGCAATAGTAGATTTGAAAGTTTCAGCAAAATATAAGATAGATCATCTGAAATTATTCAGTCTGAGGAACAGACAGAAAACAATAAAATAAAAAAAAAAACCTTCAGCGATACAGGGACAATATCAAGTGAGCAAACATGGTCATAATGGGGGTTCCAGAATTAGAGGAGAGAGAAAAAAGGCAGAAAAATGTTTGAACAAATAGTGACCCGGAACTTCCCAGATTTGATGAAAGATTTTATCAACATATATAAGAAACTTTACAAATTTCAGGCAGAATTGAAAAGCTATCTCATGTTTATAGATGGGAAGACTTAATATTATAAAATGATGATACTCTACAAATTGATCTTTGTATTTAACATAATTCCTATTAAAATCTCAGCTACATCTATCTATTTTTATTTTGGAGAAAATAAAATAACTTTTCCTAAAATGCTTTTAAAAATACAAAAGACTCAACCTAAACAACTTGAAAAATAATAACAAACTTAGAAGACTTACTCTTAGCAATTTAATAACTAACATGCAGCTACAGTAACCTAAGATTTGTGGTACTGACACATGAGTAGACATAGAGATCAATGGAGTAGAACTGAAATGCCAGCAGTAATTCTATAAATTTATGGTCAGTTAATTTTCTATAAGGGAGCCAAGACAATCTAAAGGAGAAAAGACTAGCCCTTTAAGCAAACAGTCCTAGTGTTTAAGTGGATGTCTACCTGCAAAAGAAACAAATTAGTCTCCAACCTCATATCACATACAAAATTAACTCAAATAGAAAAAACAACAACACTTAAACAGTGTCTAAAGAGGTAAGAGGAACAACTAAAATTCTACGAAGAAAACAAAGGGTAAATCTTCCTGATCTTGGACTTGGCAATAGTCTCTTATGACAGCAAAAACACATTAATCAAAGAAACAAGAAAAATGAACTTTTTAAACTGAAAACTTATGCTAGAATAATCTCATCAATTAAGTGAAATGACATCTCACAGAATAGAGAAAATATCTGGCAAATCATGTACTTGACAAAGGTCTGGTAGGCAGAAGATATAAAGAAATGTTATGATGTAAAAACGAGAACAACAAAATGAATAACCCAATTTAAAAAGTGGCCAAAAGATTTTAATGGACAATTTTACAAGGAAGATATACAAATGACCAATACACATGTAACAATCACTGACCATCATTAGTCATCTGGGAAATGCAAATTAAAACACATTGACACAACATTTTCCACCAGTAATCAGGCTATAGTTACAAAGAAAGACAGATAATTACAAATGATAGCAAAACTACTGAAAAATTAGAACCTTCATGCATTTCTAGTGGTATGTAAAATGATACAGTTGCTTTGGAAAACTTTTGTAGTAGCCCAGAAAGTTACAGATAGTCTGGTTTTGCATGTATGAAACCCATAAGTCATCAATCCCATGCTCACAACAGGAAAAACAACAACAAACAAACCTAAAAACTGAATATCAAATCAGATACCACAGATCATCAGATAATTGAAATCACAGAAAAATTACTCTCCCCTCAAAGTGGAGAGATAGGCAGATACAGAAAATCATATTTACAAAGGCAAAAGCCCAGGACAGAAAACACTGCTGGAGCTATACTCAGGGTAGAAAAACTTTCAAGTGCAAATGAAAAATTGCAGGAGGCCCAGTGCAGGTAAACTCGATTATTAAAAATCCCCCAAAGCCTAGTCTTGGGAGGAGGTAGGTAGGGCCCACACATGAGTGGGTTTTACTTCCAGGAACTGTACCAGATACTTACAATTTAGATTGGGGAAGAAAAAATAAAAAATAAAATAAAAACAAACAAACCGCAAACAAAGAAACAAACAAAAACCTTCCAGTTCTTGCAGGAGAAGAGGAAATATAGCCACTATGAAATACACCTGGAATATTTTATTCTTCTTAACAAGATCTGCCCTCAAGAGAAACTATTTTACCAAGAGAAACTACTGGGTTTTACAAAGCCCAACTGACTGGGGATTTACCAGAACTTCAATGACTAGGTGAAGGGAAATAACCAACTCCAGTTTCCGCTAGGGCTCCTACTTGATCTAAAAGGAAAAATGTTCACCGAAATGAGACACAGTTGTGAAGCTCACAACCCAGGGACACAGGCATACTAAAAAGACTGACACCTAATCAAAGGACTGTAGAATGCTTCCCCTTTGCCACACCTTACCACCACATCAAAAAGTCTCCTGTATAACAACAGGGGGTTACGATGGAAAGAGTTGCAGACCTCAGCCCTTACTTAAAAATATATCTCTAAACACAGGACAAAAACAAAGACACAAGGGGAAATTTTAGCCTCTGACACCTGCAGCAACAACAAATAGTGAACACCTAGGCAGATAAACATAAAACCTCCTACTAAAGGCTTATGAAACTCAGTTTTTGCTAAACACAGTACACCATGTCCAACATTCAACAAAAAATTCACAAGGCATAATAAAAGAAAAGCACCATTTGAAGACAAAAAAAAAATGAGAATCAGAATCACTCAGCTATGGCAGTAATTTTTTTTAAAAAAGTTAAACATAAGATAAAAATATGACTTGTCAATACCACTCCACTTATATACCCCAAAATTTAAAACTATATATTCACAAAAATTTATATATGTGAATTCTTGAAGAAAAGTTATTCTTATAGCCAAAGAGTGGAGAAAACCCAAATATTCATCAATGGATGTATTGATAAATTTTCATATATCCATGTGATATTATACAGTCATAATAAAATAAAGTATTAATTCATACTACAACATAGTAAACCATAAAAGTATTATTCTTAGTAAAGCAAACCACACCGATATATCACAGATTGCATAATTGTGATTCAGTTTATTAGAAGTGTTCATAATTGACAAATTCATAGAGATAAAAGTTAGATTAGTGTTTGCCATGGGCTGGGGAAAGGTGAAATAGGAGTTACTGCTAAAAGGTATGAGGTTTCTTTTGGGGTGATAAAAACATTCTGAAATTAGTGTAATGGTTACATGTTTTACTAAATATTCTAAAAACCACTTAATTTTATACTTTAAAATACTTTTTTTTTGGTGCAAATTTGGCTTTGGGAAGTGCTTTGGAGCTTCCTCTTGGTCCAACCACTGAGCTGGTTATCGCTGGTTGTCAAATAAAATCCACTTTCGTCACACGTCACAATCCAATCAAGAAAGGTTTTATTGTTTTGGGGTAGAATAAGAAAAGACAACACTTCAAAATAACAATTTTTAAAATTTTTGCTCAGCTCATGAAGTACACACTCATTGAGCTTTTTCACCTTTCCAATTTAGTTCAAATGCTGAATGACTGCGTGGTCGATGTTGAGTTCTTTGGCAACTTTCATGTAGTTGTAAGAGGATCAGCTTCGATGATTGCTCTCAATTGGTCATTGCCAGCTTCCAATGGCTGGC
The DNA here is from genome assembly GCF_000001405.40 of Homo sapiens. Classification (NCBI taxonomy): domain Eukaryota; kingdom Metazoa; phylum Chordata; class Mammalia; order Primates; family Hominidae; genus Homo; species Homo sapiens. The sequence continues at coordinate 188,572,799 of NC_000001.11, forward strand.
CACTAAGCTCTTCATCTTCAAGGTTCTCATCTCCTTTGCAAAACTTCTTGAGCCACCACTGTTTGTTAGCAGCTCCTGGGCCAAACGCGTTGTTGATGTTGCCAGCTGTCTCTGCTGCATTATGACCCATTTTGAACTCGAATAAGAAAATCGCTCAAGTTTGTTTTTTGTCTAACATCATTTCCATGGTCTAAAATAAACAGCAAGTAATAAGTCATTAGCAAAAACAATCACTGAGTGCACATTAAAGTGATGTATAACATAACCACTTTAAGAATGTATTCCAATATGACATGGCAAATTTCAACAATGTGAAAACCACATTACTTTTGCACCAGACTAATAAGACTCATATAGTAAACTGGATGGTATACATAATTTATTGGTAATAAAATATCTGAGAACACACTATAATACTATGTATAGCAATATCTACTATAACGGGAATCTCTTAGGGACAAAACTACTTTCTCAGTAATCAAACATACCTTACTACTGACTAGATAATGACATGAATAATGTTATTGTAACCAGTATCCCCACTATTCCAAGAGATAGTTTATTTTTCTCTCTCTTCTTTTCTCTTTCCTTCATTTCCCTACTTCCTACCTGCCTCTTTAGAAATGTAACTATAGCCTTTTACCTCATCTTCCCCAGCCATCCCTACAGGGCAAGTTCATCTAATAGTGTGCTTAGAAGCTCCAGAATGGAATTCTCACCCACCAGGAAGTTGCCTCAAGAGACAACAGTCAATTTACAACCCAAAGTATACCTGCTAGAGTTTCCAGCCACCTTTACAATCTATTTCTGCCAATGAAGATGCCAACTCAACTGCCTGGTAGATGAGGCACTGAAGACTCCCCACCTGCTAACTTCTGCCCCTGCATCGGCCTACCTTTAAAAGCACCTGCTTTCTGCCCCAAAAAGGAAGCAGTACCCTTAAGGCAGGAGGTCTGTACTTATTCCCCTAGTTTTAGAACTAAGCAATGTACTTATTCTTGATTTAGAATAAAAAGTCACTTTCTTCACACTTGACCTCACTCTTGTAAATTAGATCTGTAAGTGGTGAATGACAGAACCTGCATTTTGGTTTCAAATTTGATGGCCTATATGGGGAAAACACAGGGTGCTCTGGATGAGCCGGCACTTGACAGGTGGGTTTTGCTACCAGGCAAGACCTGTGGGTGCCAACTGCTTGTGGTTAGTGTACCCCATGACAGAAATGCTAGTGAACTTCTCAGCAGCTGCTAATACCACTATTTTGTGGGGAACCTTCCTTTTTGCTTCCTGGTATGATGTCTGCTACCTTCAAAGCTTCACTGGTACAAATAAAGTGATCTCTGAAAACGCCGTCAAATTTTGGAACTGGCAAGTTAGTTGGAGTGCACCTGACTACCCTCTGCTTCTTTCAAGGTGTCAATGGGGCCCTGCTGTATTTAAGACTTGGCTGCTAGTGACACCATTTGAACATTTTATGCATCTGTATTTGTTTGTATGTGCAGCACCATGGGAGATTTGCCTGGCTTGGACTCAGCTGCCCATAGAGTCATTCGGAACTGAAAAGGAAAATTCAGGACCTAATTCAACCCCTTTAATTCAGGACTCATTTGGAAAAGCACTGTTTGCATGTGTGAATGCATGACTTGGTGTATGGGCCCTGATTTTTTTCTTTCCTCTCTACCTCCAATCTCATCTTTCTATCTTCAGAGAGCCACCTACTGCTTTACTCCTAGCTTCTTACTCCCTCTGGCTGGAAGCCACTTACCTTGACCAGTGACTTGAAGAGGTGGGAGAGACTCATCCAGCACCATGATAAACATGGAGTTCTGAGGCTCTTCCTAATGGGAGACAAACGAGGGTGGTGAGAGTATCAACCTTGTGCCATGTAGTGGCTAGAAAGCTCTTGAGTTCCCTTTCTTTCACTTAACTTTTTCCTCTCTTTCTTTCCCTTCCCTCTCTCTGATGCCATACCTGTAAAATATGGCTGCTATGCAGAGGCTTGCATATCTTCCTCTATTTTATTTTCTGTCTGATTTCACTATTCTATTACTTTTATACTGGTATTAAGATAAAAACAACTGTTTAGAGGCAATCATTTTTTATGAACTGATGAGCTTTTATTGACATCTAGACTCTATGGCTAGAGTTCTGAAATAAAAACTAAAAAATATTTGTTTATCTGAGCATGTATGTATTTATGAAAACATTCATGTATTTGTTAGGTGTTGTGGCCCAATGTACCAAACTGGCTTAATTAAAGAGTATGCATAAATTAAGTCAAATGGTTCCCATGTTCAAATAAGTTTAAATAAGTAAAGTAAAATCTTAAATAAATAAGCTGGCTTCAAAGTTATTGATAAAATAATATTAGGAAAGTCTTGAGAATTGTCAACATACTTTTTTAAATTTATTGATCAAGTGGCTTTATATTTATCTCTGCCAGATATTGTAACATGTTAAAATTTGACAAAAGAGTTATAAAACTATAAACACAGCCCAAACAGAATGATCGCAGTTTGTATGATATTGATAAGTAAGACATTTAATATTAGTTCCATGAAAAAAGCTAAATCTGTTTTATCAACAAAATGCCCATATGTTTAAGCTTCTTACTTAGATATGCACCTAATAGCTACTAATTACCACATTTGTGTAATATCTTTTTTTATAAGTAATCAAAATTAATGGATAGACATTGGAAGATTGGGTGCATATAAATGAAATGAATGCTAGTTGGTAAAAGTTTTGCTTATTGACTTATTTATTAATTTTTGAGACAGGATTTCGCTCTGTCACATAGGCTGAAGTACAGTGTCATGATCTCAGCTCACTGCAGCCTCTACCTCCCCAGCTCAAGCGATCCTCCTGCCTCAGCCCCCCCAGGTAGCTGGGACTACAGGCCCACACCACCATGCCCAGCTAAATTTTTTTTTGTATTTTTTGTAGAGATGGGGTTTTGTCATGTTGCCCAGGCTGGTCTCAAACTACTGAACTCAAGTGATTCACCTGCCTCGGTCTACCAAAATGTTGTGACTACAGGCGTGAGCCACTATGTTTTGTATACTTTAAAATCTTAAAATCATTTTGTATGCTTATTTGTTGTCTGGGTCATTTTCAATTAACAAAGGTTATTGTATGTGCAAAATGTTCCAAAAATTGTGAAATGATTCTAATCTATAAAATGCTAATATCTTAAAAGTAGTTCAGAATTTCTTGCTTTCTAAGTTTATATAAAGTGTGCAAAAAATGATGCATTCTTATGGAGAAAAATAATAATTTTGTCTTATTCAAAAGCCAGGAATATTAGCTGTTTCTTCTAGGTAAATGAGGTATCAAAAGATTCTTCTTTTAAGAGCTCTGTAGTTAGAAATCAACTTAGTTAAAGCTGATGTCTGAGGTATATGTTAGTACAGATACTGTTTTAAAGCCCCTACTCACTTTCTAAAAACATCACAGTCAACAGAATTCTGATTCTCTGTTTACTGGCAGTTTCTCCTTCTTCTTGTATCTAATCTTTTAGCCCTACCAGTTCCTCATCTTTCTGTCTGCGTATTTCTGTCATATGTGATATTTCACTACCAAAATATATGAAAGAGCTCTAATTAGCTGACTTAAAAAATAGAAACCTAAAAACAAACATGTTTTCAGAAAAATAGAAACATTAATATCTTTAGGTCACATGACTCTAATAATCTTTGAAAAATAAAGAAAGTTTAAAGATTATTGGCAAACTAAAATAAAAATGTCTTCAAAATTTAGATATTTGGTCTAAATCAGGCAGATCAGATACTGTTTGCTAGATGCTTTAAGGCCATAAACTGCTTCTATGACCTTTAATGATTATTTGACTTGTCTATTTTACAGTCATTAGATTCTAAGAAAGGGCTGGAGACATATGGAGTTAGCCAGGTCCCCTGGCTAGGCTGGGAAGAGTCAGACAGTGTCTGCCACTCTGTCCTTGTCCTGGGATCTACAATCTGGTATATGGTTAAAATAGCTTTTATCCCAGGTTTTCCACCAAAAATAAAGGTTTCCAATAGTCAACAAAGTAACCTGTAATTGAGACTACTGGAGAAACAGTTTCACATGCAAGGTGTATAAGGAAAGTGAATATGTTTTTGGTAAAGAGTTATAAGAATGCATGGATGTATGAATATTGCTAAAGATAATGTAATTTTGTTTATTTCAGAAGGTTTTAAGGGTTGTCCTAAGCTAGAAGAGTAATAGGACAAAGCTAAAAGTTTAAACAAGTTGTAAATGTTTTTAAAAGATTAATCTTTTACAAGAAATTATGTGAGTATGAGCAAGTTGGCTAAAATTTGAAGGGATTTATCTTTTTTAGATTAAACATTAGAGTAAAAGCACAGTGAACACCCAAGAGAGGGGCAGATCAAGATAGTGGAAATACAAGGCTCCACCGATAGGTCATCCAACCTCCCATCCACTGGCAAGGACACCATTATTAATTGTGAAACGTTGTGAAACATTGTTAATTCATTTGTTTTTCACAGTCTAGAAAAATTTTTCTCTTTTGAGCTATTTGAAGCTTTCAACAATTGGGTACAGTACACTCTTGTGAGAAAACTTTGGATCATATTTCTTTCTTGCTACCTGATTTCCCCAGAATTTGAAAATTATCCGTAACTATATTTAATTTATGGCAGTATAGTTATTTGCATAAGTTCATTAAGAGTCTGTTTTCTTTCATAACAAGATTCCATTGGAGACACTGGTTATTTTAGCAAAGATTTGACTTAAATGACCTACTTTCTGATATAAACAGACTGCTTTAAGGGCTCGAAGTTGACTTGCAGTGTCAATTAAAGTCCCTTGGGAAGAACTTGCCTCACACCTTGTCTACACAGTCCTTGTACAGGGTTTCCTAAACTTTGGTAAGTAAAGGATGCCCCTTTCTGACAGTCCCAGGAACCCCGTTGTCTTAGAACCTCAAGAGGAGAGGAATATATTCAATCCATACAAGTATTTGCAGGCACAGATAAATCCATGGCTGGGCTCAAGGCTTAAGAAGTCTAATCAGAGATTTCTTATGGAACAAAGTTCTGACAAAGCCAATTTTTAAAGCAGCCTATATGACAAATAATTTTTTTTTTGCATTTTATGAAAATACTTAGGCCAAGTATAATACAAGTAAAACTTATTTTGCAAATAAATTTGTCCTACTATGATTTGTCTTTAGTAAAAATGGGGATTGGAGAGAAAAAAATAAGTTTCAGAAAAAAACTATCATACTTCTGTTGTTAGATACCAGCCTTGTTCATCATTTTTTTTTTGTTTTTTAATCTTTTTGCATTGTGAACTAATCCTGAATTCTATTTGAGCCTATGATTTCCTAAACTAACACTTTTAAGTTCTTCCACTTATCTGATTTGGACTTAATGAAATTACTACTACATTATTCCTTATAACATAGGTGAGACAAATGTTTCAGGCTCCCACCACCTTCTTCCTCTGTAACTAAATATGCTTTGAGTCTAACATCTAGATCAATTGTGACCAGTGTTAACATTTTTTTCTTCTTTTTTCATAGAAATCCCTCTTATTAAAAATGTGTTTGCTTTCATCAGATGCAGAGGCCTAGCCCATCAGCAATGCCATCTCCTGTATGAGACAGCTATTTTACTAAACTGATCTGATCTCAAAAACTAGCAGTCTGATGACCACTTTCCTGAGTATTCACAGTTTTTTCTGTAACCTGTTAAATATATATTTAGCCACCTGTCATTCTATCAGGTTAGAGTCAGCTATGGGGAACCTGCATGATATGTTTAAGCAATTAAGTCTAACTGCTGTGTATATATCTGATATAATTTAGGAAATGTCTCAGACAGCTCTGTGAGATATGCTCCAACAAATCAAAGCAAAGCTATGTCTGACCCCAAATTGTCACTAGATCAATGGTTAGCATCCTGATTTGGGCCTGCATATTCGCTTCAGTGTCTTATCTACTGGGTAGTCAAGTTGATGTCTTCATTGGCAGAAATAGGACATAAAGGTGGCTGAAAACTCCAATGAGCATACTTTGAGTTGTAAGTCAACCTTCATTTATTGAGGCAACTTCTTGGTGTGGGAGAGTTCCATTCTGGAGCTTCTTATTTTATTTTATTTTTATTTATTTTTATTTTTTTGAGATGGAGTCTCACTCTGTGGCCCAGGTTGGAGTACAATGGCAAAATCTCAGATCACTGCAATCTCTGACTCCTGGGCTCAAACAATTCTCCTGCCTCAGCCTCCCTAGTAGCTGGGAATACAGGCATGCACCACCACACCTGGCTAATTTTTGTATTTTTAGTCGAGACAGGGTTTCACCATGTTGGCCAGGCTGGTCTTGAACTCCTGACCTCAGGTGATCCACCTCTCTTGTCCTCCCAAAGTGCTGGGATTACAGGCATGAGCTACTGCACCCAGCTCATGCTGGAGTTTGTAAGCACACAGTGAAATGAACTTGCCCTATAGGAGTGTCTGTTGAAGAAGTGGTAAAAGACTGTAATTACATATTTAAAGAGCCAAGTAGGAAGTGAGAAAAAGAAGAAAAGAGAAAAGAAGAGAGGGAAAAAGCTAAACTATCTCTTAGAAAAATAGAGGTACTCAGTTGCATTCTTAGATTAAATGACTTAATCTATAAGAATATAATTCTTTCCATACCAAACTCTGAAATATAAAGAACACAACCAAATTAAAACTAGATTTATAAACAGTAATTGACAAACTATTCTTAAATGTATTTGAGATAGGACAGACCTACGCACAGCTTGTCAATATTTATTTTGTGAATGTTAAGCTGAAATATGGAGTAATGGAAACCTAAACAAACATGATACCAACTACATAGGTGAAGAATAGTTGGAATAAACACCTGCACGTAAAAGAAAAATTAAAAATCTAACAGAAGGAATATGTAGACTATTTTTCTACTTCATAGGTTGAAAAGTTTTCTTCTACTATTTCAAAATTCAAACCAGATAGTGAAAAAAATAATGATTTTATTACACTAATATGTATCATTTCCATAGAGAAAAGGGCATAGTTTTCAAAACTAATCAATGACAGATTTGAGCTGATACCTTGAAATGTCTTAAAATAACAAGGCATATGTGTCTAGAATACTCTTTGTTATGCAATTAATAACTTTTCATTAGTATACAGTTAGTATATAGTATATTAGTACATTAGTATACATTGTTATGTACTATACAGTAAATGTTTAACATACTTATTATGTACAAGAAACAATTACAAATTTGCTTCAAAGAGACAGGTAATGTGATCCCAAAAATGAACAAAGTTTTGCAGAAAAAGGAGACCAATTAGATATTCAAATTGACTAGGAATGAGAAAAGTATAAGTTGAAACAATCCTGAGACACCATTCCGTGCCCCTCAGATTAGCCAAATTTGAAAGTTGAAATATTCCAATTTACAATGAGCATGGGGAACCAGGAGCTCATATATATGGCAAGCTGGAGTGTAAAATTAATAAAATTGTCTCACTTTGTGACATTTAATAGGCTTTTACCCTATGACCCAGTCAGTAATCATGTGCCAAAGCATTTAATCCCTGAGAAAATTTCACACTTTTGGAGGAAAAATAGATAACTTTGCATCAAGATGGTAATAACTATAAAAATATTGTGTATGTCTGTATACAATATTATGCAATAAGAGAAGCAATAAATTAGATGTACATAGAACAACATAGATACATCTTTTAAAATAGTGTAAGTTTTGAAATAACATAGAACAGAAAATGGTGTGTAGAATATCATTGAAGAAAGTTAAAAACAGTTGCATACAAACCATTCTTATTTTAAAAGTGTTTATTCAAAGACATATATCAAACATTAAAGTGTGTATATGTACAGATAAAGGGGGAAATGACAGTTATCAGGAATAAATTGGGGAGTGGGCAACAAACAACAGCTAAATAGGAAGCCCTTGATAAGATCGATGATGAAAAAGCATGTTGAAAACTCAGGAGAAATATCACAAGAAATTTCTGCGGGATAAATGAAGAAAGGAAGAGGTGGAGGAAAAAAGAGAGGGATGGAAAAAGAGGAAGAGTCTACAATTTGTTGTCAGTTATGTCTGTTTCAATTTCCTTACTATCTTTCCACATTTTTCCTCAGATCATAGGATTTTGACTCTATCAAATGTGTTTTAGAAACATGCTTTACATCTTTTAAGTTCTTAGTCTACTAAGTCCTTTAAAGCTTTAGATGTGCATAAAAAGTGTTTTAGCCTTTAATATGAGAAAAAAAGAATATTTCACTTGCATAGGAACAATATGAAATCCTTAGTGAAATGCAGGCTTTCTTAAATTCAGTATATACTCCTAATTTCCTGAAAGCTATGTTGACTTAACTTAGTATGTCCCATTCCCACTTTTCTCTCTGAAGTGATAGAAAAAGTAAATTATAAAAATAACTAAAAAGCAGAAGATTGGACCTCATAATTTACAATCTAAATCAATCATTAAACATATCTTAACAAAATCATTTATTCCTTTAGACGTTCACCTTACTAAATAAATATAGATTTTATAGTAATAAAATGCAAGTATACATTATTGAAGGAATAAATAAAATAACTAACAAAAATAAAACTGGTGCAACTATCACTTGTAACCAGAAGTGGATATTTCAATCATTTTTGAATTAATTTTTAAGTTGACTGCATCACAAATTGGTGTTTTCTGCAGATCAGCAGTGACAAATTAGATGCTGAAATATCTATTCAACCTTCTGTTTAATTCTAGTATTTTTAAAAAACTTTTATCTAAGAGGATTGTTCTTATGTTAGGATAAGAATTCTAAAGAACAAGAAGAGCAAATGTGGTATGTCACATCAGAATAGCCTTTTTTTTTTTCATTTCTAGAAGCACATTATGCATAGTTTTATATGTTTTGATAAATAGTACCTTTTCCCCTAAGGTTTGCCATGAGTTCCAAAATGAAGAGACTGAATAAATTTTTTTTCAAAATTCTTCCATGTTTGTATAGGCAACCATACTTAAACAACTTAGGTGTATTAGACAGAAGCTAGAAGTCTTTCTACTCCTTATTTTCTAATTGGTTTTATTCTCTCTTATGTTTGATATAAGGTTAGAAATTTTAACACTTCTAAAATTAACAATGCTCTGGAATTTTTGAAGATTTCAATTGAAATTTAGGTTTATTTTAGGGAACAATATTTGTTTTTATGTACTAATGCAAATGTAGGTTTCTGCATTTCCTCAAGTCTTATTTAGGTTTCCAGCTAAGTTTTGTAATTTGTCATTTGTTATTAGTTTTATACCTACACATTTGATAGACTCTATTGCTACTGTGAATAGGATTTAGTTAAATTTTCAATTGGCTTAAGTGTCAATTTAAAGAATGTTCATATTATCTGTTCCTGGAAATCTTGGAATACATTGTCTGAAATCACTCATGGAGTACTCTAAAGAATATTTTTTTATTGACTTTGATATAGTGGCCTCTTCTGATTTTCACTACTTTTAATCAGTTTTGGTACACTTAAATTTTCTAGAAAAAATTTCAACTCTATAGATTTTCAAATTTTGACATAGGGAATTGTATACCCTTTGATTAGAATTTATGTACTTGTATTTACAACTTTTTTGTTTGTTTTGGGGACTATTATACTTGAGAATGAAATTTTATAGTTAGAATTGGACCTCTTAAAATTTATTTCACAGTTTAGGAATTTCACAGTTTAGAGTCCTTTACTGGCCTTCACTAGAAATGACAGAATTCCTTTCTAATGTACTGAGAACTTCATCTGCTGGCACTCATAAGGATCTGACCCTTATGTGACCTGGCACTGTCTGGCTGCTAAACCAGCTGGCACCCAATGGGACTTGACTAATGTCACTTTCAGTGGCATGGCAACCTGATTTTGCCTTTTCCTACTGTCACTCCTGACAATTTGAGTTTCTTCCTGAGTCTGCTAGAAGGGGATCTGACACCTAACAATACAGTGAGAGTAATTCCAATATTTTATCACCTGTCAATTGCCTAACTAAGTTTCTTGAACCCAAGTTAGACATCTTTTCTGACCGTGCATTTCTGGTCTCTCTAACAGGAACAACAAGAATAAGCGCAAAATTCCAAAATTTCCTGGACTGTTACTCAGAATAGGGAGGGGTAGCTGTCATTCAGAGATTTTCTGGGTTCCTAAATAGATATGTTCTTAAGGTTCTCTATACTTAGTAGGAGTGCAGAGACTTGGGAACACAGATAGAAGTGTAGACTCTCTTGGGAGCTGTGGAATCAATTAACATCTGAATGATACAGTAGGAGAAATTGTAAAGAACTGCAAATAATCCTTCCACACTGGAAACTGTCTGTGAGCAAAGACTTTATTGCTCTTGAATACAACAGAAGAAGCATTCTCAGGTTAAACCTCCGATTTGGTTCTCTCTCTGCCCAATGCATAATTTTGTTGAGTCAGAAAAAAAGTATTTTAAAAAAATTAAATTAGTAATACAATTTATTTTGCCTGATTTAATTTAGTAGGATGCTATAACAATCCTGACAATATAGACTACTTTTTATCTGAAAATCTCAAAATGGAATCACTTGTCTGGCCAATTGGTTCATGGCACATGTAAGCTTTTTAAATTTACATAAAATTATTTTAAAAATAAAATTAAAAATTCAATTTCTCAGTCACAACAGTTCCATTTTAAATATTCAATAACTGCATGTTGCTAGAAGCTATTGTGTTAGACAGAAAAGATATCAAACATTTCCATAAAAGCTGAAAGTTGTTTTAACCAGTACTGATTATACATTTCTGAAAGTGATATTGGAGAGATATTGAAGGCTAGGGATTCATGTTTGTGTGCTTGCATACTTTAAATTTGCATGCAGCCTAATCAAAATGATTGTAGAATTTAACAATCACACTAACAATGCATGAAAATGTCCAATTTTCCATATTATTAACATTGAATTTTTAATATTTAAATAATAGAAAACAAGTTTCTTTTTACTATTCTTATAGTTGTTTAATTATCAGTGAGTTCATCAATTTATAGTTGTTGAAATTTACATTTTTTATTTCTTAAGTTGCTTAAATTATCTTTGTATATCATATTTTCTTTTGAATATACTTTTCATATGCACAGATTAACACATTAATAGGAACACATTTACCTTCTTGATGCTATTACCCTCTATGTACATTTTTCAGTGTTTTAATCTAGAATCAGCACTAAATAATGTAAATATGCCATTCTCAAGTTATCTTGACACTAGTCAATTTCCCTTCATTTACAGTATTCTTTTCCACGTACCTATGTTACTGTTTTTCTCCATATTCATCCCCAACATAAGAAGATCCACATAGCTTTTGTCTTAATAGACAGGATGAGGAAATTGACCTTGAATTCCACTTCCAGTCAACTGGCACAGTTTCCAGATTCTATTTTCAAATCTGTAACAGAAGGGAAAATTGATGTGCACAGTTCCCAGTCCAATTCCCAATTTCTGGCAGTTCTTCATATTCTAGTCCTGCTCTACTTTGATTAAGTGTTTTTCTGAACATTGTTTCCAGGTTATCTGGTACTGAGCCAAAGAACTGAGCCAATGTTGTACACCAAGGCCATTACTTGTCAGCCAGCATCGCTACCGGGTTATGTTTTCTTTGCCCTTACTTACAGCAGTTTACCCATGGGAGGTACTATTCTCTTCACAACACACTTCACCATCATCACCTGTTTTTTCTATGTTCTTCTAGTAATTAGCACTTGAAATCTCTGTCTTAGAGAACAGTTTTTGAACAGCATTTTAAAGAAGGTCTCTGCTATTAGAGTTCTGAATCTTGGAGTTAATTGAGCAATAGCAGTATAATCATTAAGCATCTTATTGTGTCTCATGTCAGCTCTTAGAAGATGAGGAATTTATTTTAGGATTTTGAAGGCTGGGTCTATATTTTTCTACTTTTCTTCTAGCTAATTCGAACTTACCTCATATTTGTGTTAATTTCTACAACATACCAATGTTGTTACCTGTGAGAATTACTCTAGAAGGTTGGTAACAGTTTAAAATATTTCACTGAATCTCTATGAGTGTTTAACAAATAGTTGTGGGAAGGTCCTTTGAGGCTTCCAAACCAGTTGTCATTTTGAATCAGAAATCCCAGATTATAAAATTTCAAAAATAATATATTTATTATATCTGACTGTAAATACTGATGAAGTTAGCTTTATAACTGCTCTGCGAGGCAGAATTTCATTTTAAGTGAATTTGACATAAAAACCCCTCCTTAATTTGATAAGGTAAAGGATTTTATTAAAATATGTTAAAGGAAGGATGCTTCTAATAAAAGCAATATAGAGAATTTCGTAGTGTAAAATGCAAATTTTAATATTCTATTGATATCTTTTAAAGTAAAATATTTTAAATAACATTACTGACATTATTATTTGCAAATAATCTTTTATGTTACCAAGTTGTTCATCAGTAGAATTCGCTCAGTTTCACACTATAATGCTCTACTTGCCAAGCTATGTGTGGGTGTAAGAAATCAAGAATAAACAAAGTCATGCAATTTATTGACCTGTAGAGTATATTTTTGAAAATTCTCAGGCGTATCATGCTAATCATTTTTTCAAAAAAAAATTAACAGCAAGCAAATTGCTATTTGTATTGCTATAATTATTATTATTACTATTATTATTATTTTTTGATACCTGGTCTCACTCTGTCGCCCAGGCTGAAATGCAGTGGTGAGATATCAGCTCACGGCAAACTCTGCCCCCTGGGCTCAAGCTATTCTCTTGCCACAGCCCAGCTGGGATTACAGACGTGCACTACCACCTCCAGCTAATTTTCATATTTTTAGTAGAGAGGGGGTCTCACCAGGTTGGCCAGGCTGGTCTGGAACTCCTGACCTCAAATGATCCGCCTTCCTCGGCCTCGCAAAATTCTGGGATTACAAATGTGAGCCACCGCGCTCAGCTACTATTTTTAGGAGAAAGGGAACATTGCTCTCTCCTTCAGAACTGAACATCTTATAAAGTATAAAGATTTTTTTTCCTTCCATAAAAATGGTGTCAGTCTTTCTGTTATATGCTAAATGTCAAGATGTTTCAGTAGTGAGAAAATCAAGAACATAACTCTTCTGAAAGAAAATTATCTATTTCTCACTTGAAGTGACAAAGGTAAATGACTATGGGAAACTAGAAACTTCTTATAGTCAAATTGTCCTTCCACATTTCTGTAGAATATAATATATTTATAATTCATCCTCAATTCTTTATTGAAAACTGGTAGTAGTATATAAAATTAAATTTTTATAAAAAATAGTGGTCATATTTTTATATATGTATAAATATACACATTTGTGTGCCAGTAGTTGTAGGACTTTCATACTCTTCTCAAACATTCTGTAAAAAAAGAGATTGATATGCTAGGTTTTCCTGGTTTTTGTTTGTTTGTTTGTTTGTTTGTTTGTTTGGACATGGTAGCTGAGATTGAGATAAATTTTGAATGACATGTCAAGTTCGCAGAGTAAATATCGATACTATATCCCATAAGATTAGTTCTTAAGAGGCATTAGCTACTTGAAGCATAACAACTAAATGCCTAAAAAACTGATAAAATGTATATAAATATTGTTAAAAATAAAAGTCAAATTTAAGGTAACTCATTCCGTATCAAATATTATTCATACAATTTTATAGTTTTGTTTTTTAATATTGTCCAATTTTAGATTTTAGACTTAGATGCTTTGGATTTTAGGCTTAGATGCTTATATCTGCAACTTGGTATTCTATTTTTTTCTATTTGCACATGTCTTGCCCAATTCATAAATTGTGTTGAAAATACCTGTCATTAGTCTGTCTAAAACAATTATTTCTATTTATTTATTTATTTATTTATTTATTTATTTATTTATTATAATAGAGATGGAGTCTCCCTATGTTGCCCAGGCTGGTTTTGAACTCCTGACCTCAAGCAATCCTTCTACCTCAGCCTCCAAAAGTGCTGGGATTACAGATGTGATCTGTGCTCAACCTAAACAGTTCTTTCTAATTCAGGTAAATAATTACATAGCTCAACTCTGTTGATACATATACCTATAATATGATGTCTAAAACTGAAAAAATTATAAATATATATCTTAGGGCTTGCAATCTGATGGAGAACGTTTAGGAGAATTGTAACTCCAGATTATCCAACATATAATTAAAAGTAAGTATCCTGAAATATAGTTGTATTTCAACCCCTTTCTTAATATGTTATCTATAATAAATTTATTCTTATTATAAATACAAAAATGAAAATGTTTTAATCAAAATAGTAACCTTCATTATTGTTTATATTCTAAATCCTAATCAAAGCTCTCTAGTTTAACAACTACATATACATTTTTTATTCAAATGATGGCTACTACAGGTTACTTTATGAAATAATAGCTCTTATGTGTTATTAACCCAGAAATCTCAGTATACTAACAAAATAAAATGTTTATTTCTAGCATATGTCACACATGATAATTTATTATTTATTTTATTTAGTTAATTAAATCCACAATTGTTTTATTTTCTTTACCTAACATTGACCCATAGATATCTATTTTGCCTTATATCTTAATTCAAGAAAAATAGAAAGCGCTCACTGTTACAATGACTAATGATGTTTCAAAGGGATTCTTAAGCAAGGGCAAAAGGGAAATTGAAGAAAGTGGGAGCAGGGATTTGAGATCAATGATCTACTAGGTGAGAAGGATAGATTATATTTCAACTTCTTTACATGGCAGAATGAAGGAAAAATATTCTATTGGATATCATTTTAATTTAGGGATTATCATATATTCTTTAGGATATTTGCTTGAGCTTCAACATACTGACTCCCATCACCATTCTCAGAGTTAGGATGCATGTCATTAGTATACTCCATGACTTGGTCAAACTGACAACAAATAATGAGTCTTAAAATATCATGAACCTGCCACCCTAAAAGGCACTATACTTTTCCCTAATAATGATTTTAACTTCCTGGGTTTACCCAATACGAATCTCCAGAAATTCACAGAATGGCAGAAAATTCTATTTAGCTGGTAAAATCATTCTAGCTCCTTAATGAGGTATCAATTGTTAACATTATACTTGGATTTTCTAAAGTATTCACAAGCTTTCTAGCATGCATAAAATGTTGCACTTGGAAAATATTTTCTACCAACTATGGTCCATTTTGGACCATAAATGAATTTAAAAAAAGTTAAATTCCTTGAAAAAATAATTCATTATTATATAGTGCCAGAGTTAGTGTCAAGGTGAGAATTTTGTGGTGATAATCAGGTTATGGTAGCTCATGACTTATCCACTTAATGTCAGAAGAAAGTGTCAAAATTGTTAAACTTACCAACTGCTCATATGGGAAAAAAATTTAATAAGTAAAGTGCATAAATGCATAAAGACAAATCAAATGAGAAGTACAGCTCAGCAGGGAATGTTAGTAGAGCTCAATTCTGTGAACATAGGCAGGGTTAGAAGCATCAATAGTAAAAAAAATTACCATATTCATTTTAATCCATTTTAATAAGCTAAGGGTTAATGTTCAAATATGGGTTTTGGGTAGAGTCCTGCTGCATAATGGGGAAAAATAAACCCAGTTATACACATACGAGAACATAACAATATTGGTATAAGTCATGCATAAAGTAAAAATAAATAAATTATGCTACAGAATTCTGGTGATGCTAGAGATATATAATTGATTTAACAATAGTTATTATGATTAAACCACTAGATCCTTGTGTTTGGCAACTGCTTTAAATGTTGGGAATCAGTGAAGCTGAGGTCCAGAGTGTTACAGTTAGTAGGTTCTACTTTTCCCAACAAGAACAAATTAGTATTCACTGGTATAGAATCTAAAAAAGGCAGAAGTAGGGGAGATGAAATCGAGTTGACTTAGAGCCTCCCATCATCTTTCTTTATGACTCCTTTTATTCCTAATTGCCAAATATTCTAAATGATATTCCCCAATCAAATTTTTGACCAATGTTATGCAATGCTTCTTTTCCTAAATACTAATAAGGGAAAGCAATTCCCTTTGTTCTTATATCCTGGTTATGTCATATGAACAATTATTTTTTTCAGTTCAAAGATTTTGTTAATTTAAGTAATAACTATGATGCTATTCCAGTTGGTTCTTACCTTAGATCAAGTGCAACCTTACACACAGTGTGCAATAGAGCATGGCAGTAAACATTGACAAAAATATTGTTCCAAAACTAAATTTAAAAAAAAAGAACTTTGCATAATGACATTTACAGTATCATCTGGGAAGGAACTAACATTCCCATTAAACTATCAAGTAATTATGTTAAGAGTTTTTGCATTTATTTATTTAATTTTATTTTGTTTGAAATGGGGTCTTGCTCTGTTGACCAGGCTGAAGTGTAATGGAGCAACCACGGCTCACTGCAGCCTTGACTTCCCAGGCTTAAGTGATCCTCCCGCCTTAGCCTCCGGAGTAGCTGGGACTACAGGCACATGCCACCATGCCCAACTATTTTTTTTATTTTTTTGTAGAGATGAAGTCTTATTATGTTGCCAGGGCTGGTTTTGAAATCCTGGGCTCAAGCAGCCTCCCACAGTGCTAGGATTACAGGTGTGAACTACCACACCCAGCCTCTATTTAGTTTTGATAAAATTAATTTTCACCACAGTTGTACATTTACAGAAAAACTGAGAAGATAGAACAGATAAGTGGCATATATCTTGTACCCAGTTTCCTCTGACATTTGTATATGTTGATTATAATTAATGAACTATTATTAATACATTATTAACCAAGATTCATATTTTTTTCAGATTTCTTCAGTTTTTTATTTTGTTTTTACTTCATGTCTTTTTTTTGTTGTTCCCATCCAGGATACCATCATTTTTCAGGTATTTTATAAAATGTCCCTCATATGAGATTTGTTTTTTCACGATTAAACCAGAGTTATGTGTTTTGAGGAAGAAAACCACAGAAGTACAGTGCCATTTTTATCATATCATATCATATCAAAGATAAGTACTGTTAACATGACTAAGTACAGATAATTTGTTGACAACATTTTGATGGGAACAAAACTTACCCTGGAAACCTCATTATTCACCTTTGTAGTTGACTATCAATAAAGTCAGGTACAATTATTTTTAATTAAATAGCAAGATATACTTTATTTTTGTTCCAGAATATCAAGGGTTAACTAAACACCCTTTTGTCCTTTAAACATCTCCACAAAACATAAATCTTTGAAACGGTCTGCTTAGAACTCTTTGATGACGATAAACTTGAAATAAAAGTAGCCACACAAACAAGGCCACAGGGTTATTATTATTTTTTTATTTCAATAGTTTTGGGTATATAAGTGGTTTTTGATTACATGCATGTGTTCTTAATGGTGATTTCTGGGATTTTAGTGCACCTGTCACCCTAGGATTTTGATACACCCATCATCCAAGCACTGAACACTGTACCCAATTTGTAGTCTTAATTCCCTGACCTCTCTCTCAACCTCTGAGTCCCCAAAGTTCATCACATAATTCTTACGCTTTTGCATCCTCATAGCTTAGCTTCCACTTGTAAATGAGAACATATGATATTGAGACTTAGTTACCAACTCCCGAGTTACTTCACGTAGAATAATGGCCTCCAGTTCTATCCAAGTTGCTGCAAAAGACATTATTTCTTTCCTTTTTTATGGCTGAGTAGTAGTCCACAGTGCATATATACCACATTTTCTTTATCCACTCATTGGTTGATGGACACTTAGATTGGTTCCACATTTTTGCTATTGTGAATTATTCTGCTATAAACATGTAGGTGCATGTGTCTTTTTCATATAATGACTTATTTTCCTTTGGGTAAATGCCCAGTAGTAGGATTGCTGTATCAAAAGGTAGTTTTATTTTAGTTCTTTAAGGAATCTTTTTACTGTTTTGCATAGTGGTTGTATTAGTTTACATTTCCACCAGCAGTGTGAATGTGTTCCCTTTTCACCACATCCTGCCAACATCTGTTATTTGTTAACTTTTTAATTATGCGCATTCTTGCAGGAGTTAAGTAATATCTCACTGTGGTTTTCATTTGCATTTCCCTAATAATTAGTAACATTGAACCTTTTTTCATATGTTTGTTGGCTGTTTGTATATCCTCTTTTGAGAATTGTCTATTCATGTCTTTTGTCCATTTTTGATGGGATTATTTTTTTTTCTTGTAAAGGCTTGCTTTCTGAGAGCATATGTCAAACCCTCAAAGAAACTGAAATATTTTTTAAAATTTATTTTACTCTACTGATATTCAGAAAAGAGAAAAAGAAAATCAAAATATAACAAAGATGTGACAGGTAGGCGATGCAATCCTGTAATTTTGGACCCTCAGTGAGAATATGAGCTACAAACAGACCTGTTCTCACTCTCTACAACCACTGAGGACAGCAAGAATATTTGATTACCTTGGAGTCTGGCAATGGGTAGAGACAAAAATAAATCTCTTCAAATAATTTGAAGACAAAATCTCTGCTGCCTGAATTAGTAGCCCAAATTCATATGTATTGGGTAGTCTTTAAAATATCAAAGAAAAAATATAGTCTAAAAACCCAGGAGGAAAACGCTTGGATATCTGAAGCCAATGGTGGTTACGTAGGTCCACCTCTGTCAGTATGTCTTCCAAAGTATTATAAAATACTAATAAGAACAGATACAATTATACAAAATTATGCTGTAAGCATAATTTTAAGACAATGGCTATCCCAAATTCAAAACAACTGTCAGCGAAAAAACAATTCCCAGTAGTTAATCACTCGTTTTCCTGTCCCCATCAAAAGGGTTTGTGATGAGCAAGATCAGGGAGAAAAAGAATCATGGTAAAGAGAGAAGAGGAGACTAGTGACAGCCTACATTTGATATACCACTACTTCTAGAAAGAGTAAAATTACATCCTAAGTGTGGATATGATACGAAGCAGGGTAATCAACCTCGGCACCAGTGACATTTGGAGCCAGATGATTCTTCCTTGTGGAGGGCCGTCCTATGCATTGTAGGATGTTGAGCAGCATCCCTAGCCTCTGCGCAGTAGATACTAGTAGCAAACTTTGCTCTAAACAATCCCTGCACTTAGATTGTGACAATCAAAAATGTCTCCAATTTCCAATGTTCTATGTAGCAAAAAAACAGAAAAAAAAATGCCCCTTTCCACTGACAACCATTGATGTAAAGAGAAGGAAATTAAAATTCATGAAATTTGAAGTGTCAATCTTTAAAAAACATAGCTTGTGTACTATTTTCAAAGAGAAAAATGAATGATGTGGCATTCTTGGGAACTAGTTGGTAGAGAAGAAAATAGTTAAAAGGAAAAAAATGTGGGGTCTTTCATGACAAAAAGAGAAACGTAATTCGGAGGGCACACAGTCTCTTTCTTTGCCTTTGAAAAAATATCCTCTAATGAATATGGACTTTGCTATCAGAAATAAATGTCATTAAACTAGCAAACCTGAATACCAGCCAAAATTGACCAAACTATACAGCAAACAATGAATTCATGAAAAGAGATTTTAAACATTGATAAGTGACATATAATATGCCTAAACTAATAAAAAAATTCTGAGTAAAATTATCACAAAGCAAACGAAAACTGTGAAATGATACTCAAACAGAATTAAATATGTTCAGTATAATTACGTATAGAAGAAATAAATATATATTTAGGATAGCAAAAATCACCTTGAGTCAGAAAAAAAACAGTGAACAAAATCAGGAAGAAATTAAAAAGAGAGTCGATTAAATTTGCGAAAGAAATGATAGGAATAGACAATGTGATCTTCCTTTTTTAAATACCTTACCTGTCAAGGTATTTAGGAAAGTAAAAATAAAACCCTCAGTGATAAAGGCTATATTGAAAGACAACAGCCCCAAATTAAAATATAATAAATGGCAGTGAAGAAATTAAAAAGACAAGTGAGAGAATAAAATGAGATAAAGAGAGATGTAAAAATATACAGAATCCCACAGCTACACATGGAATATACAATTAATTTTTCAAAAAGATATTTCAATATGTCACTTATTTAGTTCACGGTTTCACAATCTCTGCAATAATGATTTGGATCGGATAATTTTTTTATTGTGGAAGGGGGGTTATAATCTTGTGCAATATATGTTGTTTAGCAGTGCTCTTGGCCTCTAACCATTAAATGAGAGTAAGTACCAATTTATTGCATACATGATGAGATAATTTGCCTTACTAGATGTTTAGAAATAGAAATTAATCAATGCTGTGTAGTCAAAAGAGCAAAAAAGTAAAGACAACCAAGTCAGAACTTAGCACATATGAAAAATTATTATGAGAAACTGGTGCTGCAGAATGGGGGAAATGTTTCTCAATAAATAGTTTTGTGTCAACCATTTATTTCTATTTGGAAAATAAATGCAATAGGTTATCTTCCTTTTTTATTCATAAAAATTTAATCCAAAATTACTAAATACATAATTGTATTGATAAGTAAATATATAATTGAAAAAGTAAAAATACAATAAAAATGTAAAAGACAATATAGGATAACGCCATTATTCAAGATAGAAAAATATTATATGATATAAAAATATGATAATAAATATATTTGGCTACAGCTAAATAAATAACTCCTGCTTGTATGAGGATATAATAAAGAAAATTAAGTATGAAGTCATCAAAATTTGTGATAACAGTGTATAGATGATAGATAGATAGATGATAGATGATAGATAGGTAGATAGATAGATAGATAGATAGATAGAAAGATAATGACATAGATAGAGATATCCTGAACAAACAATATAAAGAACAACTCAGATTCTGGAAATAAGAAAGACTGAACATGCAAAACCCAAATGGGCAAATCCCTAGAACAGGCTCTTCAGAAATCATCAAGCAAACATGGATGATAATACTTGAGAAAATGAACAACTTCATCAATAATTAGGGAAATGCAAATAAAATCAAAATAGTATTAAGTGTCTGTAGGGTGTGGAAAAATAGAAACACAATAAGAACACATAGGCTTTTATTGAAATTTAACTGGCATAATGATTTCTGAAAATAATTTGAGATTATACCGAAATATTGAGTTACAGCTTTTTGAGAAATGCTGAAGAATCGACATTTTCTCATTCATCTCAATAAAATATTGTTTGACACTGTTGCCCATTCTAAATTAATCATTTCCTCTTGCTAATCTTAAATTAACCAACTAATATCTGCTAAAACCTTAACTCCAGTCTTGAAGGGTCTTCATCCTATCCGATGACAAACAGAACCTGAGTTGCATTTCTTCAACAACTTCGAAGAGTGTGCAAGTCATACAATAAAACTGACCTTCTTTTCTCTAACCTACAGATAATTTAAGATACTTGACACAACAGTATACTAAACTGTCAATAGCTGCAAATATTCTTAAGTGGTGACCAAACCACTTTTGCTTGAGTTTTCTCCATCAGAATGTAAGATCCAGAGGATCCTTTTTATGTACCCCCTAAAACTTGACAGTGTTAAAAGAAGTCATTGTAAAATAATATTTATTGTAATCTTGTTTCTTCTAGCCACAGTTGGGAAATATACAAGTGTTACTAAACAGTATAATGGATAAATAAATTGTGGTATGTTCATAAACAAAATACTACTGAGAAGCAAAAAAAAATAGTAAAACTGAGTAGTTCTACTTAGCTATGTTAAACTGGGAAAAACATTGAGTAAAAAATTACTCATAAAAAATGCCTATATTAGATATAGTTTAAAAATGCAAAGTAAACTGCATATTTATATAGGAACCAAGATACTTGGGAAAAATAAAGAAGAGCAATGCAATTGTGAAGGAATAAATCTGATTTTTTTTTTTTGTATTTTTTTTTTTGAGATGGAGTCTCCCTCTGTTGGCCAGGCTGGAGTGCAGTGATACAGTCTCGGCTCACTGCAATCTCCGCCTCCTGGGTTCAAGCTTGAATAGTGTTCTTTGTTGAGGCTGTGGAAGGGATTCGATTAGGGAGTGAGATGTAGGTAATATTTTAAAAAGAATGATTACACTGTTTCTTATAATGGCCGATAATGTGGTTTCAGTCTGTACCCACCCAAATCTCATCTTGAATCATAGTTTACCACAATCTCCATGTGTGGTGGGAAGGACCCACTGGGAGGTAATTAAATCATGGGGGCTGTTTTCCCCATGCTAGTCTCATGATGATGAGTAAGTTCTCATGAGAGCTGATGTTATAAGGGGCTTCCCCCATCACTGAGCTCTCATCTCCTTCCTGTCGCCATGTGAAGAAGGATGTGTTTTCTTCCTCTTCTGCCATGATTATAAATTTCCTGAGGCCTCCCCAGCCCTGTGGAACTGTGAGTCAATTAAATTTTTTCTTTTTGTAAATTACTCAGTCCTGGGCATTTCCTTAGAGGAGCATGAGAACAGACTAATACAGGTGTTTCTTTTCTTTTTTTTTTTTTTTTTTGCATTTTTGTTCGCTACATTCCATGAAGTTTAAAATATTGTTTAATCTAGCCAATAGTCAAGAAACACTCAAAATGAAAATATAAAATTAACAAAAAGATATGTAAAGAAAGTATAGAAGGAAAGAAGAAAAATGAGAAAAGGAGAAAGAATAGATTAACTCATATCCCTCTTATGTGGATTAAAAGTGATACAATTTGGGAAAACCCTTTAAAGCACAGTCATCAGTTTATGTCTTTTTCTAACTGCAGCATCTGCTTCCTAAGCTTCATTTTATTCTTCAAAGGGCAATTTATTGTCAATAACTGTTTCAACACTGTCTATAGGACATAATGTCTTAGGTCTGCTTTCTTGCAAATATAATAAAGCTACCTTGTGGTACCTTCTTAATGTTTTCTATTATTTGTTGACTTTCCTCGTGTTTAATTGGTTTCCACACTCAGGATTGTTTAAAGAGATTTTATTATTTGGAGAATACTATTTAGATGTAACGTGCTATTGTTAGAAATAAGTCAATTGATAGAGATTTATTTATGCTCATTTAAAATGACAAATAATTCTATTTTGAGACATTTACTGATCTTAAATTTAAATATGATATACAATAATCCCATTGGATAACTTTTCACTGAGATCAGAGTATGGTCTCTTGAGAAAAAGTATTACCCAAAGGTCATACCACTTCTATTAAATGCTGCATTTTTCCATTATCAAACTGTATTGGAAGAATGAAATCTCTATTTATTATAAGAAGTAAAAGCAATTTGCCTGAACTTATTACAATCTGTCTAATTTATTAACCATACCTTCAAGTACAATACACTTAATAATTTATACTTTTGAAATACTTCCATGTGTCTTTTATTTTTTAAAGAGAAACACAACTGCCAACCTATGGAAAAGTCATTATTCCAATTAGAAAAATACTGACGGCCTAGAGTTCATTCAACAAATCAATATTTAATTAGCAATGTGTCAAACTGCAGATACCAGTCACTATAATATATGTTACTAAAATTAGATGTTTATTGTTGATGTAGCTGTGAAGAGTAGGTCACAAAGACCTATATAAAAATGAAATTAAGTATCCACATGACACTCAAAGACAGCCAAAACACCTCTTTTAGTATGACCTTAATAAAGAAAACATGCCATCATGTTTCTAAACAAAGCATTGTGGCTTTTGTCATTTTTATAATTGGCTTATGTATATGATTAAAAGGACCTTAACAGTGGTGAAATCGCAGAGTTGATTTTCACTGACTTCTTTTAATTCATAATTTTTTTTAGTAAGAGAACACCTTAATAAAGAATTTTAGTTGGTGTATTATTTACGTGCTTTAATGCATGTATGTGGTTACTATAGATAATGAAAACTATTACTTCTCTTACCCTTGAAAAACTAATCAACATTAGTGTTAAGTAAATTTCCCAGCATGAATCAAGAGAGTTATGCAAAGCAAAAAGCAAAAAGGAAAAAAAAAGAAATGTTCACAATTTGTAACTAATAGAAGAAATAATTACCTAAATATATTTTAATATTTCATATTTTATATATTAAACACACCTTGTCAGAAATGTAGGATAACATGTGTATCTAAATGTATATATTTGTATTTTATTTAAATACATAAAATGAAAATCAACTAATATATTTATTGAACACCAGTAGTGATTTATATATGAGATACTGTATTTGCATATAAACTATACTATAACTTGTAGTATTTGCATAGCATAAAATATTATACAAATTTTTTTTAGAAAAAAATGAATGTAGCAAATAGAAATAAAATATTATGTCACTGACATACAGAAATTTGAATTTCAGGTAAATATTTTTATTTGAATATGTACATATCAAAATAACTGATGACAAAATATTAATCTGAATGAAGTTGACTTAAAGTGTTTTAAGTTTGAGAGACAAGAGGGGTAAAAGTAAAATTAGCAGAACTACAATATGCCATTAAGAGGTTCATATTAAATCTAGCACTATAGAAAAATTGGATTTAGATAGCCAAAGAGTATTCTGTGCAATGAAAGCACACAAATTAAGATATTCTGTGTCAACAGTGATTAGGAGCTTGAGGAATGTTAATTGTACAAGGGAGCAAACATAAAATAACAACAGAAAGAAATTAAATAATACAATAATGAAATTTTCAAAATTTGGTGTGAAGGAAAGAGAACTTGGTGTCTTATTGAAGGGAAATATATATTTTTATTAGAAAAGGTGAAACCACTGGTTTCTTATGGTGTCTTTAAAAATTACAAGTATGCCTTATATTAGTTATATTCCTACATTTAATAAGCCAATGCTTATTTTTATTCTTTTATAATTAATGGAGCTTCATGTTTCTCAACACTTAAAACTTACTTACGTTTATAGATTTTTAAGTATTGCTTATTTCAAGGGAGGAGCAGCAAAGGCCACAGAATCAAAGTCAAGAAAGCCAAAGGTGAGAAGAATCTACTTGTATAGTAGTTAGGAGTGTGGGCTCTGGGTCCTGTTTTGAATCTCTGTCTCCACTTCATAGTTGTGTGACCTTGGTCAACTCTCTTAACTATTCTGTATCTCTGTTTCCCCATTTATCAAATCTATGTAACAATATTACTCATTTAAAAATATTTTGTGAGTATTAAATTATTAGTATTTTATGGTACCTATAGCAATGCCTGTTAAATAGCAAGAGCTCAATAGATATTGACGTATTGTTTTACCATGTTCTTTATTGTGACAAAATTTGGATAAACACAGCAACAAATATTGACATATTTCTGTATATGTCAATTTGTAATTCTATAAAATCAATTAACAAAAGGCTTTACCATAAAATAGCTGTCATATTTTGTAGTCACTAAGTGTTTAGCAATAGATTTTTAAGGTTTTGGGATAGAAAAGTAAGATATCTATAAATATATGTATAACTCATCATCTCTACCCTGCCCGTATTTATATTACATTTGTTCATCTAAATTCTTGAGAGCAATTCAGACACATTATGCAAAATTGTTTCTCCTGTGTTTAGGTTAATCTCTGTCTGTACTTGACCACAGTCTGGCTACTACTGTCACCAGTGCTGATTTCATAACATACAGACAAATTAACAATCTAAGTACCATCTAAGTACAAAATATATATCTATATTTTGTAGCCATTTCATTTCCTTAGGGTAACTATAAAGCTTATAAAAAATGTCTTTTGCTACTTTTTCTCCCAGAGATGAATTTATTTAAAAATCTAAAAGAAAAAAATGACCCTCTCTGAAAACCTCACTCAGGGTCCTATTGCTAGTGACCCTGTCTTCCGTGGTAGGAAGTATTTTAGTTTTATTTACAAATATGAGTAAGGTATGACATAGAAAAAATATAAAAAATACATATAATAGATTCTCAAGACTGGAAGAAATATACATATTATTTGTTCCAAACCTACTGCTGATGCTTCAGACGTAATACAGGACGTTCAGTTTCTAGGGAAAGAGAACATGGGAGGTGGAAGCCTATTCCATTTTCAGCTATGAAACTCTTAAGTATTATGAAAGTCTTAAAATATCCATCTATGTAACGTTAGCCTTTTTCTCAGCTCACTCTCTGGAGTAAAACACTATGGGAATCCTTCTTCACTGTCTTGTTGTGAATGTATGATGGCAGACTGATATATTAAACCAACATCTATTTTTTTTTCTGTACAACATTTTATTATGCTTTGAAACTAGTATTAAAATATGGTATATTTTCTTTTGGATTTTTCATAGCAAGACCCTAAACTTAGCTTTCTATGATATGAACATACATTATAAATTCAATCAAGAAAACTTCCAGTAGGAGAGAGAGAGGTTTTCTCCCCCACCACCAATGTGCAATTTGACTTGACTACGTAGAATTAAATGACAGAAACTGCCTAAAATGTTGAAAGAAAAAAAATATGAAGCTGTACTTGTTGAGCCCAATGAGGAGTTTGAATGAATTTGCCCGTCAAAGTAAAAACCAAAACAAAACAAAACAAAAAAACTTAAGAATAGAGTGAATGCTGTGAAAATTAAGTGTACAACCAAACGCAGATGGAAAATAAATATAAAGCAAATTGTAGTGATCAGAAAAGAGACTCATTGAGCCTTGCACTTTCGACCAGTTTCCTTGAACAATTACACTGCCAAGTGAATATATGTTAGGAGACAGAAATCAAAATGGGGCCCCACCAGTAGGGGGATGAAAAAGGAGGAGAAGGAGTAGCAAAACAAGGAGAGGAAGTAGAGTGGCACAGGAGGCCAAGGGAAGGGAAGAAGAGGAGAAAAGGATTAAGAAGAAAACAATCAGACATCATTCAAAGAATTTACATTAGTAGGTAATGAAATATAGTCAACATTTTCAAAGCTATTTTAACAAGGAAATGAGAAAAATAAATTTTCATATATTGAATATGCCACAGATCCTCTTCAAGGTTTACAGGATAACCCATTTGAAGAAAAATAATGGCACTTAAACATAAACAAGGTGAAAGCAACTGCTGAAGAGACTTCCCTCATTATTCTAGCAAGAATCCAAGGCACTTCAAGCATCTTTATGGAATGAGACTGGAAAACATCACCTCTCTACAGTTTTCCAGTGATGAGCTCTCTAGGTGACTGACAATGAAAAGAGATCTCTGCTCTCCATTCCCTATTTTGATATTTGTCTTTTGATTTAGAAGCAGATATTTTTACACTAATTGTTCTTAAAAGTGGTTATTACAAATTTGTCAAACATCAATGTCATATTTACCCACAAAGCCTGCTAAATTTTCAATACCTAGAATACCTTCTGGGTTCTGATTGATAACTTTTAGTTAGAATCTAAGGATGATTGATAACTTCTAGATAGAATCTAAGGATGTGATGACCCTGAGGATAGCTATGTTTAAAACTTTTTTATTTTATTATAGTTTATTATAGCAATAAACCATTAAAGGAATTTAACATACCAATTCAAATATCAAATATTAATAATTTCTAAAAATTACAATCTTGTCCCTTTAAGATATTTAGGACCTTTAACAATTTTTTTATTGAGAGAATTTGACATATTGCAAGTGTGAATGAGGTTTAAGCTATCTTCAAATTTAACCAAGGTAGAAAGCAAATTCTTCACTTTAGAGAAACTCAGTCAAAAATGATGCTTAATCTGTCATCACCAGGGAAAATTTATGTTTCTAAGTTTGTAATTGTTACCTTCTTGACAATTATTAATGTATTTAATCAACATTACTAGACATAATTTAAATCATTTCTGTTATTGCTAAAATGAAATTAAAACAAATTTGTAACAGTATTTGGAAAGAACTATTTATAAAACAATGTGGTATGTTTTACTACAACATTCATTGTTAATGGGATATAATAGAGTCTAGAAAAATCATTATGCCATGACTATTGTAAACCATTATCCTTGTGTTATAAACTGAAATAATTGAAACTATAGTCTGACATTTATTTTGGGTAACTTCCTTGAAAAAGGCTTTACTTTTCAAGTAAGAATTAATTGTATTAAATCATAAATCATCTTAAGGGACATACTGTGATCTTTTGGGTTGATAATAGTAAAAACGTATTTACAAAAGCAAAAGTTCATATATGGTTTTCTGACTTTTATTAAGACCTTTACTTACATTTTAAAAAACTGGAGTTTATTTTACCTAGGCTTCATCATAGCCACATTTTTTGATGTTGGTGGTATTCTAGAAGTTGCAGTACCTTCACATTAGAATATAATTGGTGTATATTGGAGCTGGTTCTCCATAGCCAATTGTGTGCATCTCCTACCAACTATGTATTCAGGGATATAATATTTGATCATGTTAGCTTGAAAACAATCATACCGGGAATATTTAAACCATGGAAACTGGAAATGCTAAATCATATTCCACTCCTTTACTCTCTGATAGCTGGTTTACCAGTACATTCTGCACAGATGTATGCTTTCTCTGTACATATCGGCAACACATCAGTTTTGTAGAACCAATGATTATTTAAGAAGTATAAAACTTAGTGATGCCTCAACAGAATTTTAGAGCTTCATTTTATTTTGAAATTCTAGAATAATTTTTACTTCATTTACAAAATCAGATCATTGTGTGAGTCTATTCAAATCATTAGCGATGCATTGCTCGTAATGTCCACAAAATGATCCAGGATTTCTGTGTGTTGCTTTGATTCAGTGGCTAGCAGACTTTATATCTTTACCATAGACAGGGCTATTAAGTGAGCTATTTATTTTGTTAACCTTGAACTCTAAAGTGTGTGTATGTATATGTGTATACACACACACGTGTGTGTATATATGTGTATATATATATATGTGTGTATATATATAATATATATGTGTGTATATATACATATTATATATATGCTTTTTTTCTTGGGTGTGCTTAGATTACCCAGAGAAATACATTTCATTTTCCTCTGTTTAGAACAAGGCTGTCTATCATGCCACAAAGTGAAGGAAAGGACCACATACTTTAGTCTTCTATATTTAGACTTCTGCCTTTCTTTTCTTTCTTTTTTTTTCAAACAGTACACATTCAATCATCTATCATGGTGAAGGGGAGACTATAGCACCTAGGATTGTAACTACTATTTCAACAGACTTTCAGGCAATTTTCCTGTTTCCAGCACTACCTCAGCCTCACATTCAGAAGCACTTGGTAATATCCATTTTTCAGCCTTGCAGATTTCTAACTCTCCCAAAATCAGTTTCATTTCAGAATTTGGGTTTGTTCATTTCACTTGTCATATATCCATCTGCCTTTCAGTTTTAAAAATTATGTTCCCATCCTATTTTCTACCTTTTCTGGGTTCCTGTGAAATTTTTGCCTTACAAAATCTTTTCTATTGATTTTGTTATCATTTGAGGAAAGAACAGGAAAAATTAATCTGTCCAATCTTAAATATTATACAAAAGTGATATGCTTTTGCTTAAAATATATAAATAGACTAACATAAGAACAACTTTCCAAAATCACTAATTCATTGCTTATTCATTTGAGCATATTTTAATCTTATCTCTCTCTCTACATATGCATTTTTTCTGCAGTTGAAATTTTGTATATTTTCATAGTCTACGTGTATTCTTGTTAATATCTGAAAGTTTTACAAATGTTTTTCTTAGGATAATTCTTTTGAATACTATTCATAAATTACATGTATGAGCTTTTATTATTTTAAGCAAACTCACCATGTGTCAGTACTTGGAATTTTCCATATTTCTGCTAATTTTATTATATTCTTAAGGGAAAATATGTATGAGTTTTTCTGAACAGCCTGGCCTTTACAGAAGCATTTATCATGAAAATTATTCTGTCATTGTAACATTTGTTTCTCAAACAATCACAGAACAACATATGTAACTATACCATTGAATTTTAAAGTGTTCATAAACATTGCCCCAAAGTATTACTAATTTAGGCTTATTTAGCATAACTCAGTAAGGTTTGTGGATACGGCTTATTTCCATGTCCAACATTTTTCATGAATATGATAACTAACACGCCCTTTGTGCTGCGTAGTTGTCATGCAGAAGACTTCCCACACAAGGTGCTTTATTCTAATATTCAATTGGCACATTATCAGATATAAAATTTCACTCTTGACTTAAAGTGGGCTTTATATTTTCTTTGCCTTTTTGTTTACATATTTTATTGTCACTGCTTATGAACTCATATCATTAAAGGAAAGAGGGGGAAATGACTAGTTCTATTTGTAATAAATAAATTTACTACATAATAATGCATAGTTTGAAATTCTTAGTGCTTATTATAATTTTCCATGGCCCTGATCTTTCCTGTAAATTTGTTGTGCCAGAACATTATCTGAGCTTTAACTTTTGACTCAAAAGCCACCTCTTATACCTAGTTTTCCCTGAATAAATCGGTTGAAAATCACACTTTTCCCTTTTCATTGCATTCGCTTCATGCTGTCTTAGTCCATTTGAGCTAAGACAATAAAATACCTCAGACTTGGTAATTAATAAATCATTGAAATGCATTTCTTGCAATACTGGAGGCTGAGAAGTCTAAACTCAAGTCACCCTCAGATCCAGTGTCTGGTAAAACCTTGTTTGCTGCTTCATAGATGGCATAGCTTGCTGCAGTCTCACATAGTGAAAGGAACAGAAGAGACTAATGTGCTCCTGTAATCCCTTTTAAAAGTGCACTGATCTCCTTCATGAGTGTAGGGCCCTCATGATTTAATCACTTCACAAAAGGTCTCATCACTTAATACTATTGCTTTGGAGATAACACTTCAACATAAATTTTGGAGGAATGCAAACCATAGCACACGACAACCATCAGTTACAACATGTACTTTAAAAATTATACACAGAATAATATCAAATTGTAGGGCATTTTATAATAGGAATAAAAAAAGAAAAAAGAAATTTTAACAAACATATATAACCACTTACGTTACATGTTCTTCTGATTTATTGTAAACTACCTTATATGGTTATAAATGTGTTTCCCTAGACCTTTTGGATTACACCACAATTGACTTTTGTTAGTTAACTCACCACAGAGCATAGCTTATACAAATAATTATCTTAATATAGTTCTTGAACACAGAGCAGCATATTCATATTAAATAGAATAGATAGGTATATTAGGAATAAAGGCGTCTCGTCTGCCTTAGGTAAAAATCTTGCATTCCAGGCGCTTTCTTTCTCTAGCAAGCGAGCCACTGAAATCCTGTTCATTTCCATTTAAAGCTTAAAAGCTAGTGAAACCTCTAAAATAATTTACTGAGCAAAAATTTGCCAAATATTATTGCTATAAAAATGATCGACCAAACAACTAAGTCACCAAATGAATTTTATTATTTCTTTTTAGTTGGTCATTTCAATTTTGTCTTATAACAATGTTTTAATGAATTCAATATGTCTCCTCCCAAGTTCTTTAAGTGTTTCTAATATATTTATTTAACATATTGATGAAGGTAGTTGAAAACTAGTTATTTAATTTTTTTCTCTGTATTCACAGTAAAGTTTCACTTTGCCCTACTAAGTTTAGAAAAGCAAAATGATCATTTGTTTTACATCTCTTTTCAGTGAAAGATGTGTATGAGACACACTTCCATTCAATGGGAGGTAGAAATAAATCAATAAATGGAGGCTTCTAATATTTTTTTAAATAGACACACTAAACTGAATTCTCTTTTTAGGTGTGTCTATGTTGCTTCTTTACCCACCACCATTTTATTCTAACTGAATGCAGACAACCTACCTGAGTGTACAATAGTCATCTTGCAAGGATGAAAATAAAAGCCTCTTGATAATAGTGGCACAGCAGAAATTAGAAGGATCTAGATTTCTAATCACATTGTCAGCCACTACTTCAGTGGTAGTATATAACAAAAAGTCACCTCTTTATCTGTTTAAGGCATTATTATCTCAAATTATTTAACTGTAAAGAATATATGCTTTTCTGTTGTTTTTCCCTTTACCATTTTCTGATCTTTCTCTTTCACAAATAATATTGACATACTTCCACATAATTTATTAATATTACACTATTCATTGTTTCATGAGATTTGAAATTCTTCCATACTTTTCTGTCTGTTAAGTTAGCCTATTTCTTACATTATTTATCATTCTATTTCTTTATAAAGTTACTTATCCCTGGATTGTATATATTAGTACAGAATAAATTATAGGTTTTCTGATTAGAGTAATTATTGGGCTATTTTCAATGGTAGAATAACTATTATTTGCCTTATCTGCAAGTATTTTATTTCACTTTAATTATCTCAATTTATACATATTTTATCTCTTATTTAAATATATACATGTTATTAAATTTGAAATATTTATATATTTAAATTTTCTAATAAACATATTCCTTTTATTTTTATTACATTTCATTGTCATTTCTTAAAATCATTTTCACTCTAGTTTCAAAGTAATAATTTATTAATCTAACTTTACCTGTCATTTTAAAAATGTCATTACATGTACATACTTTTTTATAAGACCATATTAAAATCAGGCCAGAAGTCAATAAGTTCTACGAGTAGAAATGTCTTCAGTAACTCCTCTTACGGTCCACAATTTTTCTATATAGGCAATTTTAAAGTCACCTATAAACTCTGCTAATGAATTTGGAGTGTATCCTATAGCTATAAGAAACTAACCAAAGTTAGTTTTTCATCTGAAAAATTATATGTTTCAGTATTCTAAAACACACTTTTCCAGGATTCTCTAGGGTGTTCAATTTATGAGTTATTTATATATTTTAAACACTACATTTTCCCAATAACACTGGTAATATATGGTATTTGGACCAAATGATTTTGAAATGCAGATAACAGACTCACTGGTCATAATGAAAAGCTATAGGAACTATCATATCATCCCTGCCACATGCTCAAATTGTCTCAGCCTAAGTTATATAGACTTAATGTTTGCATACGTGAGGAATATTCCCTATACTTATCTCTTATACTGGAATTGTCATCCAGATAATAATTATCAATCCAAAATCATTTGAAGATCAAAATAACTGAATGGGTTCCCTAGCTGTGTTGGTGGTATATCCACCTACCTTTTATTTTGATATTGTGGCTCCCATGTGATAGTTTTTTCATATGTTGTGCATAAGTACCATTGAGCCTATTTGACGTCCTTTTCTTCCTCTTGAAAAAGGGTTACTCTAAGCTGACAAGAGGGCTGTTTATCACTACATAGTTTGGAGAAATCCTTTTTAAGTTTTTCTGCTGGAAACTACTCAGTTTAATCAGGATTCTCATGAACTCTGGAAATTATATTATGTTTACTACATTTACTGCATATCTTTTTGTTTCATCCTGCGATTCCTGCAATTTCATAAAAACAAACTATTCCCTTTTGATGATATTCATAGGTATTATTTTACCCAGTCCCAACTCCCAAATGACATAATATTTACTTTATATTGTCTTCCAAGAAAGCAATTTTGAGCAGAATTTAATTTGAGAGTTTTCTTCACGATTACCTCAAATTGTCAGAGACATTTTAGGTTAACAATGCATTTCAAAACTTCATAAATTATAATACATACTGTGATGAACCACTGAAACATCAGAAGAAAAAAAATCACACTTAAACATTTTAATCCCCAAACTACAGTATTACAAACTCGAGTATATCCATTAATCAAACATTTTGATATTTTTATAATTCAGTGTTAACATAAAGGTGATCAGTCATTTTCAGATCTAATAACATATATTAAAAGGTAGAAAGCATATTTAAAACA
Organism: Homo sapiens; assembly: GCF_000001405.40. Classification (NCBI taxonomy): domain Eukaryota; kingdom Metazoa; phylum Chordata; class Mammalia; order Primates; family Hominidae; genus Homo; species Homo sapiens. The sequence goes on from NC_000001.11 coordinate 188,606,567, forward strand.
AAACATAATTTTTATACTTAAGTGGTTAATACCTTATTAGTATTTATTTTTAAGAATAAATGCATAAACAGAAGTGTTTCTCTTAATGCAGATATAGATAAAATCAGCAGTGAGTTATACTAGCTTTTCTCTTATGGAAGGAGTTTAGCTATGCAACACTGCAATGAATGCTTTGGAATTAATATTCATATATCTATTGAAAGTTTGCTTCTGTTCTTACAGATTAAAGATGTCTTGCTATCTGCAGACTTAAATCATGTCTTTTATAAAGTATGAAAATAAACATGGACATAGAGAAATGCAGTTATGCATTGTGATGGTTAATACTGAGTGTCAACTTGATTGGATTGAAGGATGCAAAGTATTGATGCTGGGTGTGTCCGTGAGGTTGTTGCCAAAGAAGATTAGCATTTGAGTCAGTAGGTTAGGAAAGGCAGACCCACCTTTAATCTGGGTGAGCACCATCTAATCAGCTGCCAGCATGGCTAGAATATAAAGCAGGCAGAGAAAAATGTGTAAAGACTAGACGGCTCTATCTTCCCAGCCTACATCTTTCTCCTGTGCTGGAAGCTTCCTGCCCTCGAACACTGAACTCCAAATTCTTTAGTTTTGGGACTCGGACTGGCTCTCTTTGCTCCTCAGCTTGCAGAGGGCCTATTGTGGGACCTTATGATTGTGTGAGTTAATACTTAATAAAATCCTCTTTTTATATATGTATATATACACACATATGTATACACACATATATACACACATATACACACATATATATACACATATATATACACATATATATACACACATATATATACCCATATATACACACATATATATATACACATATATATACACACACACACACACAATTAGTATATATATATCCTACTTGTTCAGTCCCTCTAGAGAACCCTGACTAATACAGATTTTGGTATCAAGAGTGGTTGTAGAGGAACAGAATATTAAGGATGGAGTTTTTTCATTAGTTTGGTGGTTTCTGAGATTGGCTGCTTAATATGATTAGACCAAAAAATGTTAAAACTCAACTTCTGATAGTATGGAGGAAGCTGATAGTCCTTGGCATAAACTATTTAGAGAATTATGCAAAATAAATGCATTTGACACTCCTGATTCACCGCTCGTGAGAAGCAAGGAGTTTAGTTACCCTATACATAAGACCTTTGACCATATGTGGAGAACCAAGGAACATAATGAAGCTGGTTGATTGCTCCTAAGTTCAGAGGATAAAGTGATGAAAGAAAATTACGAACTCAGGGCTTCTATCTCTTGGCTTCAGAAACAGATATTGAGCCTCAAATCTGCTAAGATTACCCTGAGTGAGAGTCTTATTTCCTCTAGAAAAATAGCTGAAATTGTGGAAGAACAGACACAAGCTCTTATCATGTGAGTGGTTGACCTGCAACAAAAGGTAAATGCACAGTCTCACCAGGTGTCTACTGTTAAGGAGAGGGCATTAATTGGAAAAGAATGGGACCTTGCAGCTTGGAATGGGGATGTGTGGGAGGACCATGATGCATCTGAGGACACTGAGTTTGTAAACTCTGATAATTTTTTATTTTTTATTTTTTATTTATTTATTTATTTTGCCAGAAGGAACAGCTTCACCATCCCCAGTAGAGGTAACATCCCCAATCTGACCCATGCTGCCATCAGCCTCTCCATCTTTGTGTGAGGATATAAACTCTGTGCTACCCGAGGCAACATTGATGGCCTCCCCAGAGGCAGTTGCCAGGCAAGATAATGTTGATTTTTTTCAGGAGTAATCCCCAACATCTCTGTTTGCTTCTAGACCTGTAACTAGACTAAATTCCTAATGGGCCCCTAAAGGTGAGGTTGAGAGTGTGACCTATGAGAAGCTGTTCTACACCAGAAAATAACTGCTTGAGTTTTCCAATTGATATGAACAGAAATCTGTAGAACTGGCATGGGAATGAATATTAGGGGTGTGGGATAATTGTGGAAGAAACACGCGGTTGAATAAGGCTGAATTTATTGATTTTGGTCCACTAAGTAGGGACTCTGCATTTAATGTTGTAGCTCAGGGAATTAAAAAGGGTTCTAGTAGTTTATTTGATTGGTTAGCTAAAATATGGCCCACTGTTTGTGAGCTGGAAATGCGTGATCCCACTTGGTTTAATGTAGAGGAAGGGATCCAAAGGCTTAGGGAGATTGGGAAGGTGGAATTGATTAGTCACTTTAGACCTACTCTTCTCAGCTTGGAGGGTACAGAAGATATACCCTTGACCAATGCCTTGTGAAATAAATTTGTGAGGGCAGCACCTGCATCTTTGAAGAGCCCTGTAATTGCCCTTCTATGTATGTCAGATCTAACAGTGGGAACCACAGTCACACAACTACAAAATGTAAATACAATGGGAATAATTGGATCCTGAGGTGGCAGTAGTCAAGTGGCAGCACTCAGCCATCAAAAACAAGGTGAGTGTAGCTACCAAAATGGACAACAGAGACAAAGCAGCAATCAGAATACTCTGGCTCATGTAGAGCTCTGGCATTGGCTAATTAATCACAATGTTCCTAGAAGTAAAATTGATAGAAAGCCTACTGCATTACTACTTAATTTGTATAAACAGAAAACTTCTAGGTCTAATGGATAAAATACTAATTCGAACTATAAAAACAGAGAATAACAGCCACTCAATCAATTTCCAGACTTGAGCCAATTTACAGACAGAACCTCTTGAACGAAGGTGAGGCAAGGTCCCCCCAAGGAAGGACCCCACTATACTACTGATAATTTATGCTGTTAATCTTTCTCCCATCCTTCCCCAAGGAGACCTATGGACTTTTACCAGAGTAACTGTGCATTGGGGAAGGGGAAATGATTACACATTTTGGGGACTAGTGGACAGAGGCTCTAAGGTGACACTGATTTCAGGGGACCCAAAATGTCGTTGTGGTCCTCAAGTTAAAGTTGGAGCTTATGGAGGTCAGGTAATTAGTGAAGTTATAGCTCAGGTCTGACTTACATTGGATCTGGTCGATCCCTGGACTCATCTTGTGGTCAATTCCCCAGTGTCAGAATGCATAGTTGGCATAGGCATACTTAGCAGCTGGCAGAACTCTCACATTGGCTCCCCAACGGGTAGGGTGAGGGCAGTTGTGGTGGGAAAGGCCAAATGGAAGTGATTAGAGCTGCCTCCACTTAGAAAAATAGTAAATCAAAAACAACATTGCATCAGTGGAGGAATTGCAAAGATTAGTGCCACTGTTGAGGACTTGAAAGACACAGGGGTGGTGATTCCTACCACATCCTCATTCAACTCTTCCATTTGGCCTGTGCAGAAGACAGATGGATATTGGAGAATGACAGTGAATCATGGTAAGCTTACCCAAGTGGTGACTCTAATTGCAGTTGCTGTACCAGACGTGGTTTCAGTGCTTGAGTAAATTAACACATCTCCTGATACCTGCTATACAGCCATTGACTTGGCAAATGCCTTTTTCTCCATTCCCGTTCATAAGGCCCACCAGAAGCAATTTGCCTTCAGCTGGCAAGGCCAGCAATATATGTCTACTGTCCTATCTCAGGGTATATCAACTCTCCAGCTTGGTGCCATAATCTGACTCAGAGAGACCTTGATCGTTTTTTGCTTCCACAAGGTATACATTAATGATATTATGCTTATTGGACTCAGTGAGTAAGAAGCAGCAAACACACTGGACTTATTGGGGAGACATTTGTGTGCCAGAGGGTGGGAAATAAATCTGACTAAAATGCATGGACCTTCTACCTCAGTAAAATTTCTAGGGATCCAGTGGTGTGAGGCCTGTTGAGATATTCCCTCTGAGGTGAAGGACAAGTTGCTGCATTTGGCCCCTCCTACAACCAAGAAAGAGGCACAATGCCTCATGGGCCTATTTGGATTCTGGGGACAACACATTCCTCATTTGATTGTGTTACTCCAGTCTATTTATCCAGTGACCTGAAAGGTTGCCTGTTTTGAGTGGGGTCCAGAACAGGAGAAAGCTCTGCAACAGGTCCAGGCTGCTGTGCAAGCTGCTCTGCAACTTGGGCCATATAACCCAGCAGATCCAATGGTGCTTGAAGTATCAGTGGCAGATAGGGATGCTGTTTGGAGCCTTTGGAAGGCTCCCAAAGGTTAATCATAGCAGAGGCCTCTAGGAATTTGGAGCAAGTCCCTTCCATCTTCAGCAAATGACTACTGTCCTTTTGAGAGACATCTCTTTGCCTGTTACTGGGCTTTGGTGGAAACACAATGTTTGACTACGGGTCATCAAGTCGACATGAGACCTGAATTGCCTTTCATGAACTGAGTGCTTCCTGACCCATCTAGCCATAAACCGGGTCATGCACAGCAGCATTCCATCATCAAATGGAAATGGTGTGTACGTGATCAGGCTCAAGTGGGTCCTGAAGGCACAAGTAAGTTACATGAGGATGTGGCTCAAATGCCCATGGTCTCCACTCCTGCCACTGCCTGCCTTCTCTCCCCCAGCCTGCACCAATGGCCTCTTCAGGAGTCCCCTATGATCAGTTGACAGAGGAAGAGAAGATTAGGGCTTGGTTCACAGATAGATCAGCATGATATGCAGGCACCACCTGAAAGTTGTCAGCTGCAGCACTAGAGCCCTTTCTAGCACATCCCTGAAGGAGAGCAGTAAAGGGAAATCATCCCAGTGGGTAGAACTTCAAGCAGTGCACCTGGTTGTGCCCTTTGCATGGAAGGAGAAATGGCCAGATGTGTGATTATATACTGATTCATGGGCTCTAGCCAATGGTTGGTATAGATGATCCAGGACTTGGCAGAAGCATGATTGGAAAATTGATGACAAAGAAATCTAGGGAAAAGGTTTGTGGGTGGACCTCTCTGAGTGGTCAAAAACTGTGAGGTATTTGTACCCATGTGACTGTTCACCAACGGCAACCTCAGCAGAGGAGGATTTTAATAATCAAGTGGATAGGATACCCTGTTCTGTGGACACTACTCAGCCTCTTTCCCCAGCCACCCCTGTCATCACCCCATGGGCCCATGAACAAAGTGGCCATGGTGGCAGGGATGGAGGTTACCCATGGGCTTAGCAACATGGACTTCCACTTACCACGGCTGACCTGGCTATGGCCACTGCTGAGTACTCGATTTGCCAGCAGCAGAAACCAACATTGAGGACTCAATATGGCACCTTTCCTGTGGGTGATCAGCCAGCTACCTGGTGACGTTAATTAAATTGGACCTCTTCCATCATGAAAAGGGCAAAGGTTTGTCCTCACTGGAACAGACACTTACTAAGATATGGGTTTGCCTATCCTGGATGCAATGCTTCTGCCAAGACTACCATCTTTGGACTCATGGTTTATCCACCATCATGGTATTCCACACAGCATTGCCTCTGACCAAGGCACTCACTTTACAGCTAAAGAAGTGTGGCAGTGGCCTCATGATCATGGAATTCACTGCTCTTACCATGTTCCCTATCATCCTGAAGCAACTGGATTGATATAATGGTGGAATGGCCTTTTGAAGTCACAATGACAATGCCAACTAGGTGGCAATACTATGCAGGGCTGGGGCAAAGTTCTCCAGAAGGCCATGTATGCTCTGACTCAGTATCCAATATATGGTACTGTTTCTCCCGTAGCTAAGATTCAAAGGTCCAGGAATCAAGGGGTGGAAGTGGAAGTGGCACCACTCACCACTATCCCTAGTGATCCAGTACCAAAATTTTTGGCTTCTGTTCCCACAATATTACATCCTGCTAGCTAGAGGTCTTACTTCCAGAGGATGGGATGTTGCTACCAGGAGGCACAATGATTCTATTAAGCTGGAGGTTAAGATTGCCATCTGGACACTTTGGGCTCCTCCTACCTTTAAGTCAACAGGCTAGGGAGAGAGTTACAGTGTTGGCTGTGGGGATTGACCTGGACTATCAAGATGAAATCAGTCTACTACTTCACATCAGAGGCAAAGAAGACTATGCGTGGAATACAGGACATCCATTAGGATGTCTCTTATTATTACCATGCCTTGTGATTAGGTCAATGGAATACTATAACAGCACAATCCAGGCAGGATTACAGATAGCCCAGACCCCTCAGGAATGAAGGTTTGGGTCAGTTCAACAAGAAAAAAAAATCACGACCTGCTGAGGTGCTTGCTGAAGGCAAACGTAATACAGAATGTGTAGTAGAAGAAAGTGGTCATCAATACTAGCTATGACCACGTGACCAGCTGCAGAAAGGAGGACTGTAATACTGTAATTGTCATAAGTATTTCTTTCTTCTTTTGTTAAAACAAAAGAAGAAAGTTTGCGCATGCATACACTTGTACTAAAAAAGTCCTCATTTTATTTCATTTTCCTTTATCTTGTGCCATAAGATTTATTGACTTCATATCAGCATTTAAGTATTGTTAACTTTTGTAATAGTATTTGGTTTGGGGATTGATATGTTTCCGGTTGTATAAAGCATAATTGTATTATGTTAGGTGTAATTATGACCTTACTATTGTCTTTATCTGAAGATTTTGTATGATCTCAGGAGCTGTGTATGGGTTCAAGTTGACAAGAAGCGGACTTGTGACGGTTAATACTAAGTGTCAAATTTATTGGATTGAAGGATGCAAAGTATTGATCCTGCATGTGTCTGTGAGGGTGTTGCCATAGGAGATTAAACATTTGAGTCAGTGGGCTGGGAAAGGCAGACCCACCCTTAATCTGGGTGGGTACCATCTAATCAGCTGCCAGCATGGCTAGAATATAAAGCAGGCTGAAAACAGGTGAAAAGGCTAGACTGGTCTAGCTTCCCAGCCTACATCTTTCTCCTGTGCTGGATGCTTCCTGTCCTCAAACATTGAACTCCAAGTTCTTCAGTTTTGGGATTTGGACTGGCTCTTCTTGCTCCTCATGTTGCAGATGGCCTATTTTGGGACCTTGTGACTGTGTGAATTAATACTTAATAACTCCCCCCATATATATGCTATAGTTCTGTCCCTCTAGAGAAACCTAATACATGCATCATAATTTTCATTTTGATAAGACAACACTTTTTATTTAGAATGAAATTTCTTCCATATTGCTTGAGTTCTGTAAATGATCATTGTGGATATCAAACACTGTCCTCTAAAAATACCATAAGATCTTCTACCAGACAAAAATTTCCACTCTGCACATTTCTTTTCAACATAGTACTGGAAGTCCTAGCCAATTCAATTATATAAGAAAAATGAGTAAAAGGCATCTAAATAAGAAAAGAAAAAGTAATATTATCTCTGTTTGCAGATGACATGATAATATACATAGAAAACCCTAAAGACTCAACAATGAAGCTATTGGGACTAATGAGCAAATTCAGCGATGTTGAAGAATATGAAATCAACATAAAAATTATTTGCATTACTATACACAAATAACAAACTAACTGAAAAGAAAATGATGAACAATCATACTCATGATAACAACAAAGACAATAAAAATTATTAGGTTAAAGTTAATCAAGAAGGGAAAAGACTTGAAAACTGAAAATTATGAAATATTGCTGAAGAAAAATAAAAAAAGGCAAAGACAAATGGAAATACAGCCCTATATAATGGATTGAAAAAATTCATATTGTTAAAATATCCATACTATCTAAAATGATGTATAAACTCTGTGCAATCTTGTTAAGATCCCATTGAATTATTTATAGAAATAGGAAAAAAATAACAACACTAATATTTATATGTAACCACAAAAGTATACTATTGCCAAAGAGATCCTGAGCAAGAACACAGCTGAAGGCATTACACTTCCCTTTGTGTGAATATACTACTAAGTGAAAATAATCAAAACAGCATGGTACTAGAATAGAAACAGACATATAGACCAATGGAACAGAATAGAGAACCCAGAAATAAATCCACATATTTGTATATAACTGATCTTCAACAAGGGTTTTAAGAACACACAATGGGTGAAAGATAGTCTTCTCAATAAATAGTACTGGGAAAACTGGATATTTACATGCAGATGAATGAAACTGGATCATTATCTTACACCACATACAAAAATCAATTCAAAATGGACTAAAGACATAAATATTTGACCTGATACATAAAACTACTCAAGAAGACATAAGAAAAACATGTATGACATTGTCCTGGGTAATGATTTTTATATATATATAATCCCAAAGCCACAGATAACAAAACCCAAAATAGAAAGTAGTATTACATCAGTCTATAATAAAAAGCTTCCACACAGTAAAATAAACATTCAACAGAATGAGTAGACAGTCTATGGAACTGGAGAAAGTATTTTCAAATTATATATCTGATAAGAGGATAATATACAAATATATGAAATATCCGTATATTTTTGTTACAAGAAACTAAAAACTCAATGGGAAAAACAGGCAAAGTCCTTGAATAGACATTTTCCCAAAGAAGTTATAAAAAGTTCCCAACAACATTAAGCATCAGACAAATGCAAATCAAAACCACAATGAAATATCACCTCACACCTGTTAGCATGACTATGCTCAAATAAACAAAAGTTAATACGTGTTGGTGAGGGCACGCAGAAAAGGTTGCCCTTGCATACTGTTCTTAGGAATGTAAATTGATATAGTCCTTCTTTAAAAAATGGAGGTTCCTCATACAATTAAAACAGAGCTACCATATGATCCAGCAGTCCCACGTCAGAGCATAATCCAAAGAAAATGAAGTCAGTATGTTGAAGTTGTCCGCACTTCCATGTTCATTGCTGCATTATTTGCAATAGCTGAGATGTGGAAACAACCTGAGTGTCCATCAACAGATTAATAAAGAAAATTTGTTGTATATATACAGAAAAATGATGGAGTTTTTTTCAGCTTTAAAAAAGAAGAAACTCTTGCCATTTGGAGCACATGCTAACTGAATTATAAGCCAGACACGGAGAGACAAACACTGCATGATCTGACTTACATGGAATGTAAAATAGTCAAACTCATAGAACCAGATAGTAAAACAGAGATTGCCAAACTATGACTTATATAGAATGTAAGATAGTCAGACTCATAGAAGCAGAGATTAAAATGGAGATTGCCACACTAGAGGGTGGGGGTGGGAAATAGAGAGATGTTGGTCAAGGGGTACAAGGCATCAATTACACAAGATGAGTACATTCTTGAGCTTTAATGTACAGCAGGTTGATGATAGTAAACAAAAATGTATTGTTTACCTGAAATTTTAAGAGGGTGCATATGAAGCGTTCTCACAAAAAATAACAAAAAAAATGGTAACTATGTGAGGTGATAGGTATGCCAATTATTTTGTTTTCAGTCATTATTTCACAAAATTATATATATATATGTCAAAATATCAGAAAGCACCGCCTCAAATATATATACTTTTTTGTCAATAATATCAAAATAAAACCAGGAAAAAAAGAATATTCAATGTTATGTAATGAAAAAAAAACAAAGATGGTGATTTGAGAATTAGATGTGTTCTTTGATTTTGATTGTACCTTTAAGCAGATGGTGGGCTCAGTAATTAGACAGCTTGATTAACAGGTGCCTTTAAATTCCTAGTTTCAAGAGAATCCTTGAGCTACTTTTTTGTCCAAGAATTCTGAGTAAAGTGAGGGCTCAGCCCTCTTTCTCTGTTGCTTCTCTCAACCCTCCCCAGGTTCAAGTGGTATAGACACGGTGGATTTTTACAAAAGGGCAAGGGTAACAGTAGTGGGTCATTATATGTGACTGCTCAATAGAGCATTTCATTTAAAAGTAAATGTGAAACATTCATATTTCTAAAACTTGACTCCAATTTTATCTGGGTGTCACCTCCTCCCAATTTGTTTGCCCCTGCCCCTCATATTTTGCCCCTCTTTCTGCTTCCCCTAACAGTCCTTAAAAGCAATAATGGAAACTACACTGTTATTATCAACAACAATTTTGGCTCTGTAGCAGAAATCTCTGATCCCCAAAAAGCAGTTTAATGTCTTACTTCACGTTTTCAAAGACTCATTAGTGTGTTATACCAAATAATAGTATAAATTATCTCTAGTCATATGTGAACTCTTTTACCTTATGGATTACTCTAAGGTAAAGACAGTAATATGAATTTTTATTTTCACTAGTATATGACTTTTGTAAGAAATGAATTTTAAAACTTTGACAAGCTACACTCACTTTTTTCTTTAAAAAGTTACAAATTACAAGAGTATAGAAAATAAAACAACAAACTCCTAAACCTTGTACTCAGTGTAACAGATTTTAACTTCTTATCATATTTGGCTCAAAAAGTTACTTTATTTATTATTCATATTTAAAAATCTGTATTGGAAATACATCATAATACAAAAGAATGTGTACAATGTATACATAGTATCTACACAATGTTGCTGAATTCAGTAGTCACTAGATAAATATTATTATTTAGATTTGAGTTTATTATTTAGATTATTAGATTTAACTATTTAGTTAATAGTGTGTACTATTAAAAAGTCAGTTCCTGTTACGTAGTAAACTAGTGGCTAATGGTTACTAGGAACAAGACAACTCAAGTATTAACACAGAAATAATCACAGAAAGACCTATTGGAAAAGGCTTCCCTAAGCATTGCAATTTTACTTTCAGATTATTATTTTTCTTTGACCCAAATGGTGTGATAATAATAAATTACTGGAAACTAATGGTATTTTAAATCATTTCCATGTGTCAAGCATTGTTTTATAAGAGAACTTTATGAGTCAATTTATAAAATCCTAATAATAACACAATGACATGGCCATTATATTCAGAGAATGAAGAGATTTATTAACACTTAATTACCGGTGAGAAAGTAGATGTACAGTGAAAGCGAGTTGTTTTTCCACAATAACACAGGTTTCAAAGCTGGAATTTGAACCTATCAATAGGACTTTTTGCTTCTGAAACTTCATTTAATAATTATGTCATATTGCTTTTCTGGTGTAAAATATCAAATTATGTCTGCAGAGTTAAGAGAGGAGAATAGACTTTTCTTTCTTTTTTTTCTAAGGAACGGGGATTTAATGTTCATGAGATAATAAGTCATGGGATTCAGATAAACTCTGAGAAAGACATTTGGATATGGTACTACAGTTGGCATTGAGATTGCATATATTAATTAATGAGCTACTGCAAAAAGAGATATAATTTAGAAAGATGTAAAAATTTTTTTAAAAAATACTTTCAAGACCAAAAGATATTCAAGAGATAATGGAGAAGGAAGTTTGTCACAAAACAAACTGAAAATTGTGAGATTTATTTGCTTGCAAGTTAACTAGCTAGCTGCCACAGTTTCATAAATGTTGATATTGTTTACTAGACTACTGAGTAAAATAACATTATTTATTGCTCCAGACAATAAGAACTGCATGCTTCTATCATTTCATTGTGTCCCCAAAGTTCCATGAAGATGATGTCTAGCTGACTAAAAGGATCTTCCCAGATAGTGGGTCTATGTTGCTGGTGAAGAGTCTCAAACTTGGAAATCCCTAAACCTCACAAACAGGATGCTCAAAAACTTGTGTTCAACCTTTGCCTTGTAGAAAGACATTATCTTTATTATTGTGGTCAGGGGAAATACAAATCTGTCCTCTGCCCAAGAGCAAGACACAAACTATCTCTTCCATGGTGTTTGGCTATGCTGACATTTTTGAAAAAACACTCCAAAAAAAGTACTGTCACAAAACACATAGTAGCATCCCCCAACAAAGTCAACAAAGTAGAATATATAACTTTTTTTCTGAACTCAACATAATTATAAAATCAGGATCCTCCCTACCTTTGTATACCAAATGAAGGGAAGCCCAGCTATTCACCAGAATAGAGAAACCTTTTCCTGAACTTGAACTATAAAATATTTTTTATGAGGAGTATTGTATAGAAGAATTAGGCAAAAGATGCAGTTTGGTGTTTCATTTAATTAACAAAATTAAATAATATTACACGTGTAGGTGTTTTCTATGCTTGTTCTCAATAAAGCCAAAGCCATTATAGCAAAGAACAGCCACATAAAATCACTTTTTGATGAGTACAAAAAAACTAATAAGAGTTTCATTGTTGGTTGACAAGTGTTTGACTGAACCTTATAATTGTTTACATCTATAAAAAATGCATGTATACTTATTTTAATACATCTGAAGTAGTACAGTTACACATGATAATAGTCTTCCAATGCAATTATAATCAATCATTTGTTGTTATGCATTAAAGTTGAATCCTGCTTTATATCCTTTATTAATCTGGTTTTAAAGGGTTTAATATAGGACTCTGAATTATTCTGCCTTTTACATCATAAGCCTCATGTTTTGGATTTCCCCCTAATCTTGTTTATTAGAAAAGAAATTGTTTTTTCTCCATAAGAATTTCATGGGTTTTTATTAGAAAAACAACGTTTTGAAAGAAACTAATACTAAAAGTAAAAAAAAATTGAGAAAAAAATGTCTAAGAAATTTTGTTTTATAAATTAAAATCCTTGCTTCCTAATATGAAGAAATTATCTACTTATGACAACCAATAAGATATTCTGGCAAAATTTGCAGCAACTATCACATTAATAAACAAAATTCAAAACTATTATATAATGATTTAAAATACCAAAATCAAAATAGATGTTTTCAGCTTCTCAGATACTACTACAATTTCCTGTTTTCTTTTTGTGAATGAAAAGTATGGTAAGAACTTGGGATTAACCCAGCAAAGTAAAGAGGAAATTCATATTGAATAACCATTTTAGTTGTCATTCATCATTGTCTTACAGCACATTTAACATAATTTTGTTTCTTTCTAATTCCATGTAATTAATATTTTCAAGTAAAACAACATGTCAGGATACAGGAATGCAGAAAAGAAGTCTGTAGCCAAAATAGAGTTATTAAAATTGTCTTTCTAAAATTTAAGTAGCTGATTTATAGGACATATTCTATTGTTTCAGAGCCTTTTCCAGCAAGAAACACAAGTAATCAAAATCAGTAGCTAATAGGGATTGTGACAATAGGCATATTATCTCCACAGAGAAGTTTCCATTTTTCACCCTGGTGCAGAAGTTAAAAAAATTTTTGTACACATTTTATCAGAGAATATATTTTAAATGTCTATAAATCATAAGCAAGTAACTTGCAAGTAATTTTCAATAAGCAAGGGAACAAACAATAAATAGGAAAATGGCTACACCCTCAGGACATCTAATTTAAGGAAAACCAAGCACATGCAACTCATTAAGGTCTGATTATAAAACTACACTCCAACTAAGTTCAATAGCCCAAGCTTATAATGATATATGTGAATATACGACATGAAAGGGAGCAGAGACAGAAAACAGAAACCAAGTTTGAAGCACATTATACATGATAAAACTTTCCATAGATATTACCTCAGACAATCCCAACCACAACCCCTGCAATGATATATGATGACACCTCCCTATCACAAGTGCTATTGCCTGAATGTTGGATCTTCTAAAAATATATGTGATGGAACTTAATACCCAATTTAATAGTATTAAGCGTTGGGGCCTTTGGGAAGTGATTACGTCGTGAGAGCTTCACTCTCACAAATGGGAGTAGTGCCCTTACAAAAGAGGTTTGAGTGAGCTCCCTTGTCCCCTTCTGCTATGTTAGGACACAGTGTTCATCCATTCCACTATGTGAAAACACATGGAAGATGACATTAATGAAGAACGGGCCCTCTCAAGTCATCAAATATGCTGGTACCAACATCTTGGACTTCACAGTCCCCAGAACTATGAACAATAAATTATTATTATGTATAAATTGCTCAATTTAAGATATTTTTTATAGTGTCCCAAATGGAATAAGACAGCAATAGGTATTGCGAAATAGACCATTGCTATAACAAATACCTAAATCTGTGGAAGTAAATGGAACTGGGTAATGGCAGAAGCTGGAAGAGTTTTGTGATACAGTGCTATCAAAGGAGTCTTAACAGTAACTCCGACGTAGAATTTTTTGCTCCTTAGCTTGGCTAGGTCTGGCTTCCTGTCTCACGACCAGGAAGAAGTAGGCACACAGACACTCAAAGAGTGAGCAAGGAAAAAAGTTTTATTGAGTGATGAAACAGCTTTTTTGGGTCCCCTACCCAAAGACAGGAGGGTTCCCAATATGTTTGATCCCAGGGCTTTTTATGGGCTCAGAATAGAGAGTGTGTGGGGATTGAGTTGTGAGTATGCACAAATGATCAAAGCAAAGACATCACTCAAAGGTGGGCACGGTAGTGTAGAAAAACAATTAGGAAAGGCTAGGTATTGCAATGTTGAAAAGCAGTGGTGAGAGAAAACATCCTTGACTTGCCCCCAGTCCTTGTGGGAAAACTTCAAGTTTCTCATAATGAAGCATACTGTTAACTGGAGATATTTTGTACGTATTCTTTATCAAGTTGAGGAAGTTCCTCTTTACCTTTAGTTTACTGAGAATTTTTGTTATAAATGAATGTTGTATTTTAACAAATGCTTTTCTGTATCTACCAAAATTTACATTTTTTTTTCTTTAGCCTGTTGTGATACATTACAGTAACTGAATTTCAAATGTTGAGCTAGCCCTGCACACTTGAGATAAGTCCTTCTTAGTTATGGTATATAATCATTTTTATGCATTCTATAATGTACATTTAAGATACTAAGATAATGAGAATTATTTAACATATTCAAATATTTTGTCATGAATGATTAAAATAAAGATAGCTTGGCCAGTGATTTTTTGTCAAATAAAAATGAGTTGGTTCGTGATTTTTCTCCATAATTTTTTTTTCCTTTTTCTCCAATTTGGAGTAAGAACTGCTTTGAAACAAAATAAGTTAAACCTTTGAAAAAAAAAAACTGCACTTGAATTAGGAACAAAAACATGCTCTTTTCAATGAAGAAATATATTAATTTACAGAAACCCTGTTAATGTCAACTTCATAAAATCATCGCTTGCTTTAAAGAAAAAATCAACACAAAATGTTGATGAAGTAAAAATAAAAATAAAAATAAAAAATATCAAAATATTCATGAAAGAAACTGCCTTCTCCCACAAAAAAAAACCCAAAACCAGAGGAAATCAGTAGCACGACTCCACAACATTAATTAAATCTTTCTCTAAAAAAACACCACAGATATGAAGAAACATTATGGATCAGAAACTCAAACACCCAGTATAAAAACATAATACCAACTATGGAAATATGTGAAACAAATATGATCAATCAAACTTAGGAAACAATTTGAATAAAATAATCTTAGCAACTAAAACAAAAGAGCAGCTGGGACAAGGAAGAATAAACACAACCAATGATATGCTAAAGAAAAGAAGAGACATAAGGGATATATTTAAATAAAACAAAAATTACGGAAGTGCAAGGCCAAATAGAAAATTAAACCATCTAATCTAAAATGATTATTTTGCCCTTAAAAGTTTCTATTCATCAAGAAAAATAATTTATTATTAAATTTAGCAGTATGTTGCCAGAAAAAAAGAACATTTTCTTTACAGTAGAAAAAATATAGGAAATACTATATATCTAATTAAATATCTTGACCAACTTTCAAAAGTATTACAAAAATTAAACACAAAAAAGGACCATACTTTTGAGCAACACAAATATTATTTTTTAACTAACAAACAATTACCATACTAATTTACAAAGATTGCTTTTCAATAGTCAGGGCATGTACAAATTGCATGCAATACTAGAATGTTTATATTTAGTATAAGTCCTAGCAAATAACTCAGAACAATAAGTAAAAGTTAGTATTTATTTTAAATTATAATTTAAAATCAAGGTTATTTATTGAAATGCCTTATTCAAAATTTTTTTAAATATCTGTAAAAAAATAAGTAATTTTCTGAAATGAGCTATAACTTATGCAGATTATGTTCCCCAGTAAAGAAACTCAGAGGTGGAAATTTGCTTATAGGACCTTTGATAGAGAGTTCTTTCAGAATCAGAACTATGAGAAACCAAACTGTTGTTTGGTGTGGACAGACCAGTTGAATCGTAATGCAGTCACAACAGAGGCTTAAAGCAATCTCATGCAGAAATTTTGAGTTCGGTTGCCTCAACACTACATTCACTGATAGATCCACAAGATATTTAACATGCCTACATCATTATCTTGTTTTAGAAGACATGTCATTCTAGTTTATTAACATATACTTTATTTTCAGCTTTAGAGTTTATACACTAAAATTAATATATTTGTATTTAAGATACAGAGAGTTATACATTGCACGATATATAACTAGCTCTATCATAAATACACATTAAAGAAATTAAATACAGGTGCACTGTTACCCAACAATGAGGTAATGTTAGTAATCTCCTGGTTTCAACCTAGCTTATACAAAACATTTTTAATGATGTTTTTATAAATTATAGTATGCCCTTTCGAGATTACTTTCCTTCACAACGATGTTGCTTCTTAAATGAGGTTTTGAATATGTTTTTCATGTAGTGGAAACCATTATTCCAAATGGTGTCATAGTTTAAACAGCTGTATGTTATGTATTTTAATAAGATATCTGCTAAAATATAAATTGATTAGACTAGACCTAGAAATTATTTTTGTTAAATAATAGAAAAAAAACACTATTCCTAACACAATAGGTGTCTTGCATAATGGTGGTGAAATAAATACAATAAAGTAGTCAATTAATACGAAATATTTATTATAAGTGTTTAGAGATATTTTATTTACGAAAATTTTATATAAATATGTGCTAGAAGAAATAATTCTTTGTGTATATTTCTATTAGATGCAAAATTTCTCTTTTATTCTTTCTATATTTTCTTTTCCAATATTTCACTTTCCCTGTTGAACAGATCACATCTGGGTTGCAGAAGATAAGTGGCTATGTTTAGCACCACTTAAAAGTTGTCATATGAAATGATAATAATTCCTTCAATTGGCAAATTATTTTAGGACTAGTTCTATGAAAGAAAGGGTATAAATATGACATCCATCTTCCCAAACATATAAAACAAAATGTTTACTTATATTTAGTCAAAATTGAAAAATAAGCAAGAATATTTGTTATTTTAAATAAATAAAAATATGTCTAATCAATTTATATTTTAGCAGATATGTTATTAAAATATATAACATACAGCTGTTTAAACAATGACACCATTTGGAATAATGATTTCCACTACATGAAAAACATATTCAAAACCTCATTTAAGAAGCAACATCGTTGTGAAGGAAAGTAATCTCGAAAGGGCATACTATAATTTATAAAAACATCATTAAAAATGTTTTGTGTAAACTAGATTGAAACCAGGAATAAAAGACTTCCTTTTAATTGCATGTAAAAATTAATTTGGATGTTTGAAAGTGAATGTTAACCTACCTTGAAAAGTGTCATTTTTGTAAAGGCTCTGAAAAGTATCTATAGAAACTGTCAAAAATAGTATTATATTTTTTATACTTTCTCTCCTTTGAGTTCTTCTCATTAGTAGCAAAAATTCCAGCATAAACATAATTATGAATCTCACCATGGTATCAGGGCAAACCTTGTAATAGAGTATGGAGTAACTAAAACATTTAATTATCTGTTCAAAATATAGTTAAAGTAGTTTAAGAATTTCATTTTCTTTTTGTCTCTTACAAATCAATGTTCATTTTAACTGTACTCCATTTTGTCCTTTAAAAGAAATACAATTTGAATACAATGTTTCAGGGTACATGTGCACAATATGCAGGTTAGTTACATATGTATACATGTGCCATGCTGGTGTGCTGCACCCATTAACTAGTCATTTATCATTAGGTATATCTCCTAATGCTATCCCTCCCCCGTCCCCTCACCCCACAACAGTCCCCAGAGTGTGATATTCCCCTTCCTGTGTCCATGTGTTCTCATTGTTCAATTCCCACCTGTGAGTGAGAACATGCAGTGTTTGGTTTTTTGTCCTTGTGATAGTTTACTGAGAATAATGATTTCCAATTTCATCCATGTCCCTACAAAGGACATGAACTCATCATTTTTTATGGCTGCATAGTATTCCATGGTGTATATGTGCCACATTTTCTTAATCCAGTCTATCATTGTTGGACATTTGGGTTGGTTCCAAGTCTTTGCTATTGTGAATAGTGCCGCAATAAACATACGTGTGCATGTGTCTTTATAGCAGCATGATTTATAGACCTTTGGGTATATACCCAGTAATGGGATGGCTGGGTCAAATGGTATTTCTAGTTCTAGATCCCTGAGGAATCGCCACACTGACTTCCACAATGGTTGAACTAGTTTACAGTCCCACCAATAGTGTAAAAGTGTTCCTATTTCTCCACATCCTCTCCAGCACCTGTTGTTTTTTAAATGAACAAAGTTGCATACTTGTGCAACTAACCAATCAGCTCATGAAAGTGCAAGTAATACAGTACTCTGGATCATAAGTAAATTAGTTTTCTATGATTGCTGTAACAAATTGTCAGGAATACAGTGCCTTAAAAGAATAGAGATTTGTTATCTTACAGTTCTGTATGTTTGAAATCCAATCTGGGTCTCACTGAGCTAAAATTAAGGTGTCTGCAGGACAACACTCCTTTTTAAGGCTCTATGAAATAATCTTTTCTTTTTTTTTTTTTTTGCTTTTTCCAGCTTGTAAAAGCCCTACACCTCATTGTCCACCCTTCTAGAGTCAAATATTCCTTTCATCCTTCTCTCCTGACCCCCAATTCCACTTTTAAGGACCCATGTGATTACAACCAGGTACCATAAACTAGGTGGCTTATAAGCAACAGAAATTTATTTTGCTCACTTTTGAAAGCTGAAAATGTTATATCCGGGTGCCCATGTGGCTGAGATCTGGTGAGAATTCTCTTTCAGGTTGCAGAGTACTGACTTCTCATTATATCTTCACATGGAGAAGCAGAAAGCTAGCTAGCTCTCTGGCATATTCCTATAAGGGCATTAGCACTATTATAAGAGCTCCACCCCCATGGTCTAATTATATCCCAAAGGCGCTACCACAAAATTCCATCACACTGGGGATTACATTGCAACAGTTGAATTTTGGGATGGCGGAAACATTCAGTTGTTAACACTGAACTACCAAAAGTAAATCCAATTTAATATCAGTTAAGTTGTAAGCACTAGGATGCTCCCATGGGCAGAGATCCATATTTTGAAATTGGATTCCTAGACTGGGCTTTAGAAACTAAGGATGAGCTGGAGATTCAGTGTCAGATTAGCCTACAAATGACCACCACTCAGAGTGGTTATGAAAAAGAATAGAAAAGATCCCACCAAGAGATGGGATAGCAGAATAATTAGATGGAGAACACAAAATAAGCAAAAGCACAAGATGAACCTGGAGAGCCTTTCACTCATTGTATGAGAAATTTAGCAGTCTGAGCCACCTTGACCCAACAAAGTCTTGTTTTTCACTATTAGGTGAATAAATGGCTTTTTGTCAAGTGATAGAACATATTGTAACAAACCCTCCTTCTGTGATAATTTTTAATGCCACACATTTATAATATGATCCTTTCATTTGTGGGCTGCCTCAGGATTCTGGTGTGATAGATCCTGGGGATCTGATTCCAAACAAACAATTTAATCGCTCTAAAGATCTTGAGAAAATTCACTTAATTTTGTTAAACCTCTGTTATTCTTTTATAAACTAGGGATGATAATCCTTATGAGAAAGGATTATGGCACAAATTAGAGATAATGCATGGAAAGAGCACTTGGCATGCTGCCTGACCCATAGGATGTAGCCAGTGGTTAAATTCTGTTCTATGGTTGCTTTTATTTTTTGACTCCCAAAGCGACCTGTTGGTGTGAGTCTTGATCTTTTCAGCAATATAGGACATGTCTGAACTGACAGAAGAAGGCTCTGGAGTGTGCAATTTCTGTTTCTTTTTTTTTTTTTATTCTGGAGAACAACTGATCTGATTTGAAACTAGTCATTTCAGGAATATATAGTGATACGCTCTAAATGAAATGACCACTATGAAGATTGATTTATATTATCAGAAAGAAATTACTAAGAGTCTTAAAAATGACCGCCATGTACAAAACAATCATATTGACACTCTCCTAAATTACAGAACTGATATCAAAGATAATTTTACAAGGTAAGCAGCAATACTTTTATTTAGCCAATGGTTCTATCTGCAAAGCAATTTTAATGCATTCCTGATGATAATAGTATATTTCAGTAATTTCATATATTTATTTATTTTTCCCTGCTAGGTAGATAAAGGTAGTAAAAGATCTTTTTGGGGTCAGAATTTTGGGAATTCACATAAAAACAGAACTATTCCTTTTGAGATTAAGATATAATATTTTAGAATGTGAATGTTTGTTAACATTACATGTATGTTTTGCCACTCTTTCCTTTAATTTTGATTCCAAAACTTGAAGGTAGATGAGAGTTTGTAGCACTAAGAGAATACAATTTAGTGTCCAAATTGACAATGTCCAGAGAGTCAACATCTAACAAAACTGGAGGAAGAAAATGTTATGAAAACACCCATTTGTGTGTGTGTTTGAGAAAGAGTATTTCCATATTCTTCAAGCTTTGAGTCAAGAATCTTCAACCCAGAATTGTTGCTTCCTCTATAATTTTTTAGGTTTTTAGAGAATACTGCTTTATGTATTTTCAGTGTGACAAAATGTTTTTACAGTATTATTATTCCCAGAATATAACCTTGATCTTAGATGACAAAAATTATATGTTTTCATATTTTGAAATATTTTTAGTTAGAAAATCTGATGCCCTAAAGTTGCTAAACCATGGGACTTCATGTTCTTTTATGAATGTTGATATTTTTCAATTTATAATAGTACTATGCTAATAACGAAATAATATTCTCAATCAAAGTACTCTTTGAGAATATCTCTCTTTAATATTTTTTATTCATTCTTTCATCCACTCATTTAACAAATACTTTTTGAGGTATTTCTGTGGGCTGGGTACTTTTCTAAGACTGTAAATGTGAATGAAATAGGCACAATTCCCTAACTTCACAAAGGTTTGTGTGTGTGTGTAAAAAAAGATAAAACAAATATTTAGTGTGCCCGCTAATATCTCGGGTTTACATGGGCACGGTTGGTTTGGGGGCGGGGGGCTGGGCACTGAGTAGTCTTGGAAAACGCAACATTCGGGTGCAGGAACAGGAGTGCCTGTTCTCACTTGGGTTGTGGGCACAGGCCCTAGGGTGTATCCCTCACCAGGGACCCCACCCTTCTCTACCAAGAAGTTCCCTACACCACTCCCATATCATTAACAACACTAAATGTATGACAATATACAAATTTGTTGAATTTTGTATACTTAAATACATAAAAAGTTCCTGAATATTTGACAAACCTGACAAAAAACAAGCAATGTGGAAAGGATTTCCTATTTAATAAATGATGTTGGGAAAACTGGGTAGCCATATGGAGAAGACTGAATCTGGACCCCTTCCTTACACGTTATACAAAAATTAACTCAAGATGGATTAAAAACATTAGACCTAAAACCATAAAAACCCTAGAAGAAAACCTAGGCAATACCCTTCAGGACTTAGGCATAGGCTAAGACTTCATGACCGAAACACCAAAAGTAATGGCAACAAAAGACAAAATTGACAAATGGGGTCTAATTAAACTAAAAAGCTTCTGCACAGCAAAAGAAACTACCATCAGAGTGAACAGGCAACCTACAGAATGGGAGAAAATTTTTGCAATCTATCCATTTTACAAAGGGCTAATATCTAGAATCTACAAAGATCTTAAATAAATCTGCAAGAAGAAAAACATCGAAAAGTGGGCAAAGAATATAAACAGACACTTCTGAAAAGAAGACATTTGTGCGGCCAACAAACGTATGAAAAAAAGCTCATCATCATTGGTCATTAGAGAAATGCAAATCAAAACCACAGTGAGATACCATCTCATCCCATTTACAATGGCAATCATTAAAAAGTCAGAAAACAACAGATACTGGAGAGGATGTGAAGTATGAACACTTTTACAGTGTTGGTGGGAGTGTAAATTAGTTCAACCATTGTGGAAGACTGTGGCAATTCCTCAAGGATCTAGAACCAGAACTACTATTTGACCCAGCAATCGCATTACTGGGTATATACCCAAAAGATTGTAAATCATTCTACTATAAAGATACATGCACATGTATGTTTATTGTGGCACTATTCACAATACCACAGACTTGGAACCAACCCAAATCCCCATCAATGATAGACTGGATAAAGAAAATGTGGCACATATACACCATGGAATACTATACAGCCATAAAAAAGGATGAGTTCAGGTCCTTTGTAGGGACATGGATGAAGCTGGAAACCATCATTCTCAGCAAACTAACACAAAAACAGAAAAACAAACTCCACATGTTCTCACTCATAATGAGAGTTGAACAATGAGAACACATGGACACAGAGAGGGGAACATCACACACCTGAGCCTGTCGGGGGGTGGGGGCCTAGGGGAGGGATAGCATTAGGAGAAATACCTAATGTAGATGACAGGTTTATGAGTGCAGGAAACCACCATGGCGCGTGTATACCTATGTAACAAAACTGCACGTTCTACACATGTACCCTAGAACTTAAAGTATAATAAAAAAAAGTTATTGAATATCTAAAAACGAATGTATGTTTATTCTAATCCTAACGTTGTTTTATTGAATTAGAAATATATTATTAGTATGTAAAATACAGAGCAATAGACAACTGAATCAAGTTTGAACACAAGAAGGGGTAATTTCTCTGTCAGATATGATATCATTTTAAAACTAATGCAATTAAAGCTGTATAGTATTGCCATACCTATGGACATATGGAACAATAAAACAAAAGAAAGCTAAGACATATCCTCAAACATATACGGAAAGTTGCTAAATATCTGACCAGGAAAGCACAGCAAATCAGGAGAAAAGCACAGACTCTGCAAAATAGTGATCAAATTCTTCTTCACATGAAAAAAGTAAATAGATCTTTATTTTCACTGTACAAGAAAAATGAACTCTAAGAGCACTAGACATCTTGTTATAAGGAGTAAAAATTTCGAATATTTAGAAACAAGTTAGGGAATACTATGATATAAGATTTTAAAAGACAAGAGAGGAAAGACATGGAAATGAGAAGATCTATAAATTGGACTTATTGTGTAAGTCATAAGGCTCAGAAACAGAAATAAAAGGCAAGCTCCTGACTGGGATGGGATTGTATTTTCTGGGACTTTAACAAATATTTAGAAATTCCGCAGAATATATTAGACTCTCTTACAGGTCATTAATAATAAAAAAGAAGTCCACAAATGATGTGAACAACTATTTTCAGAAGTAAAAATCTGTCGATAAATATAAAAATATGTTTAATTATTTAAAATACAAAAATGCCAATGAAAGAAAAATTTTCAAATATGAAAAAGCAATGATGTATACTGTTTATGAAGGTATGTACAGATGTTGAAAGTTTAAAATTGTGGACAGAAAAGATTAACATCTATTGCAAGATCATAGGTATCTCTAATGCAGGAGAGGTGTGATAATATGTAGTATTCAGAACGGCTGTGGTATTAATCTTGTAAATATGTTTAATGAATCTGAAGCATAATTAATAATTATGTTTCTGATAGACACATATCTTTATTATGTATGTATATGTATGTATTTATTTAAAATAATTTTCTATTTGCTCAAAAAACATGATTCAACAGACAAATATTAAATTTTATATAGATACTTGTTTGCAAATAACTTTTCAATACAATAGAAGGTTAAAAATATAAAATAAATGTTGTCCATTTTCCACCCAATCTGTGCTTCAGAATTAAGTCAAATTTCTCAAGTTCCCAAATTGTATCATTTATGTTCTTAGTTATTTGGTTGATTATTCTCATAACTGCAAATATTCAACAATAAAATAGTTCAACTATTTTCTCTTTCATCTGACTTTGGTCTTTCAGATTATCCTACTAATTTACTACATCCACATATGTAAATATTCCAATTTTCAGCTTCTCACAGGATTTATTTTATTTAGAAAATTGTTAACATCCCTCAATGGGCTTAGAGGTAAAAGGGGATACAAACTATTTTGTTCAAATTGTTATGTTCAATAGTTACAGTAGTTTGCAAAATTCTTACAGCCTTTATTCAAGACAATAATTTTCAATTCAGTTCAAGTAGATAACTGGGAAAATCCTATCAAGTTTCTGCCTTTTGCATTTTTTTTTCTGACTGGGGCTTTATCAAAAATTAAGTAACTAAACACTTTATTTAGAATTACACATTGAAGGAAAGATTTCCACTTACTGAAATTCCTAGTCTAGAGCTTTACTGCATAGCTCTGGAAATGTTCATTGTGTGTCTTTCCATCCTCAAGCAAGCAGTGAGAATAAAAGGATGCTGCAGTCAGATATTAACTCCATCAAGTGAGGTGTTCAATAATACTGACCAGAAGATCTTCAAGATTTTTTATATTGTATTAGTTAGAGTTCTTTAGAAAGACCAACCAGTAGGATAAACAGAGAGAGAGAGTTGAAGAGATATAGAGATATGTGTTAAAGGAATTGGCTCACTTGTTTATGGAGGCAGAGACGTCCCATGATAGGCCATCTGCAACCGGGAGAACCAATAATGCCCGTAGTCTAATTTCAAAAGCTTCAAAACCAATGAAGCAAATGGTATAACTCTCAGTTTAAGGCCAAAGACCTGAGAACCTGAGAGCCTGCTGATACGAATTCTAGAGTCCAGAAGTCGGACGGCTTCTGACATCTAGGGGCTGGGGAAGAAGGAAGACCTGGACCCAAAAGATAGAGCAAGCATTTGTCCTTCTTCCACATTTTTGAAATTCCAGCCGGGCCCCCAGCCAATTGGATGGTGCCACCTACAATGACGGTGGATCTTTACTCAGTCCACCTACTCACATGCCAAACTCTTCCTGATATAACCTGGCAGACACACCCAGAAATAATGCGTTACCAGCTATCTTGGTATCCCTTAATCCAGTCAAATTGACATAAAATTAACCATCATGTACATATATAAATTATGATTATAGCCTGGGAGAACTGGAATGAAATTAATGGCACCAATTCTGAAGGGTTTTTTTTTTCATTTTTATTTTTATTTTGGAAACAGGGTCTTTCTGTTTCCAATGGAGTGCAGTGATGCAATTATAGCTCACTTGCAGCCTCAAACTTCTGGGCTCAAGCGATCCTCCTACCTCAGCATCCTGAGTAGCTGGGACCACAGGCGCACACCACCAATCCTGACTAACTCCTTTATTTTGTGTAGAGATGGTGTCTTGCTGTGTTGCCCAGGCTGGTCTTGAACTTCTGGCCTCAAGCTATCCTCCTGTCTGGGATTACGGGTGTGAGTCATTGCACCACAGTGAAAAGGCCATGAAGAAGGTCAAACATTTCAGATTCTAAATTCTCGTGGTGTGTAATTGCCAAAAAGAAAGATGAGTGATGTGCTGAAATAGGTATTTCTATGAGAAACTGGTTATCTTTAAAGTATACTAACATTTTATCTCAAGTAACTAATTCCCAAAATGTAACTTAACCATTAATTAATGGATTTCTACATTTACAAAAAGCACTGTCGAACTTGTCTTTGTTCTTTATAACCACATATTCAAAAACTATCTAATTTTTATGCTTTTGAATTCTAGATTTTGATCTAGTGTTGGATTAATATAAATGAACCTCATGATTCATAGGATTAATATAAATGAACCTCATGGTTACTTAAATTGTTCTGAAGCATTATATCTCATAGCTCACATTTTAACTGTTAAATAAAAATCTAGCTAATCATTTGTTGCCCACTTTTCTTGTCTATGGTCTTAAAATAATAGTTTTACAAGAAACACAATATAAAATATTATTTATTCCAGGACTTTTTTTGTATTATAATTTTGTTATTTCTTTCCACAAGAGAAATTTGACTTATTCTCAAAGTATGTATCCTCCTTTTTTAATATTTTGCTTTTTGACGTGTGAAAACTATTCCTGGAAATAGTCTTTTAGATTAGTCCCAGTGTGTAGTTTTCATTAACCCTCCTTATTTATGCTTCACGTTTTATTTATTTTTCTAATTAGAAACCCAGCCAGGTTCAAATGCTGAAATCAGCAAGCAGACTGAAGGGATCCGCATTTTGTCTTCTGCAGTCTCAGGTGTGCATAATCAGTGCCCCTTGTAGAAATGCACAACATGAGCTAATTTTTATAAAACTGGAACAAACCTCTCATATAATTTTTTTTTTTTTTTTTTTTTTTGAGACAGCGTCTGGCTCTGTCGCCCAGGCTGGAGTGCAGTGGCGCGATCTCGGCTCACTGCAAGCTCCGCCTCCTGGGTTCACGCCATTCTCCTGCCTCAGCCTCTCAAGTAGCTGGGACTACAGGAGCCCGCCACCGCTCCCGGCTAATTTTTTGTATTTTTAGTAGAGACGGGGTTTCACTGTGTTAGCCAGGATGGTCTCGATCTCCTGACCTCATGATCCACCCGCCTCGGCCTCCCAAAGTGCTGGGATTACAGGCGTGAGCCACCACGCCCGGCCAATTTTATAATACCATAAAACCTAATGTTATGTTAAATTTTTTTATATATTCAATAAGGACATTAGGAGGAGATCCAGCAGTGAAAGGTACAGTCTTTTCAATGTTCTTTGCATTGTATCCTATAATGGATACTCTAATTTTCTAGCTTTATTACCAGCTAATAACATATGTAAATTATTTCAACAAACAATATCTTAAATATTTTACCACATGTGGGCTAATATGTTATAAAATTTAATATGAAATAAAATTATTTCAAACCAGGTACATATTAGAGATGATGCATTTCCTGTATAAAAGAGATATGCATTTGCAACCAAGAATGTTGCTTTCATTTACAATAAAAATAGTCTTTCAGTGGTCTCCATTTTCCAACTCTTAAATGTTAATTAAAGCTTGAAGACTTTTAAATGTTAACATTGGTAGAGTTTTATACCCCTTTTGTGTCTTACTTCAGATCAAACTAAACTATGTTTTTAGTGAATATCTAACCATAACAATTGTAATAACAGTAACTTCAAACTGAACTAGTGAAGAGTTCACAAAGATATTTCTTAAGATATTAAATGATTCATTCTGCCTTATAAGCATGTGTATTTCTCATAAAGGCAGTAAAAGAAAAGCAGAGAGAAAAAATAGAATATAGGTAAAAAAAAAAGCAAATAGTAAAATTTTACATTTAAATACAACTGTATCAATAATTACATTGAATAATCTTAAATATCCTTAATGTAATGGATAGAAAAAGATATAAAAAACACTTAAATAAGCTATTATTTTAGCTTGAGGTTTTGATAAATTATGTGGCTTATCCAAGGTCACAGATGCAGGAGGATGCACATTTATGACTCTAAATCAGATATCTTGAGCCAGCTTATGCTTCTCTCCTACTAAAATATTTTGTCAAATACCAAAATATCTACCCCACCCCTTTCTTATATCTTTTATTTTTCTGAAATTCTGGCAAATCATTACTATTAGTATCATATACTTTTTACCTCTTTATTGTCAGTAATATCAGTTCTTTTTCTGGTTGCTTATGTGAAAACTAACAGTCTTTTTTTTTTCATTTACTCTTCTACTTTCTACATCTAGCTGTATAAAATTTTATTTCAAATTTCCTCATTGATTTTACATTTTCTTCCATTCTTACTGTCACTATCTTGGTCTAGGCAGTCCATCAACTAATTATTGAGTTATTGAAGTAATTTCATTTGTGCTCACATTTTCTCCAGTCTCAGCCTATTTCAATTTCACTAGTACTAGTGAACAGCCAATTGCTGTTGGAAGACCACTATCATCTTGTCATGAAATTGATCAGGATCCTATAAATGCTCTTTATTATCTAAACAATCACAGAATGAGCTCATATCGCTTATCCAACTTTCTACCTGAATAATATATTACACAATGACTTTGATATCGTCAAAGCCCCCTGAACATATTCCTCATAATGGACTCTGTGTCTTGCTTATTATTGTGTTTCAAGCAAGCTAAATCCTCCCTATACTCATGTTATGTAAACTTCAATCATTAACCAACAAAGTTCCACTTTCTCAAAGACGCATTCTCTATCGGTACCTTTCTCCATGCTAAGGAAATTGACTCATACTCTGATATTAATAACGCTGCCTAAAGACTTCTGCCTCTATAAAGCATGAAAATGATTAATATTCCTATCTTGTAAGGTATTTTATTACTTCCGAAAATTCTGCATTCCTTTTAATGAATCTAAAACCTTATATATATGTAAATATATAAATATATATATTTCTAAAACTAGAATGATATGAACCAAGAAAAATCATTTAAGTCAATTATAAATATTCTCCTGAAACATAATTTAGTATGAGTACCTGAGAGTACAAAGGTATCAGGACTCTTCACTCTATTCCTGGCACAAATAATATCATCCGAAGAAAGAGTGAGAATTTGTGTGTAGTGGGGTTTAGAACTCTAGGAAAACCTTTGCCTATAAAATGAAATTAAAACACACAACTAAAGAATGCCTGGATGTTAAAAAAAAAAAAAGTATTCAAAGAGAACAGAGATGGAAAGGAATTCATGTGTGCTGAGGTAGAAAGAATTAAAAGACGCCAGTACAGCTGGAGCCAAGGGAGGAAGTGGAAAGGGAGAAAGCAGATTTCAGACAATGCTGGACTTTGTAAAACATATTATTGGAGTGTATATCATAGGACAATGAGAAATCATGGAAGGACTTTAAGCTAAAAGTGATTGAACTTAAACCACATTTTAAACACTTTTGCAGTGTTTTAAAAGTATAGTGTTTCTCTTTAATTTTTGTAATTAATTCAAGGGGGATAAAGGTGAGTACAGAAAGCATGGAAACAGAAAATTCGTGCGAGGCTGGTAAAGTTGGATATAGGAATCTCACTTAAGGGGCTACAACTATATATATATAGGATAGAAGGAAAAAATGAACTTATGCTAGAGTTGGTATATAAATGAAAAAGAAGTGGAATGATTTGACTTGGGAATCTATTCATTCAACAAATAACTGAGTACCTATTCTGTAGCAAATGATGGACAATATAGATAATAACAGAGTAGATTCTAAAGAGCGTCTATTAATGAACCCTAAGCTTTGCTGAGAGAAGAGAGAAAGCAATCACATACTGGCTTATTTTAGAGCAATGGAAAAAATGTCACAAACATTGGAAATAGGGGATATTGAGGGAGTAAGTTTTCAATTTGGAATACAATGTATACAATGCCATATAAGTTTTTCACAAGATAAAATAAGTTGTTTCTAAAATGTATTCATGCATTAGATACAATTTTTACATTACAATAAAACCGAACTGTATGCATACATTTGCATGACTCAGGTCAACCTAGACCTTCCACGTACCTCTGCCTGCTTTTATCCTAGCCATGCTGGCAGCTGATTACCTATTGTAAATGTGATTTTTAAAGTCATGAAAAGAAAACATATTTCAGAAGAACATTCCATGCTCATGGGTAGGAAGAATCAATATCGTGAAAATGGTCATACTGCCCAAGGTAATTTACAGATTCAGTGCCATCCCCATCAAGCTACCAATGACTTTCTTCACAGAATTGGAAAAAACTACTTTAAAGTTCATATGGAACCAAAAAAGAGCCCTCATTGCCAAGTCAATCCTAAGCCAAAAGAACAAAGCTGGAGGCATCATGCTACCTGACTTCAAACTATACTACAAGGCTACAGTAACCAAAACAGCATGATACTGGTACCAAAACAGAGATATAGACAAATGGAACAGAACAGAGCCCTCATAAATGATGCCGCATATCTAGAACCATCTGATCTTTGACAAACCTGACAAAAACAGGAAATGGGGAAACGATTCCCTATTTAATAAATGGTGCTGGGAAAACTGGCTAGCCATATGTAGAAAGCTGAAACGATCCCTTCCTTACACCTTAAACAAAAATTAATTCAAGATGGATTAAAGACTTAAATGTTAGACCTGAAACCATAAAAACCCTAGAAGAAAACCTAGGCAATACCATTCAGGACATAGGCATGGGCAGGCAATTCATGTCTAAAACACCAAAAGCAACGGCAACAAAAGCCAAAATTGACAAATGGGATCTAGTTAAACTAAAGAGCTTCTGCACAGCAAAAGAAACTACCATCAGAGTGAACAGGCAACCTACAGAATGGGAGAAAATTTTTGCAGTCTACTCGTCTGACAACTGACAAAGGGCTAATACCCAGAATCTACAATGAACTCAAACAAATTTACAAGAAAAAAATAAACAACCCCATCAAAAAGTGAGCAAAGGATATGAACAGACACTTCTCAAAAGAAGACATTTATGGAGCCAACAGACACATGAAAAAATGCTCATCATCACTGGCCATCAGAGAAATGCAAATCAAAACCACAATGAGATACCATCTCACACCAGTTAGAATGGCAATCATTAAAAAGTCAGGAAACAACAGGTGCTGGAGAGGATGTGGAGAAATAGAAACACTTTTACACTGTTGGTGGGACTGTAAACTAGTTGAACCATTGTGGAAGTCAGTGTGGCAATTCCTCAGGGATCTAGAACTAGAAATACCATTTGACCCAGCAATCCCATTACTAGGTATATACCCAAAGGATTATAAATCATGCTTCTATAAAGACACATGCACACATATGTTTATTGCAGCACTATTCACAATAACAAAGACTTGGAACCAACCCAAATGTCCAACAATGATAGACTGGATTAAGAAAATGTGGCACATATACACCATGGAATACTACACAGCCTTAAGAAATGATGAGTTCATGTCCTTTGTAGGGACATGGATGAAGCTGGAAACCATCATTCTCAGCAAACTATCGCAAGGACAAAAAACCAAACACCGCATGTTCTCACTCATAGGTGGGAATTGAACAATGAGAACACATGGACACAGGAAGGGGAACATCACACACCGGGGCTTGTTGTGGGGTGAGGGGAGGGGGAGGGATAGCATTAGGAGATATACCTAATGTTAAATGACTAGTTAATGGGTGCAGCACACCAACATGTCACATGTATACATATGTAACTAACCTGCACGTTGCGCACATGTACCCTAAAACTTAAACTATAATTAAAAAAAAAAGAAAGCATATTTCATGTACCTGTATTTTGGCTCTTTCTTTCTTCCATCTTGATACTGCAAGATTATTATTTTATTTCTGCTGGAAGATCTGCCTTTAACTTATCTTTAATAATAGATATGCTGGTGACAGTCTTATTTATTTATTTTTTATCTGAGAATGTCTTTATTTCTCCTCAGTTTTTGAAAGATAGTTTCATAAGATATAGATTTCACCGTAGTGTTTCTTTCCTTTCAGGGTTTGAAAATTATTATGCCAATTTCTCTAGCCCTCACAATTTCAGACGAGAAATTACCAGTGAGCTAAATAGATGTTCCCCCATAAATGCTGTTTTTCTTCCATTGCTTTCAAAATTTCTACTTTTTCTTTAGTTTTCCAGAAGTGTAATTATGCTGTATCTTTGGGTTTATGTTTTTTTAGGTTTTGCTCAGCTCCTTGAATCTGTAAGTTTGTGTCTTTTGTCAAATTGAAGAGGTTTTTATACATTATTTCTTTGAATACTCTTTCAGGCTGATTTTCTTCTTTTCTTTGGTGATCTGATAATAAAAATATTAGAACTTTTGTTTTTGTCCAACTGGTTTCTGGGACGTTTTTCATGTTTTTTTTTTCAGTATATTTTCTCTCTGTTCTTCATATAGAAAAAATTTGATTAATCTGTCCTCCACTTAATCTATCCTCTGCCACCTCTATCTTACTATTTCATTTATCCCATTTTTAAATATTATTTATTGTATTTTTCAGTTTCTTAATTTTCATATGGTTCATTTTTATCATTTTTACTTGTTGCTGAGATTTTGTCTTTTACATTCAACAAAATTTGTACTTGATTTTAGAAATTTGTTTGATGGCTGCTGTAAAATTCTTGTCAAATTTCTTATGGGATCTGATTTATCTCGGAGTCAGCATTTGTTGATTATCTTTTCCCAGTTAAGTTGTATGTTTTTCTTATTTCTTTGTATGACAGATGATTTTAATGTTACTTTTGACCTTTTATGTATGATATTGGGCAACTCTTTGTCTTATTTAATTTTTTTTATTTCAGTCACATTGTTTAAGTTACCGCTAGCACTGGCCTAATTTTTGTGTGATTTAATTCCCAAACTAGCTTAAATTTGAGAACCTTTGCAGTGTTATTTTGTGCTGCTTGAATTATCCAAAGCCACTGAGATCCTACTGGTTCCTGCTGGTGCCATTTGAAGAGGGGAACCTACAACTATTTCTTTACCTACAACTATTTATTTACCTAGAGTTGTTAGGTACCTCTTGCTGAGGGAGGGTATGCTCTTGTTTCCAGAAATGAAGAGGCTTCCCTGGCATGGTGATTGGGATTTCTCACCCACCCCTTGCCTGGAAGACACACATGTGCTGAACATAGCTACTCATGGCAGATGTCTCTCTTACCTCACCACTCTGGTGTCTCTGAATTGTGAAGGAGAGAGTTGGGCCTGGTGGGAAAGGATACTACTTCCTCTGGCTGCTTTTTTCTAGCAAGATTGATCCCTTTCTGATGGTTTACGGTTTATCACTCAACTGCTGTTTTTGGAGGAACGCCTGTTGAATCCAGCATCAGAATGAGCCTACTTTGGTCACTTTCTGCTGCTAGAGTGGTAGTTGGCAAACAGTGGTCTAAGTTGCCTTCTTCTCTTGGGTATGAGGACATAGATGCCCTGCTGTGTGTTGTTCCTCCAGCGCTAGTATTCCAAAGCAATTCACTTGTGTTTTACTACCTTGCAGAGCTCTCCTTTGGATGTATCTTGCATTTTTCTTCTCATTTTATAGTTGTATATATTTTGGAGGAGCAGGAAGAAACCAGTCTACAACTTTTTAGAACTACAAGTATTTTATATGTTTTTGAAATCAGTATCACTTTTAGATGTACATTCTTTCTACTCAGTACCCTAACTGGATCTTCATACTTAAGGTAGTGCCTAGATTAACAAATGCTTTGTTTGAATACAGAAGAAGTAGTAGTTAGAATCTAGTCAATTCTATACATATGGCATCCTACAATGAATCTTTCATAAGCAGGTGGGCTTCCTAAATTTCACCAATAATTTGAATTAAGAGTGAATGTAACACAGATGTGTTTCTGCACTTGTTTTGAACTACTGCTAAAACATTTTTTGCCCAGTTAGTTATCTTAAGTTAATGATAAACTATGCTATTTTTAAAAAGTGCTTTTTAAAAAATATTTTCCAGTGATCTTTTAAACGATACAATTAGTTCAACCTATGCTGATTCCTTTGCGTCAGCTCTAACCTGATTACTTCTTGATTTCAAACTTAGGACAAGTCCTTCCTTATACCTAGAAAACTCTATCCCTATACCTACCAATTTTAACTTGAAATGTCCTTTCTCCTTGAGTTTCCAGGTGAGCTATAACCATCACAGAAAACTAACCACTCATTCTAAAGTACCTTCCTACATTGCACTCTGGCACAAACCATTATATATTTAGTTTCCTAATTTAAAATTATTATTTTTGTTTATATGTCACTCCTGTTTACTGATAGCATTTAAATACCATTAAGGATATAAGATTGTCCTATTTACCTATGCATTCCTGCTAATTTGAAGAGTGCCTAGCATACAGTAAATACTTAATGAGTAAATTTAAGTGAACAATTAAATAAGCTGTCAATTCCAGTTTTTTTTTTTCAAACCAACTTATTTTACTACTGGCAAGTTAGCTTTTTCAAGGTTCTATATAGCCTCTGACACAAAATAAGAATACAATGTGTAATGAATACATTATATCCTAGTGCTGCTTATGTAACTTCAAAAATATTATGTGAGCGTTCCACATTTTAGGGCATCTTCTGTAGGCACATATACATGCTTGGGTCTATATAAAAATGTCTGATCAACAGCTTTGGCAAATTTTATTGTACTGGGTCATCATTCATAAAAATACGTGAACAAGGATTTGTCCAAACAAATGCAATGATTTGAATATTAAGAAAGTTATGTTTTTTATTATAAAAATCTCTGAGTGGGCCAACCAGGTTAGATATGGCAGCAATCAACAGGGAATACAGCTTCTTTTTCTTTTCTCTGCCATTCTTAACATATGCTTTATATTTTACTTCAAAATGGCTGTTCTAATTTCTACCAACATATTAATATTTTCTCTATTTTATGTTTTATTACATATTTAGATAGTAATCTGGACTTGTTGCAACACATTCATTTGGAAATTGAAAATTTCATTTGAATCTAATAATTTCCTTCTAAAAAAGGAAGATGAGAAACAAAGTTCGGAGAGTGTGAGGGACTGTATCAGTTTTCCATCTCTTGCAAGATATAGCCAAGAACCTTGCATATTTAGGTGCTCAAGTTATTTTAGTCTCAAATATTTATTTATTTTTATTCATATGATAGTTAACTTTGTCTTTTAATAACATGTTTAACCCAAAGTTATTATAAAATACCTAAAATTGCATTCAGGAACAAATTAACTCAAATCATCAGATGTCTGTGCATTTTTCCAAAAATACTAAGTAAAGAGATCAGGGGGATGATGAACCTTTCCCTAATCTGACATAAAAAAATGATTTATTATTCATACAGTATTCTTACATTCACACAATACGTATTTTACATCTTAAAAGGCTAATTGACCTTAAACTCTTGGATACTTTAACTGATGAAACAATTGACTCTAAAATTTAGCAAAACATGCTATGATGCATTTAATCAGTGCATACATTAGCAAATTATAATATCTTAATGTCCTAAATAGTATTAACTTAAAATTTTGAATTTCACAGTGTACTTTCTTGTATTAGTTCATTTGCAGCTAGTAAAAATATAGTGCCTTAAATAGGGCAACTGCTGTTTTCATCCTCCTTTAACAGATAAATTCTATAATTGATATTTGAAACAATATTTTCTTAGAGGACATGCCATAATCCTTTCATTAGGCTGCCTGTGTGGAAGAATACTGAAGCAGTTCAAAAAAATAAAAGGAGATCATGAAAGATGATCTCATAGGAGCAAACAGAGAACTCTAATAGTAAGCAAAATTAAGAGGTCAAGACAAAGAAATGGTTACTTTGTCAACAGAACACAGACACTCAATCATTATATCAGCCTTTGGTGCGTGATTAAATTTTCCAATGAGAGTCTTTAGTCCCCTTACCAATTATACACTGTTGGAGGAGGATAAGAATAAAATGAAATTATGCACTAGGAACTAGGATCAAAAGAAAATGTAATATTAAATGTGAACTTTGACTTGTAGCAATATTTCTTTTCACTGACGAAATAGCAGCACCCAGGTCTGTGGCCTAATAATGCATCCTTGGATCTGACCATTACCAACTACAGAGATTTGGCACATCAAATCTGTGTGACAGGAAGGCAATAAGTCAAACACTGGTATCACAGTGACTGCTCACATATCTGCTATTAGAACAAACTGAAGGCAGAACAATGAAATCTCTTTTCCAAATCTGGCTTCCATTAACCTTCACATATTAGCTTGTTTTATCAATCTTCTTGCATGTAACTGATGTCACAAAATCCTCTCCCTGCCCCCCTTACCTTGCTTACTACATATATCATATCATCTCAGAGAATAAAACTTGGGGATATAGCTATGTGTATGTATGTATATACACATACATATACACATATGAACATAAAATACCAATATATCTAGTTACAATCCACTACTGTTAGAGGAGGTAGTTTAGACAGATATGAGCAGGGCAGGAATGCCACCGGAAATGGCAGGCACTCATGGGGTGATGGTCAGCCAATCATAAAACTGTACCTCTGAGATAATCAGAGAGTGCCCCAGAAATGTCAGGTGCTCACTGGGTGATGGTCAGGTGATCATACTACTCTCACACTGAAAAGGTAAGTGGCCACAGCTGCACCAAGAGGAAGAGGCATTCCCCAATGGTTAGGAGCCATTAGAAGCCAGCCAATCCCAATTCCCTGATAAGGTCTTAAACATAAGCAATAGGGGACAAAACGGCAGAGTTTGGTATATGACTTTCCCCTGGAGGCTCTCAACCGGTAAGAGAAAATCACCCCAGGTGAGCATGCACACAACCTCAGTAGAGGTTGTACATGCCACACCTCAGCCCATGTGGCAATTGAGCAACAGCCCACCACAGGAGGGAGATCAAGAGAGGAAAAGAGAAAACCCTGGAACCAAGCCAATGTATAAAATCACCAAGTCAAGGGCTGAATGGGGCACTTGATTTCTTAAGTAGCCCATTTGGCCTTCTTCCAAATATACCTTGCTTCTTTCAGTAAACCTTTGCCTCTGCTTTAAAACTTGCTTGGGTTCTCTGCGAATACAAGGGCCAGGATCACTGTGGACTCATTGCAGGTTGTGGACTGGTTCGCTGGTTCTGAACTTGCTGCTAGTTGTGGACTCGCTGCCGGTGACAATACCACATTCTTCATTCTAGTAAGTTTCACTTTCCGTATTTGAAATTTTATTTTCCTATTTTTTAACAAACTGGTTCCTATAATGTTTACACATTTATTTATTTTGTCAATATGTATTCCATTCTAGGCACTTCATGTCTGTAGTTCTAAGTGTAAATGGTACTGTTTTTCTTTCAATTTCCAATTGTTAATTGCTAGTATACAGAAATATGTTAGATCTTTGCATATTGACTTTGTATCATTCTCAGTGAATGTGTGTATGTTTTAAAAATAGACTGTTTTTAGAGCTGTTTTTAGTTCACAGCAAAATTAAGTGGAATGTATAGAGAATATAAATATACCCCTGGTCCCACATACTCATGGGTTCCTCCCTATTAATATTCCACATCAGAGTGGTGTATTTGTTACAATCAGTGAACCAACATTAACACATAATTGTCATCCAAAGTTCATAGTTTATATTAAGAGTTACTCTTAGTGTAGCATATTCCATTGGTTTTGATAAAAATATAATGACATGAGTTTATCATTACATTATAATAAACAGTTTCACTGCCATAAAAGTCCTCTATGCTTTAGAATGTCATAGAGTTGGATCATACAGTATGTGGCCTTTCAGATTGGCTTCTTTCACTTAAAAATCAGTGTTTACATTTTCACCATGGCTTTTGATGTTTTGATAACTTACTTATTTTTATCATTGAGGAATAGTTTATTGTGTGGCTCTTTCACAGTTTAATTATCCACTCACCCACTGAAGGACATCTTGGTTTCATCCTACTTTGGGCCATTATAAATACATATAAGTATCCATGCAGGTTTTTGTGTTAATATAAATTTTCTGCTCTTATCAAGGATTATAGTTGCTGAATTTTATTTTAAGAAGTTTAGTTCTGTAGGAAACTGGCAGACTGCATTCCAAAGGGCCTGTAATCTTTTGCATTCCCACCAGTAGTTAATGCGAGTCTCCATTTTTCCCATCCTTGCCAGAATTCGGTGTTGTCAGTGTCTTGAATTTTCGCCATTCTAATAGGTGTGTAATGACATCCCATTGTTCTTTTAACTTGTAAGTCCTTAATGGCGTATGAGGATGAGCTTATTTTTGCATGTTTATTTGTCATCTGTATATTTGTATATTTTGTTTGGTGAAGGGTCTAGTCAGGTATTTTGTCATGTTTTTAATTAGATTGTACACTTTTTTATTGCTGAGTTTTAAGAGTATTTTGTATATTTTGTTTAGTTTTATTTTAATTTTTAAAAATTGTATAAGTGACAGACAAAATGTACATATTTACTATGTATAGCATGATGTTTTGATGCAGATATACATTGTGGCATGACAAAATCTAGCTAATTAACTTATGCATTGGCTCAGATATTTATTTTTGTGGTGAGAACACTTTACATCTAATCTCTTAGCATTTTCCAATAATATAATATATGTTTAACCATAGTACCATGTTTTAAAACAGATCTCTCGAATTTAGTTCTCCCTTCTAATTAACATCTCCACAACATCTCCAACCACCCTAACCCCTGGTAACCACCATTTTACTCTCTACTGCTATGAGGTCAACTTTTTAGATTCCACATATGAGTGAGGTCATCTGTTATTTGTCTTTCTCTCCCTGACTTATTTCATTTAACATAATGTTCTCCACTTTCTTCCATGTTGTCACAAATGGTACAGTTTCATTTATTTGTTGCTAAATAACATTCCATTGTGTATACAAAACATGTTTTCTTTATATGTTCTTCGATTGATGGACACTTAGGTTGAGAACGTATCTTGGCTATTGTGAATAATGCTGCAATAAACATGAGAGTGTAGATATCTTCTGGACATAGTGGCTTCATTTTCTTTGGATTTATACCTAGCAGTGGAATTGCTGGATCATATGGTAGTTCAATTTTTAATTTTTTGAGAAATCCTCATACTGTTTTTAATAATGGCTCTACTAATTTATATGTTACTACTAATAGTGTGCACATTTTTCTCCACTTTCTTGACAATATTTTTTATCTTTTGTCTTTTTGGTAATAGCCATTACAACATGTATGAAGTGATCTGCATTTTCCTAATGGCTTTAACTTGATGATGATCTTTGACTTGACCTGATGATTGGTGATGTTGAGCATTTTTTCATATATCTGTTTATCATTTGTCTGACTACTTTAAAAAAATATGTCTATTTAAGTCCTTGGACCATTTTAAGTTGGATTATCCATGTTCTTGCTCTGGAATTCCTTATATGTCTTCATATTATCCTCTATCCCCCTTTCAGATGTACAATCTGCCAATATTTCTTCCCATTCTTTAGGCTGTCTCACTCTGTTTTCTGTTTCCTTTGTTGTGCAGAAGCTTTTTAGTTTTATGTAGTTCCATTTGTGTATTTTTGCTTTTTTGCCTGGCTTTGGAGTCATATCCAATAAGTGATTGCCCAAACCAATGTCATGGAGCTTTTTCTCTAGTTTCTTTCTAGTTATTTCAGTTTAGTGTCTTCCATTTAAGTCTTTACATATTTTGGAAATAGTTCTTTATCAAATATGTCATTTGCAAATGTTTTCTCCCAGTCTGTGTCTTGCCCTCTCAATTTCCCCATGTGTTTTGAACAGTACATTGGGAGAAACTGCAAGGAGTAAAGAGACGGATGCTTCATAATGGTAGGTTTGATGAAATGGTGAGAAAATGTTATTATTTTAAATAAACTATGTTTTTCATTTGGGAGGTTAAGGGTGATTATTTCCTGATAGTTTTCAATAGAATATATACACTGCAGCAAGGATTTGAAACTTTACTAAGTGTGTAGAAAAGTGAAAGTAATAAGAGGAACTACAGATTTTCTATTTAAGAATTAGCTTGTAAGGAAAGAAAGAAAAGAAAGAAATAAAAATGAGAAAATTGAGATAATTTAAAATATTAGCAGAGAGAGAGTCCAACACCAGAAAAAGATTTGAATTACAAGGAGTTTGGAAGAAGTCAGGTAAAATGTTCAGTAAATGATGTGGGACAACTAGAAATATTTGAAAAACAAGTGCTGAGTACTTACCTCATGATTTGTATTTTAAAATGACATGTAACAGACATAAAAACTTAAGCTCCTAAATTATGTTACTACAAAACTTTTGTGAATACATCTGTAAATTCAACTCTCTGTATATAAAATATCAAAATTTGGAAAATTTTTCAAAGTGTGATTCCTATTCAGAAGCCTTAAATGACCATTGATTTTATTCTGTAATATTTCAAAATAAAATTCTGCACAAAAATAAGAGAACTAACAGATGCAAAGTCATATCAGTGTTTGTGAAGGAAGACTCAACATTGTAAAAAATGGCTATCTATAATGCATAAGTTTAATATGATTCTAATAAAATATTGATACTTCTTATTTTCAAAAGACTACATGGCACTGGAGTTATTTAAAAAAATAGTAATAAAAATGTGTAAAATAGGTGCAGGGATAGGAAGTAGCAAAACGTGATTATAAAAAAATATATAAATTAAGTAAACAAGCTTTAATTACCAAAAGTTATGTTTGCTGCATACATGGATTAAACAATAAGTAATGAAATTGAATAAGAAGTTATCCAAGCAGACCCAAATAATCAGAGAATTTAGTGTAGCACAAATGCACTAATGTAAACCAGTTTGAAATTGTAGTGCTAGACATGTTATTGAGAAAACTGGATGGCATTGATTAAAAAATATTTAGTTGGATTATTTCTTCTTGCTGTAAATTAAGAAAAATCCATGTGGATCAACATTAAATCATTAATAAACCAAAACTTTAGAAGAGTGAAGTTTTCTATTATTAATCTAAAGTGGGGAAGACATATCTGTCACTCAAAATCCAGGAGCCATGAAGGAAAAAGTTAAAAAGAACGGTCAACACAGAAACAAACACTTCCTAAACTTTTTCAGAGGGTGTCAGAGAAAGGAAGAAAATGGTGCAATTCTGAAGACAAAATGATTAATTGAGAAAAAAAAAAGCTTTCAATTCATTTTTCAAGAAAAGTTCTTAATTCCTCAATATATAAATTTTCCAAGTCAATAAAGAAAAAAATAAATAATGGAAAAGTCTATTGATATGAATATGATTGAAAGAATAGTACATTTATATGCATCTTTGTTATGTGAAAAGATGCTCAACTTTACTCATAAAAGAAAATTTCAAGTAAAACTACACAGATAATTCAAGTTATATATTATATATATGATTAAGTAGTTTGTATTAGACTGTCACAAAGAGAAAATCTTTAAAATCCGGATTAAGTAAAAGCAAGCAAACAGAAAAGGCCAGCTATTTGAACATATGAAAAAGCAGTCAAGTCACTGTGGACTTGATAGTACAACATCCCAGAAAGAGGAAAATTTAGTGAGATGAGCCCAGCTCTTCCCAGTGGGATTCTTTCTTTGGGGGCATTTGTCAATTTGCAGCTCTGGGTTGCTAGAAGAAAGCAGCAACTTAATGTTCTCTGCAGTCTCATAAATCTGAATTGACAGAAATTGGACTTCTTTTTTACTTATTTTTAACCAGATTTAAGAAAATTCTATATTTTTACTAAATAGTTACTCTGAAGTTCATGTCATATTACATGTGTTTTAAAACTAGTTTGGGTCTCTTGGTTGATATGTAAAATGAGACTTTTTTTTTTTTTTTGCTCGTAAGAGAATGTATTCATATGACATAACTTGAGTAATTAGCTTCCCTGCCTAGGTTCAGAACCCTCAGATTATTTCACAGCAATCTCCAGAGTGCTTAATATAGAAAGTACTAAGCAGTATGGTGGAAAATGACATGTCCCTGTACGCTTCTTCTGAAAGTAATCAGAGCATCATATGGTAGCTGGTTCTAGATGTTCTGTCCTCTTTCGAAGAGTTCCAGGTATTTCCAATAATAAGGAACTCATAGTTCTTCATGCCACTCAATCCTCACATCTTTGTTGCTAAATTCTTAGCAGGCATATGCCTCGGGCAAGTTGTGACTATAGCATTAGGTTTTTTATTGAATAGAAATCAGCAAACTCTCCAAGTTTTGTTTAAATTATGTCTTTTTTTGCCATTTAATTATTCTCAGACTAGTCCTACTGATTGCTATCAGCAAAATGAAATAACTACCAAGCTAGTACAAATACAGATAATGATAATCCTAGGCATAATTTAGAATCTTTAAGCTTCCTGGCCTAAGGAAAAAAAAATTAAGCTGGCTCTGTCTTGGTATAATACATTTTTTACTCGAGAAATTTAAAATTTCAGTACAATATTACAGTCTGAACAAGCTGAGCTTTTCTCCTAATATCCCTAAAATACATCTGGGTTAATTTCTGATTTCCACCTTCTGATATAGACATTAATAGGAGGTCATCAACAAACTGTAGTAGTCTCGATTCATGCAGCCTTTATAACTCCCTGCATACCTGAATGCAGTTCTGTAATGACCCGTCTCTTTTAGTCGAAATGATAAAATATTCACTACTAATATCAGAGAGTGTGAGGAAATTTTCCCAAGGCTCTATCTTTAGTAACACCTCAAGGTCACCACAGGGTTAATAGAAGTTAAGGCATTTAGCTCTCGAAAATCATTTCAAGCCTCCAAATCACATTTATCTTTTAAAC
This sequence comes from Homo sapiens, assembly GCF_000001405.40. NCBI lineage: Eukaryota > Metazoa > Chordata > Mammalia > Primates > Hominidae > Homo > Homo sapiens. Next base: position 188,648,708 of record NC_000001.11, read on the forward strand.
AAGCCAGATTGGAGCATCACAGGGTTCATATATAGGGTGTATAAATTCTTGTTCTGCCAAGACTCTAAGGTTCCTGTTCACAGCTGTTACTGCTATGTGGGGTAGACACCACAGGTTGCAGTTTTGGTGAAGGACCTCCTAGCTGCAACTCTGTCTAATTTGGGAGCCAACCCACAGTCTAAGTTATCTTGTCTTCAAACATCTATAACCTTCTATTAGTCAATAAACTCTCTTGGATTCTCAGATATTTAATAAATCTGCCATATATGTTTTGAGTACTAACTGACATCTATCAGTTGCTATTCATATTGATCAATTAGTTCCATCTAAAATAACCTTACATCAGTTAGAATTTCAATAGCTATTCAAAGGATCCCACCCTTCCAATCATTTGCTTTCTTCCCCCATCTTAAATTAAAATCAACCTTTGGTAACTGTATACATTTGTGTATTTGCTGTAATTTATTAATTTTTATTACTTCAATGTTTTTATTCAGAGCTATGAGATAGTTACTCATGCTAACTTACTTTCTGATATCAATAATGGAACCAAGAATCCTGATGACCCTGGACCACACACTGGTTGCCCTGGCACTGACACGAAAGGCATCTCTAATTGTTCTTACTCATTTTAATTGTAAACCATGAAGGTTGCCACAATGGATTTGTTCTCCTAACCAAGTTTGTCTGCTATTTTAATATGTGTCTTAAGTGCTCGTATAGCTATATAGACCCTGTTTCCTGCCCACTCCCTGCCCCCACCTCTCCCCGCACCAACCAAGGATGGAGTGTCTCCTCTTGATAGCATGCAATTCTGCTGACAAAAAATAAAAAATAAAAATAAATTTAAAAAGTGATCATTCTTTCTTTCAAAATACATGGCCTTTCTTTTGGGCAAAATTTATGCCTTTCATTTTGTAAAAATAGTATCAGACCTAATTCAGCCATGACTAATTGGCTTCACTTTCTTATTCTTCTAAACTATTGTCAATATTTTTCCATCTAGCTCCCTGGTGTTTGCCTTTATTTTATCTTTATGATGCTCAAATCTACATATCTGTTTATTTTCCAGATATTTGAACATCTATTTCTCTTACTTTCTCCTAAATTTTCAGACACGTACCTTTTTTTAAAATAATGTGCTCTTGCTAATTTATCCAATATATTAGAGTATTAATGAGATAGCTCAAAGAACATCTCTATGTTGTTTATATTATATCATTGTGGTCTCAATGTTTTCATTTAATTTAATTGAGGAACATGTTATGAAATATATTGGACTTCATCACTGGTCATAATGCATGATGAAAAAAATGGGTAAAATTTCAGCAGTGGGCATAGTGTAGCTTTGGAATTATTTTAATTAATTATATTAAAATATAATTAATATATACCAAGTTAACCCTTTTTGGAGCCTTTTATGTATCAAAGCATACTCTGCTCACCAGCAGAAGCAAGAAGAAAGATAAAAGAGAAATTGACCACATTAGGGGTATGGATTTAAGAAGTTAGTCAGTGGTAGTCCCAAACCTGATCCAAGTTTGGCTCAATGATTGGCTTCCATAGCAGCAGAGAAGACAACAATGGAGAGGGTAAGAAGTAATCTTTACCTTGTCTTTCCTTTTGGCTAGGAACAGATCTCTACTAAAGACAAATTCCTTGTGTTTTCTTATGTTCTTACTTTCATCCTCCACAAAAACATATTTTTATATTATAAAGGCACATGCACGTGTATGTTCAATGCAGCACTATTCATAATAGCAAAGACATGGAATAAACCTAAATGCCCATAATGACAGACTGGATAAAGAAAATGTGGTACATACACAGCATGAAATACTATGCAGCCATAAAAAAGAAAAAGATCATGTGATTTGCAGGGACATGGATGGAGATGGAGCCCATTATCTCAGGAAACTAACACAGGAACAGAAAACTAAATACTGCATGTTCTCTCTTTTAAGTGGGAGCATAATGATGAGAACACATGGATACATAGAGGGGAACAACACATACTAAGGTCCATTGGATGGTGGAGGGTGAGAGGAGAGATAGAATTGGGAAAAATAACTAATGGGTACTGGGCTTAATACCTGGGCGATAAAATAATCTGTACAACAGATCCCCATAACGTAAGTTTACCTATGTAGCAAACCTGCACATGTAACCCTGAACTTAAAATAAAAGTTTTTTTAAAAAAAGAATGAATGAATTTTCTGGTTAGTATGTGACTTACCCAGGTAGACCTAGTATATTAACTGTTTATGAACACTATTTTGGCAGAAAATGACCAATACATCCTATCACTTCATCTTTAAGTGCTGCAATATGATAAAAGGAGATGTAGAGGCTTCCAGTTAATTGCATAGAACTGAATATGCACTCAATTCCTGTTATCCCGGTGATAGTCTCATAGTCAGAGTAGTTGGATAACGTGGAGATTTGACAAGACTTTTTCTTCTCTCTTTTGACTTGTTTCAGTGTGAAACACCTTCCTGAGTAGGTGTTTTGACTCTTTTCCTGAGTAGGCATTTTGACTCTTCTGTCACAAACTTCTCATAGGATACCTGACCCAGGATCCAGAGTATGTGGAAATGGGAGAGAAAGGGTGGTTAGGAGGATCGTAGGAAACTAGCAAGCCAATTGGCCCGTATGTTAGACCTTTAATTTTTGCCATATTATTAACAATAAAGTGCTCTCATTTAAATTCTAATAATCTAAGAAGTGCATTATCAATAGATTTTTATAATTTTATATTCATGTCTTAAAATTATTATATTACTAATATACTATTAATAGTGTCGACTAGAGTTCTAGTTTAGATATTACTGCAAGGATATATTACCATGTAATGCTTAGCTTACTGTACCTCTCCTGCATGTGATGTGTCCATGCATGTACCTGACATTTCTAAAATTTTCAGGAAGAACATCTTGCTATTAGTGCATAGCCAGTGCTGCTGCCTTAAGATGATCATGTAAATATAATTTAATTGTTTTCAACTTTAATTCTTGTATTGTTTAAGTATATAGTAATGGCTATTTTCGTGAGCAACAATTTGTCCCGTAAACTTTGGTATAATTAGATGTTAAGTCCTGTGTGTTGGTTCAAATATGATTCACACTCCTTTGCAAGGGAGATTTATTTTTGTACAATCCTTGTACGTTGGCTTGTCATTGATTAGTCGGCAGGGGGAAGCAAGAGGGAGGATCCTGAAAAGTGAATTGGCAATGGATAAAATGAATGTAGCACCTAAATGGGTCACTATCAAGTGACCCTGAAAAATACAGACCTCAATCAAATATCCAGATAGAAAAAAAGTCATTCAGCTACCTTTTCTTCTCTGAAAATTATAAACCTTGTAGTCATTTACAATCAAGTGAATTTCTGCTCATAATTTATAACATGTGAGAGCCTGTGTGTGAACTGTTATTTCAATTCTTTTATAAACTTCTTTATTCTATAGCTTTACTGACTTTCAGCTTTTTAACGTTATTTAGATTCAACTTGTAATTTCAGTTTATAATTTCATGCATTACTATTCTCTTTACGTTTTCCTAGCACCGACATGGATTTGTATTCAATGCAGTTCATATTCAATACGGCATAATGTTCTATTCTTAATGCTAAGGGGCACAGAAACAATACAGTGCATTTGTTCCTTATCTTCAATACTAATATACCATGATATTATAGGATCATTCCATAAAGACTGTGCGGTAAGGAAGGCAATGCAATTTTTTCTTTTCTGGTCTATGAAGGACTAAAAACCATTTACATATTATTAAACAGTCAAATATGTCAAGAATACAAAAATTTCATTAAAACATTATATCTAAGTTTATTATAACATATATGTGTGTCATTTTTGCCCTTTTGTCAAAAGCATTCATTCATGAAAAAAGTAATAGCATTCAGGGGATATTTTAGTGAAGGAGGCCATTTGAGGCTGGTCTAAAAGTTTAGTTTCTATTAGTGGATTTCAGCATTAACCACACTTTATAAAATGAGCAATGGTTGAAGGATTTCTTGAATATGTCACAGGAGTTCATTCCCATAGCAATGCATTCCCCAACCTGCAGAGCCTTACCATGGTATCCTGGTTAAATTCCAATTTGGATAATTAAATTCTGCCTGCATATCTGACTTCTTACAGTCTCTAGCCTTTTTTGCAATCTTCTGTTATTTCCTGTTTTGAATTGATGACTGCTGTGCCCTGTGGAACAGAGGCTGAATAATGGGACAGGAAATCATTCAGTCTGCTTCTGTTACAGTTGTGGTCTCTAGCTCTGTTTTTCATTCCATCGCAATATTTGTGAAATAGAATCACTTTTCCTTGTTTCTGGTCTGCTAGGAAAAATAAACTCCATGAAAAACCTGTACCCATTCGATTTCTCTCAAAATATGCATTTATCTAACTGAAAGTTAAAATATAGCTTTACTTTACAAAATATGTATACAGAAAATATAGTGTATTTTTAAAGATATTAGGTGAATTTGCAAAACTGATATTTTTCAAAATATATCTGCAGTATTAACTTCAAGTAGCAGCCTGTATTTCATAATTTGGATGGGCCCATTCAGATGCCCTGTATAAAGCTCTACCTATAATGTGTACTTAGTAAAGAATATGTACTCTATGTCTTAATGGAAATCCAGAAAGGTCATGTGATTAATCTTTGGGGCAGATGTCCATATTTTTCCCAGACAAATTTCACTGGGTCTAGTAGCAGCTCAGTTTCTTCTTCAAACATTATTCAGAGAAGAAAGCAATATTTTATTCATATTGATGACCATATACCCTACCTGACCTCTGCCCTTACTTTCTAGGTCCAGAATTTCTTTCAGTCCCCCTCTGATGAGGTCTAAATTCACGTGGAGTGTGTGGGGGTAATAATACAAACTCTGCTTTTCCTTTCTACACAGGGTAAAATTTTTGTATCTTATTCCAAAAGAAAAAAAGTATTACTTGTTGTACTGAAGGTTATTACTTATTATTACTTGTTGTACTAAAAATTATTACTTGTTGTAGTAAAAGTACTCTATAAATAAAGATGAAGATCCAATGGGTTTAGAGGAAAGTAACATTAACAAAGAAAATATATGAACTTCTTCAGTGTTTAATATTTCACTATAAACATAACTTCTGTGTATAGTATTAAAAACGAGTACTTTGAAGTAAAATATTAATTTATCCATGTTAAAGAACTAGAGGTATAAAATTCGCTTAGATTTCAGTATATTTCCTAACTAGGTCCTCTTTATTGAATATGTATGTATGCTAATATACAATTCAATAATATAAGTTATAACATAATATTCTTATTCTTTATTTGAAAAAAAAATTCTCATGTTTCATCTTATATTAATCAGCCCAAGTTAAAAAATAAAAGCTAAAGATATTTCTTATCTTCAAATTTGAAAATGTTAAACAAAATATAATTTTCTTTCAAATGAAGATATATCTGTGTTATTGTAGAGAAAAATATAAATATGCATGTGTGGATATGTGCTTTCTTTCTTCATTTCATTTGAGTGGATAGAAGTATACATCCAAATTTTAGCCTCCAGGGAAACATGAAGTCTCTCCTATCTTACTTAGAAGAAATTCTAGTGTGAGTCAAGGAAAAAATTAGTGTTGTTAAGGAGAGAATGGTTTCATTATGTGAGTAAAAGTTTTGCATGTTTTGTTTTGTTTTGTTTAAGTAGTGACTGGATGACAGTGTATACTTTCTTCTTGCTTCTTTTTTTCCTTCAATATATTTAATAAAATAAGTTGAGTCTGCAGACATCACCCAGTTAAGCAGCTTCTTTGCCTTAATAAAATCAACCAAAGGTCAGAATAGGATCCATAGGAAAATGTATATCACTGGCTTTCATTTACACCTATAAGTAAAGGATACAAGGACATCGTCAAGAGTCACATCCAATCCTGTGCAATTGATCAGCACAAAAACAAACAAACAAACAAACAAAAACAACCCAAAACAAAAAAAAAAAAGACTTTTGTTTCTTGAATTCCTGGAATATAGATCTTTCAAAAGAAAACCTCTAGTTTCAGCATTGCACTGAAAATCCTTCACTTCTACCTTCTCTAATGTGCTTCCTTTCTTTATGAAAAACTGAATATCATTTTATTTCTCTCTGAAGAATACTTTTGACACATTGCAAGCTGTATTTACTGCCAACAAATGCCTTCGGATTTTGTTTGAAAAAGACTTTAATTCTTCTTCAATGCTAAGGGTAATGTAACTTGATACAAAATTCTTGATTGCTTGGTTTTTCTTCAGACACTTTAAATATTTCACTGCACTCTATTCTTACTTGTATGGTTTCTGAAAGAAGTTTAATGTAATTATTAGCTTCTCTAAAGGTAAGGTTTCACATGACCCCACTCCACACCCTCTGGCTTCCCTCAATATTTTCTCTGTCTTTTGTTTTGTAATAAATAAATATCATGTGCCTAGGCAACAATTTTTTTGAGTTTTTACATACTTGGTATTCTCTGAAATTCCTAAATCTGTGGTTTTGAGTGTGTCATTAATTTTGAAAAATTATCAGCAATTAATATTTCAAATAATTCAATATTTGTCTTGCTCCTTTCTCTTTTTCTGATTTTTTGAGGATTTTCATACTTGGTATTCTCTGAAATTCCTAAATCTGTGGTTTTGAGGGTGTCGTTAATTTTGAAAAATTCTCAGCAATTAATATTTCAAATAATTCAATATTTGTCTTGCTCATTTGTCTATTTCTGATGCATTTGATACTTCCATTGCACGTTATACGTTTTATCAGTATCCAATAATTCTTGACTATTTGGCTCTATTGCTTTATTCATTATTTTTTCTCTCTGCATTTCAGTACAGGAGGTCTCTATCAATACATCTTCAAGCCCACTGATTCTTTCCTTGGCCATGTCTAATTTACAGGTGAGTCATCAAAGGAATTACTTATTTCTGTGCAATTCTTTTTTAAGTTCTAGCATTTTATTATATTTTTCATTTTTATTTTTGAGACAATGTCTTGCTCTGTCGCCCAGATTCTGGAGTGCAGTGTCGCAATCGTGGCTCACTGCAACCTCTGCCTCCCTGGTTCAAGGGATTCCCATGCCTCAGCCTCCCTAGTAGCTGAGACTACAGGCCCCTGTCACCAGGCCCAGCTAATTTTTGTGGGTTTTTTTAGTTTGTTTGTTTGTTTGTTTTGAGACTGAGTCTCACTCTGTCGCCCAGGCTGGATGGAGTGCAGTGGCAAGATCTCGGCTCACTGCAACCTCCGCCTCCCCGGTTCAAGCACTTCTCCTGCCTCAGCCTCCCGAGTAGCTTGGACTACAGGCGCCTGCCACCATGCCTGGCTAATTTTTTTGTTATTTTTAGTAGAGATGGCGTTTCACCGTGTTAGCCGGGATGGTCTTGATATCCTGACCTCGTAATCCGCCCGCCTCTGCCTCCCAAAGTGGTGGGATTACAGGCGTGAGCCAACGCGCCCGGCCGCCTGTTTTCTTATATATAAAATTTGGATAACCAAGTCTGACTCACAGTATTGTAGTGATATGAAAATATTGATAATATTTATATTTTAATAAAAGTTATATATTATTATTTTAAGTAAATTAACGCTTTAAATTATTTCAGTACATGAATATAGTATTTATCAATAGCAACAGTTCTACTTTAAGACTGCATTGATTTTATGTATTTTGTCTGAGTTCCTATTGTATAATAATAAAAACCTTGATAGCTAGGTTTGTTACTTTCCTTTTGTAACCTGAATATTTATTTTATAGACATATATGACTTGCTAAATATTAGCCCATCAGTAAATGGAAGACTTGAAATAATTTTGCTTCTCAAAGAAGGGATCACATGGCTATTCCACTAAGAGGTAATTTTGCAGGAATGAGCCATATTTATTTATTGTTTTGAAATAATATTTGAAGCTCTATTAGATGATTATGGTTTCATACTTTTTTTCTCTTACATAGAATCACATTTTTCCAGTAAACATGAAACAAATCCAGTATTTTATTGCAAAGAAATTTGTTTTTCCTTTTGACAGCTGTGGGACGTCTCTGATTTAATGAAAGCTCTTGTTTACCATTTCTCCCTGCAGCACACATCTGTTGATTCTAGTTCTTTCATCTAGAGATCCTGAAAAAAAAACAAAAGAAAAGCCATTTATTCATTCCACAAAAATTGTTGAAGTGCTTCTTATGGTCTTCAAATAGTTACTGCTGCTTTCTGCAGGCACATTTCTTGAACTAAAGGATAAAACAATATTACCAAGATTCACAAATGATTCTAAAAAAATATTGGTGATTCTAAGACAGAAGGCATACTTGTGACAAAAGAAAAATCCTTAAGAAATAAAATGAAGACCAAACAGAAAAAAGGTTAGTGATACATTCTTTAAATAGTGGCTAATTTTTTTTCTAAGTTCTCAGAGAAGAAACATTGAAAATTGGTCACATAAATAGAACATCAGTATAACCTCCTGAGATTTTATTGCATCTGTCAAATGATTAAATGAGAAAACCTGTATAAAACATTGAGAAGATTATCTGTTATATAGGAAATATTTAAAATACTTTTACTTTTATTATATATATATGCATGGTTGAGTTTTATGGTAAAAGGCATCTAGTTCTTATATTATCATATGGGTGCAGTGTTTCTCAATAATCCTTTCATCACAACACCACCCTCAGTTTTATAACTTTTCTAATTATTTTTATGGAAGTATTAACATTGACTCAATTATACCTGACAGGGTCCATCATCACATCTGTTTCTAGAATGAGGAAAAAAAACACAAAAAACAGAAAGATGCCCCTTTGATAGAATACTACTTTCAGAGGATTCTATCTGAACATAGGAGATAAAACTAGACCAATCTAGGAAGGATAGCTTGTGGTTATTACAGAAACACATGGACACAGGAAGGGGAACATCACACACCAGGGACTGTTGTGGGGTGGGGGGCGGGGGAGGGATAGCATTGGGAGATACACCTAGTGCTAAACGACGAGTTGATGGGTGCAGCACACCAACATGGCACATGTATACATATGTAACAAACCTGCACGTTGTGCACATGTACCCTAAAACTTAAAGTAATATAATAATAAAAAAAGAAAATTTGAATTTATTTCCCTATAAATAGGATAAGTGGGTAATATTAATAAAATAGTTACTATAGTTAAAAACTATACAAATATATATTTATGTATTATTCACTCTAATGCTTTTATTTTTTTACATATACTCAGATAGTTAAAAAACACCCTGTGCCTATATCTTTATAGCTAAAAAGTAGTCATCAATATTACTGTTTTCAAAGTATGTATAAACAAATAAACTTGACTTTTTTTTCCTAAGAAAAAGATATTTACATAGCCTAATTCTTAGGAGAATAGAGTTATATTATAAATAAATAATTTAGTTCTGAGTCTGAAAAATCAATAGCTAACTTTTTCCTGCTACATATCTGTTCCCTTAGGTCATGAAAGCACTTTTATTTTCCTTTCTAAGCAGGTAAACCAGATAGATATTTTGATGTTAGAAAGATTTTTATAAAAATGTTTTCCATGAACTTTATAATCATATGACTTTGGGGGAAGTGCAGATTAACATGTATATATTTATACATTTAACAAAGCATCACACAGTTAAATTTAAAATAAAAGGAAAATAGATAAATAAAAAAACAATTCATTTGAATTTATTTTGTCTTTAGCAAGTAGCTTTAGTTCTCTAAATGAAGTTCAAATATTTAGGGTTTAATAGGTTAGTGAACTCACCTATACTAATACATGGTTTGCAACTGTGTACATGTTCATAGGATTATTGGTTAAAAGTCATAAACAAACTAGGCTGTTTGGCCATGCTCCTCTTCACCCTTATCTACAACCACTATTTTTATTTGAATTCAAGCATAAATACATTTAATTTGGAAGTTATACTGTATATTTTTTAATTTTGAATTTTTCCTTTTAAGGGACTGTGAAGGTCATTGTGGATTGATTACCTTATTAGACAATAGTTAGTGAAATTGTGAAACTGCCTTTCTTGATGGGGAATAAGAGGGTTGCAACTCTACATTGAACTTTGCTGAAAGGGACTTCTTTCCTATGTTCTCATTTATGGAAAATAGGTTAAATCATTTTATTCAGACAGAACAGAATTTCAACATGAATCTCATTATGTCTTAACTATGTAATCAAAGGAAAATTATTTTGAATTTAAGATCGTTATTTGCAAAATGGGCATAATAATAATTCTGTCAGGATTTATGTGAAAACTACATGAGAAAAGCATCTAAAGTTATTTAGTCTTATGCTTAATATGTATTTAGAATTAAAATTGTAAATTTGCTTTTGTGAAATAACCTATTTGTCATAGTCTTTTTTAATTTTTTAATTTTTAATGTTTGTGTGTATATGTATTTGTGGGGTACATGTGATGTTTTGAATACAGACATGCAATGTGAAATAATCACATGGAGAGTGGGATATACATCTGCTCAAGCATTTACTCTTTGTGTTACAAACAATTCAATTACGCTCTTTTAGTTATCTTAAAATTTACTATTATGTTATTCTTAGGTATTTGAACCAACTGAGACATTAGATTATTTCTCCCTAGATTATGAACATCATTTGAGTAAACAAATAAAAGCAAATAAAATAATTGCTGGAGTTGGCTAAACAACTTTCTTGCCAAAAGTAGTACAAGAAGCATACTTTCATTAGTCATTAAAACCTTGGTTTCTTATCTTCACTGACCCCTTGTATTATGTATGTATAGTATGTATATATACACACACATACATACATATATATATGTTTATAATGCACATACACACATACGTATATGTATATACTTCATGATATCACTATTTTTCAATACATTAATTTTGTGCTTACTTTTTCAGAGATAGTTTTTAGGCTATTATCCATGATAATGTACAATAACTAAAATCAAATATGTATTTTAATTTAATTTGTATTTCTCTTTATCAAATTTTTTAGGTTTTATTCAGCTTTTCACTCAAAACTGAGGTGATAATATCTGAGTCACACAGATTTTTCCATATTTTCTATAGTTTATACACACATATATAAACATATTATTTCTGTAATATTAATTATGATGAAGAGACTTAAAAACTATGCATGTAAAATGTGGTTAATATAGAAATAGTTATAGATAATCAGAAGTCCTGAAAAAATGTAGGTAACATTATAGGCTAGTAAGAATCACTATGATGTTTTCAGAAAGAAAATACCTTGAAGAGAAAGTAATTTATTATTTTTTGTAGGACAGGCTGGTGTTGCAAAATGATGAATAGGAAATTATTCCTTCAGTTAAACTTAGAGTTGATAATAACGAAAGAGAAAGGAAGAGGCAAATTGAAAATCTTTAGGTGCAAAGAAAAAACAAAAAGTATGCTCTAAGTACCAATAAGGTTAGATATGAAAAGCAGCTATACCTTGAGTATTGCTTATGATTATGATCATATTTATGTCACTTTTAAATATTTTATTTATATTTTCCATTAATAGTCAATGGAATATTATATATACAAGCAAAAATCATGTAAACTTCTGTAAATGGTTTCTAAAAATATAATCTTTTACTTCTGCTAGCCAAGATACCATAATTACTATCATAATTCATCATATTCCCAAGCTAGTACCAAAATATGTGTCTATTTAATATATACACATACGTGTATATATTTAAACCTGTCATGATTAGGAACAAAGATCTATCATACCAAGGAAAGCTGAAATTTATTTGTTAGTTAACAGGCCTTTTAGGCACACAAGCTTCTACATATTATAAAAATTGTTATGCTTTTCTCTTACTCAATTCCTATTTCCAACAGTAGCTCATTTTGTTCATATGCACTGTGAAGACATTTTAATTCTGATTCATACCACCTTTCACATTTGCTTTCTGTGGGAAAAATACATGTCCTGTCATCATAAATTCTACCCTGCAAACTTTTTTCTTTACTGCAGTCTTCCTATTCAGAACCATGCTACTCATCACTTGACAGGATACAAAATGTAATGGTCATAAAAGTAAAGTCTGCTAACTTTCACTCCTGACAATTTGTCAAAAGACACATTAAAAATAATTGGAGAGAAACTGCACAGATTTTTAAAATGTATTGAGTCATTTTTCTTCAATGCCTGACTGGTCAGCTTGTAAGATACCATTCTCACCATTATTAAGAAGCCAAGACTACTGCTTTAATAAAAAAAAAAAATATATATGCACTGTTTTGCACTCATCTTGCTCTTGGGGTTTGCTGCAATAGACTTCTGAATTATCTGGAAAGTCAACAAGTAAAACAGTCCTTTAGTACATGACTAATTTATGTTTCCAATTTTACCCTTCATTTAAATGTACGTATTTCTCAACTACTAGTAATATCATAAATACCACCTGAAGTAGAAATAATAAACCTATAATATGTTTCTTTCTATATTTTCATTAACAGTCTAATGTCTTATTATAATTTTAAATACTTCAACTGTTATATATGTTCTAAGCTTATTTAATCATAAATCAACATTTTAAAACATATAATAGATAGTTGTGACATTGTTGTATAGCCATATATATCTCATGGGAGCCTGTAAGATAAAACAAATGGCATAAACTGATGAACTCTATGGAGAGGTAAGCAATATTCTTTGGAATTTCAAATGAGAAAAGCAAAACTGCATTAGGAAATTGGCAATCTGGGAATAAAAGATAGGTAGCATAAAAGAGCAGGATGTATGAATTTGAGTTAATGTGCTAGATAAAATCATGGAATCAGAATGATATATTTTCATTTATTCTTAAAGAATGTTAAGATAGGGATTATTTCTGTATTATAATTATAAACTCAATGACATATTAAGTATTGATAATCAACAAGATTTTAAATAACAGAATTATTAATGTTCCACAGACTTCCTGTAGCTGTGAAATAGTAAGTATTAAATTATAGCAATAATTACCACAGTCATGTTAACTGTTGCCATACTTATCATGACATGTGATTTTTAAAGGTAGGAAGTAGAAAATTCTTTCATAATATTCCAAGAAGCTAGTTGGTTAAGATACTAAAAATTAGCTTCTGAAAACGTGTAATACATTTCTGAATGAAGCTATGGAAATATTTTTTAAAAGTTCTTGAGTTTTCACAGATAATTTTGAGAAAAAATATTATGGAGCTTAAAATAAGTCTAATGATAAGTATCATTAATGAATATATATCTTCATACATAGTGTTAATATTTATGATAAATATAATATAATTCTCTTTTGCCTTTTTTGATGAATCTTTCTCATTGGATTCCCTTAGTAAATTAAATCTCCACACTTTAAAAAATGTTTTTTGGCAGGTCAATTTGCTTTTAAAAAACAATTTCTGAAGAAAAAAAACCACATTCTCAACTGAAATGATTATTAAGTGGATAAAAAGCCTGTATTAAGAAGAAATACAGATAAATATGAAGAAGTTTCCCTTTTATTTTCTGTCTTCAAATTAAAAAGTTAATTTTATAAAGCAATAAGGAACAAATTCAAAATTCATAGACGCAAGCATCTGTCAGAAAGATTTTTCAGCAAAGTCACTTAATTTTTTTCTTTTACATTTTTTTCAATTTTTAATTTTTTGGGGTACATAGTAGGTGTATATATTTATGGGACAAATGGTCATCTATTAAATGATTGCCTTAATAAGATATTTATCCGCAAAATAAAAACGCATTATCACATGACAAATGGAACTTACTACCTAGCCTACATCAGACAGGATTATCCGAATTTTCTTGATACTGCACTTCATTTGTTTGTCAGTATATTAACTATGTATACATGCCTCTATTTTATTTGGTGTACTGCAAACGCCTAAAACTTAGACAAAGAATACATTGAAAGAAGAATTTTAAAAATGTGTCTACCTAAGAAAAAAATAACATGTTAGAATGTATTTAAGTTCTCCTTGAAAAATACAAGTCTACTACACAATTGACCTACTTTTGGCTATTATCCACGATCATGTACAATAACTAAAAGGCAATTATTTAATGTATGTATTTTAATTTAATTTATATTTCTCTTATTTTAATCCAATTTTCTAGCTTTTATTCGGCTTTTCACTCACAAAACTGGGTGATAATATCTGAGTCACATAGATCTTTCCATATTTTGTATAGTTTATACACACATCTATAAACATATTATTTGTGTAATATTATTTATGATAAAGAGTCTTACAAACTATGCATGTAAAATGTATTTACATATTTATCATATCCTTAAATTTTAATTATTTGATTTGATCTAAGATTATGTAGCTACAATTCTCTACATAACAATGGTAGATAGGTCAGGAAATGTAAAAAGTAAAATAAATGATCAATGATAGGCATTAGTTAAAATATGTTAGTTCTATGAGTTATCAGCAACATTTTTGTTTGTCCTTTCTTTTTCTTTCAACAGAAATACTTTTACACTGTAAGATTTTTAAAATTATAATAGGGTTTATTGAACAGTTTACTTTAAATAACAGGTTTTAAGCTTTTGCTCTTGTATCTCAGAAGTCGAGTTTGTGACATGATATAGCAATATTGCAAAACAGTATCAGCTGTAATATGACATTTTATAAAAAAACATGTCTTCTATGTTACATAAATAACAGACATGTTTTCTATATATTTTAGATATCTCTTTATGAAATTGTATACATATTTGATATTAGCATCTAATGCTGTTTTTCTAATAGCAGTGTTATAAAAAATCAGTCTGAATTTTTTTCATTTTTAGCTTGAGAAATATAATAAAAGTAAATCTTATGAAAGTGGGAGAATGGGATGGTTTGATTGAGAAAGTCAGATTGGATACATAAATAGAATGAAATATCTTCCTTGAACCCATGGTACATCACAGTCTCAGTTTTGCTGGTTTGAATTGTCTTTCTGGCACTCATTGATCTCTTGTGCCCATCACTGTGGAGTAATAGTTCCTCAAAGGAATCTCATTCTCAAAGTTCTCAAAGACAGGAATGGGTAGGTTTTCATCATATATGCCTTCATTACATAACACATTGGAAATTCTATATTAATTATATTTTATCTTTATAGACAACTTAATATTAAGGTTAATAGTTTTAAAATTTGAATATAATCATTGATTTTTTGCCTTATGTCTCTATTATTAATCTGTAATATTAAACCCAGAAAGTGTTTGTCATGTACCAAAATAAATAAAATGCAAACTTTAAAATTATAAACTGTTACCTAATATCATATAGATTCTTAATATCGTTTAATGTCCCTGAATGTTAACATTTACTTGAAAGATTATTTGATGAAATAATGGACCATATTATATAAAAGTCTACATTTTTTGTTTCCTCAAACCACTATGTCAAAGGGTATATAGTTTAAAGTTAGAATATACTCACTCATTATGCTTTCATATTCAACAGAATTTTTAAATGTTTTTCCATTTCTTAACAAACATAACGACGGACTTCATCTTATGTGTACCTGTTCTCCTAGAACTTAGTACTAGAAAGTACTTCATCTGATTTCTTATAGCTAGATGCATAATTTGGATCAGTTTCATAAGTAACTACATATTACATTAATCTTCAAAATACTTACAGTTACTTGAGTTATGATGCACATTAAAAGATAGATTTGCCTACAACAGCTTTCCCCTTTGGCATGAATTTAAAAGCCTACAGAAAAACCATTCATTAGGGAAAAATATATCAATGATAAAGGTAGAGAAAGAAAGTTTAGTCTTAGCACATAACTAAGATGCTCCAGAAGTTCTATATTATCTGGCATTTCAAAAATACTTTTGGTAAGCATTCCAATATTAAAATATTCCCTATTAAAGCAAACCATTGTTTACTTGTGTATCAATAAATTGCTTTGCATTCCATTATGAAAACTATAGAAAATTGAAAAGGGACACAATAATCTGCAACTCAGTGTATTAATACAACCTTCACTTCTATCTACCTCCCTACTTGAAGTTCCACACTAATTTCTTACATCATAACTTTGTAAATTTTGTTTCTGTTTACATATTCATTTATTTACAGGGGTTTCTTGAGCATTTCTTACATTGTTATGCTTTCAGAGTTCTTATATTTGCAAAATGTCTTTATATTGTGTTAGCATTTAAATATATTTTCTCTGGGAATGGGATCTGTATTAGTCCGTTTTGACACTGCTGATAAATACGTACCTGAGGCTGGGCAATTTACAAAAGAAAAGGTGCAAGCCCCAACCTTGGCAGAGGGTGTAAGCACCAAGCCTTTGGAGCTTCCACATGGTGTTGAACCTGCAAGTGCACAGAAGTCAAGAATTGGGGTTTGGGAACCTCTGCTTAGATTTCAGAAGTTGTATGGAAATGCCTGCATGCGCAGGCAGAAGTTTGCTTCAGGGGCAGGGCTTTCATGTAGAACCTCTGCTGGGGCAGTGTGGAAGGGAAATGTGGAGTTGGAGTCCACACACAGAGTCCCTAATGGGGCACTGCCTAGTGGAGTGTGAGAAGAAGGCCACCATCCTCCAGTGTCCTTGCAGTCTCTGGTTCTCCACAGTACCCTGGTCTCCTCTCTCCAGCCCCTTCCTCCACCTGTCTACTAATGGATGGAGTTTGTGGTAAAGTCTGTGCCCAGCACATCCTGGAATATGAAAACTTGGGGCACAGATGAAAATCCACTGAAGTGGCACATGCCCAGTCCATCCAGGCTGTAACCTCGGGTAACCCCATCTTCCTTATACAGGCATTATAATAAAATTTACATGCAGTTTTGCCTCCTGAATAGGCTTTTTAATGAATTATGGGTAAAATACATGCGGAGTTTAACTTCAGTTATAAAACCATAAACTGCCAATCAACTGACATTATCCTGTCACTCAAACACAGCCTAAGCCTCAACTCCTCCCCACCAACCCCATAAAAGCACCTTGTGCTCTGTTAAGGGGAGCTGATTTCACTTCTCAGAAATCAACCCGCTCTCCTGCTGAGAGTGTATTGCTGTGCTTCAATAAACTTTGCTTTGAGCTTGCATTTTGGTGTTAGTTTGCAATTCTTTGCTCACTGTCACAAGAACTGAGATTGCCGGTCCAGAGCTCTGGCTCTGTTGATCTCAGTTAAAGGATCCATTGCAACACAGGACTCCTATTAACATCTTTGGGGCCTTGACTCGGATGCTTTCAGGTATGTCTCATTATTTGGAATTACAAGCTTCTTTACCTACTTCCCCTTCTGTTTTTGACTGCTGCATTGCCACCTCTCTGTCTGGCTTTATTGAGTTCCTCTTACAATTCTTCCACCATTGTTTAGCATGCCAAATAAAAGGTGGTTGTTTTTATGCCAATGCAGGAACACTTCACCACAACTATTTCTGTCCCCAGATGGGCACCTATTTCTGCCCCAATCCAAATTCCCCTCTCCAGACCCTTCTTGCCTAACTCCTGGCAGTGTATGGGAGTCTCAGGTAAATGAAACACCAAGTCTTTTAT
The DNA here is from genome assembly GCF_000001405.40 of Homo sapiens. Taxonomy (NCBI): domain Eukaryota; kingdom Metazoa; phylum Chordata; class Mammalia; order Primates; family Hominidae; genus Homo; species Homo sapiens. The sequence continues at coordinate 188,666,256 of NC_000001.11, forward strand.
TCCTCCTCTATATTGCTACTGGGAAGGTTAGACCTTTACTCATTCCTTTTTTGGTCACACCAGAATGCCCCCGCCCACTCCTGGGAAGGGACATGAATAAGTTGGGAACTTGCCTAGTCTTGGGAATCAAGCTGTCTCCCCGCTCTAGCTTTTAATACTAGAAACTCCTCCCATATCAGATAATCATGCCTTAATCAAGTTGCCTGTTAATCCCCAGGCCTGGGCTTATGGAATGCCAAGCAAGGCCATTACGGCCACCCCTGCACTGTTCTCTTTAAATGACCCAACTTCCTTCCCTAATAAAAGGCACTGCTTGATCCCTTCAGAAGTTAAAAGGGAACTTCACCCCCTAATTTCTCTAAGTTTTTAAAACATAGGCTTCTCATTCCCTATATTTCCCTTGTAAACTCCCATTCTGCCTGTTTAAAAGCCTAACAGGGAATATAGGTTAGCATAAAATTGGACAATTACTAATGAGGCCATAGTACCTCTCCACCCAGTAGTTCCAAATCATAGCCTACTGGGAAACAACCCTAGTACACCCTCCTGGTTTACTGTTTTAGACTTAAAAGATGCATTCTTTAACATTTCTTGAATCCTCAGTCCTACTTCTCGTTGCCTTTGAATGGCATGAGGAAGGGGGTGAAGGACAACATCTTACTTGGACTGTCCTGCCCCAAGGGTTCCAGAACAACCCCCACCATTTTGGCCCAGCACTAGGCCAAGAGTTACATCCAGAGGAAAGGACTATTCTCTAATATATAGATGATTTCCTTATCTGTTCACTCACCCAGGAAAAGGCACTAACCCATGCCACAGAGACCCTAAACTTCCTGGCCGAAGGGAATATAAAGTCTCCACATCAATGGTTCAACTAGCTCAGCAAGAAGTCAATAACCTTGGAGTTGTTTGCTCCCCTGGAGAATGAAGAATTTCCCCTGACAGGGTCCAGGGAATTCTAGACCTGCCTGAGCCAACTACCCAGAAGAAACTTCAAGCTTTTTTAAGTCTCACTGGGTATTATAGACTTTGGATCCCCAATTACAGCTTAAGGACTCAGCCATTTTTACAAAGCTTTAAAAGGTCATTTTGACTCTGAGCCTTTAATTTGGGGTCCAAATCAAATACAAGCCTTTCAACAGCTAATGGCTCTACTATCCCAGGCTCCAGCCTTAGGAATCCCTAAGGTCAATTGGCCTTTTCAACTCCACATAGCAGGAAAGCAAGGAATTGCTCTTGGGGCATACTTGCAAGAACTAAGACTCCTCCAAAGACTTGTTGGATACCTGTCAAAGAGGCTGGACCTAGTGCCACAATGAAGGCCTAGTTGTCTAAGGGCTATTGTGGCTCTCTCCCTGCTAATAGAAGAAGCCTCTAAGCTTATTTTAACATAGCTTCTCACTGTATACCTTTCTGATCAGGTCACTTCCCTTCTAGAAGGAAAAGGCCATTTATGGCTAACGGGCAGCAGAACCCTTAAATACCAAGCTCTGCTCTTAGAAAATCCAGATCTAAAAGTTTCAGTTTTCCCTTCCTTAAATCCCTCTACTCTGCTCCCCCTCCCTGAGGAAGACTAGACTGTCCACTTGTCTGAGGACATAGTATCACAGTTTACGATGCCTCAACCAGACTTAACTGACATACCTTTACAGAACCTTGAAGAAATCTGGTTTTCAGATAGGAGCAGTTTTGTTTATGAGGGCACTAGAAAGACTGGCTATGTTGTGGTCTCTCTAACACAGGTCATTGATGCCCTAGCTCTTCCTCCAGGAACTTCAGCCCAGTTAGCTAAAATAATTGCTCTAGCCCAATCCCTAACTGCGGCTGAAAACAAGTTGCTTAATGTTTAAACTGACTCCAAGTTTCCTTTTTTTTTCATGCCCGTGCTGCCATTTGGAAGGAACATGGCTACCTAAATGCCTACAACAGCCCCATCAAGTATGGGCCTCAAATTCTCTCTCTTTTAAGAGGCAATTCTTAAGCCCTCCCTAGTGACTGTAGTACACTACCAAGGCCACCAGAGGGGAATGAATGAGGTGGCTAAGAGAAACCAGTTTGTGGAGCAGACTGCTCGCCAAGTGTCCTTGCAGTCTCTGGTTCTCCACAGTACCCTGGTCTCCTCTCTCCAGCCCCTTCCTCCACCTGTCTACTTTCCAGATGAAATCAAATGAGCTATTGCCCATGGGTTTCACCCAGATCCAGATGGATGGTACCACAACAATTCTTTAACTCACCTGGCACAGTCCTGTTAATGGAAATTTATCAAGTCTCCTCAGGAAGCCAGCCGCAAGGGGAGAGATGCCTTATTTCAAATGGTTACACCAATCTTCTTGGAAAAGGACTAAACCGTGTTGTCAGTAGGGTAGTTTTCTTGTGTCCTGTGTGTATAACCAACAATCCCCACGGAAACAAAACACCTTCTTTAACTAGTTCCACTCAAAAACATGGGTCCTACCCTGGGGAAGACTGGCAAATGGATTTTACTATGGTACCTCCATACCAAGGACATAAATATATCTTAATGTTTGTGGATACTTTTACTGGCTGGGTTGAGGCCTTCCCTTCATGAACTGAGAGGGCCTCAGAGATTGCTCAAAAACTTCTATGGTTTCCAATTTCATCCATGTCCCTACAAAGTTCATGTCCTTTGTAGGGACATGGATGAAACTGGAAACCATCATTCTCAGTAAACTATCGCAAGAACAAAAAACCAAACACCGCATATTCTCACTCATAGGTGGGAATTGAACAATGAGATCACATGGACACAGGAAGGGGAACATCACACTCTGGGGACTGTTGTGGGGTGGGGGGAGGGGGGAGGGATAGCATTGGGAGATATACCTAATGCTAGATGACGAGTTAGTGGGTGCAGCACACCAGCATGGCACATGTATACGTATGTAACTAACCTGCACAATGTGCACATGTACCCTAAAACTTAAAGTATAATAATAAAAAATAAATAAATAAATAAATAAATAAATAAATAAAGATAGTACACCGAGTTATACACCTAACACACACACACACACACACACACAAAAAAAAAAACTTCTATCAGAGATTATTCTCAGGTTTGGACTTTTATTGTTCCTTGAAAGTGACAACACACCTGCTTTTGTTTCCTGTGTTGTTCAACAAATCTCCAAAACCTTGGGGATTAAATACCACCTCCATTTTGCTTGGAGGCCTCAATCCTCAGAAAAGTAGAGAAAGCCAATCAATACTTTAAAAATACCCTAAGAAACATAACTCAGGAAACTTCCCAAAATTGGAAGGAAGCTCTCCCCATAGCCCTCCTTAGAGTCAGGATGGCTCCAAAGGCCACTCTCAACCTTGGCCACTATGAAATGCTTTATGGCAGGCTATTCCTGCAAGGATATCATCTTGTTGACATTGATACTTCCTCCATTGTCACATATGTCACTTCCCTTGAACAGTTTCAGCAGGCCTTACAGGAATACAGAAGAAAAAAAATCTTCCTTCCCCAAGGCCTGCTCTTAATCTTTATGCCCAGGAACTTCAGTACTTCCCAAAACCTGGAAGTATGGTTCTCCTGCTTCCCAATTCCAACATGCTTGGAAAAGACCATATCCTGTTTTACTTTCTTCTCCCACAGCTATTAAAGTGCCAGAGATTGCCAGCTGGATCCATCACTCCTGCGTAAAACCATGGATGGCTGCCAAAACTGATGATGCCTCCACAGACGAATACACTTGTGAGCCTTTAGAGGATCTTAAGCATCTATAGAAAGACAGCCAAAAGATAAGTAATGCCCTCTGAATTTCTCTGGTGCCTTTTTGCATAAAGGCTCTGAGCTGGATTGTTATGATTATTTTCACATATTTGCAATTCAATTGCCTCCTTTCAAGTGGGTGGAATCATTTTTTTAATGCTAAAATGGCTCTTTTAAAATCAGTAATGAATACTTCTGCTCTCTTAACTATATTAACCCTTACAATCATTCTAACATCTTTTCCCAACACTCGTATTGACCTACCATCCAAGAGGTTTTAAATAGACTACAAAACCTCACAAATATTCTGGAGTCTGCACTAACACCTCCCCTAGTGAAGTTTATTAACCATTCCCATTCCTGCTTCTGAATGGAGTCAGTTAGAAACCTTCCCAGCCCCCACTTATTTTGACCCACCAGGATGGGCTATCAATCCCAAGGACAAGGCCACAGTCAATCACATACTCCTCAATAGTCTACCAACAAAACCATTACTACCTCCAAGGACCTGTATTCTCATCTGTAATGCTTGCAGGACAAGCACTTTTTTGTCTCATATCTTCGTCGATCCATTACTTGGATCTTTTCCTAATATTTCTCAGGCTTGTGATCATACTTTTGCCCTATCCTCCACCGGACTATGGGTCAACTTAATCACTGACAAAAAAGAATATGGACATACTTACTATTCTGAATCTGCTTTCTATTTTATTCATTTCCCCAATCCCCCTAACATAACCAACCATAGAGAAACAAGCCAGCTACTTTGGTACTACTATTTGCCCCAAACCCTAACCAGAATGTCCTTTTAGACATCACAACTTCTGATTTCAGCCACATAATTCCAGGTGAAATAATAATTGCAAAAAACTCAGCTCCCCAAAATTCCATGTTATTGGCTGGGATGCCACCATTCCTTCTTTTAGTTGGGTCTTCAAGTCCTCTCTCATTCCATCAAGCCCTGCCTGTTTTTCCCCATTACCTGGCATGGCCTTGGCTTCCACTTATGAGGGTATTGAAGCTGACTCACACAGCATGGTGTGTGAGTCACACTTCAATATCACTATTGACATTGTCTTAACCTGGCAAATCCCATTTACTTTCTGTGTGGAGACAGGGCATATCTCTGCTTACATGCTCGCTGGACAGGAATCTGCGCCCTAGTTTACCCAAATTCACTGTCATCAACAATAGCATTCCCTTCCCTGTACACACTCAATAGCTAGAGCCAAAAGGGACATTTTAACAGCACTGACTGCAATTGGCATTCTGGATGGTATGGGAACAGGAGCTGGAGTCCTCAACTCCATTTTTACTGCCCCAAACTCTCTGTAGAAATTATTCAATGAATCATTTATCTAGCTGACCAAATCAATACCATTCAAGAACAGATCACTTCATTAGCAGGCATAGTCTTACAAAACCAATGAGCTTTAGATTCTTTCATGACCAATCAAGAGGTAATTTGCATAATGCTTAATGAAGACTACTGGTTTTTTGGCAACCAATCAGGTAAAGTACAAACCAACTTAAAAACCATTACAGACAAGGTCAAAAATTTATGGAGGAAGGATTTTTGGGAAGCTTTGACTGATGAAACTTCAACATCTGGTCCTCATTTTGCTAGTTAACCCCCTTTCTCAGTCCTATAGTAGTCTTTTTACTACTTGTAGTTTTTAGGCCATACTTATTTAATTTATGAATTTGTTTTGTTTCTTCCAGTCTAGAATCCAAAAAACTCCAAATACTCCTACAAGGTTACCATGAAGTTCCAATCATGTCTCATGGCCCCTTGGACCATCATCACACTCCTCTGCCCAACCTTCCAGCAGAAAGAAAGCAAGAGGAGGGACCCTGTCAAACCACTGCCTCCCTGCCAAGTTGAAGTAGCCAGAGTAGTCATCATCCATATACACAAAGAATTGGGTCTCTTTTCTCTTGAGGGGGAAATATTAAGTAGTTAGACAGACATCAGCAGCTGGGAAGGTGTGAGAGAAGAAAGCAGAGGGGCTGTCACTAAGACAGGCCCAGCACCACCTAAATTCAGCCACAAGACCACCTTAACCCCAACCTAATGGATGGAGTTTGTGGGAACATCTGTGGCCAGCACATCTTGGGCAATGAAAACCTGGGGCAAAGATGAAAATCCACTAAAATGGCACATGTCCAGTCCATCTAGGCTGTAACCTCAGGTAACCCCATCCTCATTATACAGTCATTATATGCAATTTATATGCAATTTTTGCCCCCTGAATAGGCTTTTCTTAAGGAATTATGGACAAAAACATGCACAGTTTAACTTCAGTTATATAATCATAAACTTCCAATCAAATGACTTCATTCTGTCACTCAAACACAGTCCAAGCCTCAACTCCTCTCCTCAAAGCCCATAAAAGCACCCTGAGCTCTATAAAGAGGGGCTGATTTCACTTCAGCCTGCTCTCCTACTGAGAGTTTATTGCTGTGCTTCAATAAACTTTGTTTTGAGCTTGCATTTTGGTGTCAGTTTGCAGTTCTTTGCTCACTTTAAAAAGAACTGAGATTGCCAATCCACAGCTCTGGCTCTTGATCTCCTTGGTTAAAGGATCCATTCCAATGCAGAACTTCCAGTAACAAAATTACTAGAAAAATGTATTACATATAGAAAAAAAAATTGAACCTCATTCTTTACTCCACACCATATAACAAAAACTAACGTGAGATGAATTATTGAGCTAAATATAAATATAAGTATTATAAAGCTTTCAGAAGAAAATAGAGAACAATAGCTTCCAAAACTTTTGGTGGCCAATTTTCTTAAATTGGACCCGAAAGCAAAAAATATAGATAGCATAAATTTTCCACGAAAATTAAAATATTATGTTCACCAAAGGATATTTTTAAAAGACATAGGCAAAACACATATAAGGGAGTATATGTATTATATATATATATCTGTTAACACCATCATCTTGGACCTGTAGCCTTCAGAAGTCTAAGAAATAAATTTATGTTTTTTTAAAATCACCTAGACTGTGGCATTTTACCATAGCCAACTACATATATGTTTATCTCTATACACAGAGATAAACCTCTCTCTATATAACATATATTTTTATATAGAAGCCTTTCTTTCTCTAAATATACACTTTCTAGATATTGAGATCTCTCTCTCTCTCTATATATATATATAGAATTACTTTGTATATATATATATATACTTTTTTCCAAAGCATACAAATATATTTAGATATCCTAGAAATGAAAAATAAGACAAACAATCCCAATAAAATGGAATAAGCACTGACAAAAATTTTTGATGAGAATGTGGAACAAGAGGCCAGGTGTGGTTGCTCATGGCTATAATCCCGGCACTTTGGGAGGCAGAAGCAGGTGGATCACCGGAGTTCAGGATTTCAAGACCAGCCTAGCCAACATGGTGAAACTGCATGTCACGTGAGTATACAAAAAAAAAAAAAATTACCTGGGTGCAGTGGCAGGTGCCTGTAATCCCAGCTACCTCGGGAGGCTGAGGCAGGAGAATTGCTTGAAACTGGAAGCAGAGGTTGCAGTGAGCCGAAATCCTGTCATTGCACTCCAGCCTGGGTGACAAGAGTGAAACTGTGTCTCAAAAAAAAAAAAAAGAAAAAAGAAAAGAAAAGATGTGGAAGAAGAAATCTCCAAACATTGCTAACAGAAGTATAAAGTAGAAAAATTACTTTAGAAAAAAACTGACATTCAGTGCCTTATGTACTTTTAACAAAATAACCCTATGACAGCATTTCCACTCCTAAGTATGTACACAGGACAAATGAAAACAGAAATCCTAAGGCATGTACATTTAAAGCACTTTTTAATGTAATAGCCTTAAATTGAAAACTATCTTAATATTGATTCACCAAAAGAGGATAATCAAATTGTGATATATGATGTAAGAATAAATAAATGCATTACTGATTCATGAAGCAATGTGAGTGAATATCCTGATTATTATGAGGAATGAAAGAAGCAAATACAAATGAGTACACGCTGTAGAATTCCATCCTTGTAAAATACTAGAATGTGTCAAACCAATCCATTTTGATAGAAATCAATATAGTAGAAGTCTTTATAAGTGAGGAAATGGAAGGAATGTTCATGAAGAATCTTTCCAGGCCAATGGGTGTTTTCTTTATTTTGATAGCAGTATGGTTTACATAGTTGTAAGAATGTATTTAAAAGCATTACAGAGGACATCAAATACATGTATATTTTTACTTTATGTAAAATATTTATCAATAAAAAATTAAAATACAAGTACAGGTGTAATTAGTACTTAATAAAAAGTGAAGTGTTACTGTTAGAATTCAGTGTAATGAAAGAAAATGCTCAACTTAGAATTTGCACTACAACCAAGCAATGACTAATTTACCCAAATACTAATTTCAGTTTATCAACTGTCTTCTATCAAAAAAGATGAACAAAACAAAATGTTGGACAGAACCAACTGTGTGTCTTCATCACTGACCTATTCAGTGCTAATTAAGACATTTTCACAGCATCTGTACATTTACTCTCCAATATTGCCTCCACACTCTCCAGCAATTTAATTTCGCTAAGCTTATCAACTATCTCCCGTCATAGATCCAAGTCCCTCCACCTCAATTTCATTTTTTACATAAATATGAATAGTAATTAATAAAGCTTTCATATTTTCAAAGAAAAAGTTTTAAAAAAGGAAAGGTTCTTTGAGGGCAGAGTTTTTATTGGTTTTATTTTATTTTATTTTATTCAGTTTCCTGCTACTAAATACCCAAAACACAGGTACAGTAAGTACTTGAAGCCATTCTTTCCTAATTCTTTTTGATTATGGTGTAACAAGATTCTCTTCTCCTAAATTCAATGTAACCATCTGTGCTTTTATTCATATCCCGTCTTTTTCAGCCACCTAAACATTTCAATGAGCTTCTTTTCCACTTATGGTTACACACATTTCCCTTTATTGACTTTTTTCCCTCAGTATCCCTGCAGACACCAGGCTCTTCTATTCTCCTTCTAACAACCAAATTTCTTTGAAAAGTGTTTACATTTACTTTTTTACCCTGTCCTCAGCTACCTCAAAGCATCTCATTACATCCTCACATTCATTCTCTTTATTTAAACAAAAGTAGTTTTATTAAATCCATGACAAGGAATTCAATGGACAATTTTCAATTATTACAAATTTCACCCCCTCAAAATGTTAGAACTGTTGACATCTTTCTTCTGAAAACATTTATTTATTTGTGTCCCGTGAAATACCTTAACCTGGTTTTCCATCTGTCTCTCTGGCTGCATATCACACACTCTTCATTTGCTTACTGGTTAATGTTGAGGAATGATTAGAACTACGATTAAGGCCTTCTGATTTTCACTCATTAAAGCTTCCACAGATGAAGGCACCTACTCTCAAGTAACCTATTGTCATCTCATACCGAAGTCACCCAGATCTACTTCTATAGTCCAGATCTAGTTCTTGAGACACACACCCTTATATTTAACTATGTCTCAGAACTTGACACTTAAGTGGTCACTAGCACCTCAAATAGAAGTTGTACCAAATGAAACTCTTTGTTCTAATTTTATGCAGCCATTCTTTCATTCAGGTTTATAAGCTCTCAATCTTGTATTTTTTTTAAATAAATCATGTCTTCACTAACTTCCACACTTTCAGGATTTTGTACTTTCCTCCTAACCCCTACAAAGGTTTAGGTCTCCTATGTTATATCCCAGAAAGCCTCTGGTTCTTCCCTCTTTATAAGGTATATTATTTTTCACTTATTTAACCTATAACTATATATTCTAACTTTAACATAAACTTAATGTGGATTCAGTATCCACTTTAGCCACTTCTCTAGCCTCGTTCTCTTTCAAGTCCATATCCCATAGCAGGAATTCAATGATATATATTGAATTAATTAATTAAAAACTTGTTAATCACCTTTTACATAAGAGCCTAGGAGGAAATAGAATCCAATATGCATACTAACTTGATGTTTGTTGAATTCAGTTTGGGGAAGATGGCAATTTGTTTTGCCTTCTTCATTTTAGCAATAAAATACAGAGAATTGTTAGTTAATAATAGCATTGCAACATTGACAGTTTGTGGAAGAGCAGATTAAATATAATAACAGCAAAATCCATGTTGCATGGTGTTAAAGTGTGTGATTCATAAAGCAATGAAAGCAATTGGTAATTATGTTATTTTGAGAAATATGATGATGAAAGCATAGACAAAACCAAGATAGCAATTTGAATAGAAGACCAAGGAAGGTATTCATTGAAAAGATATTTTTTGCTTATACTATGTTTCACACATTTTACTTTGTGCTAGTAATATAATGATGAGAAAGACACGGTATCACCTCCTATGAATTCCTTGTCGACATGTGTAAAAGACAAGTGAATTGGCAATTTTAATACCATGACACAAGGGGTAAGCTAAGGTAAATAAACAATTGCAAGATTCTCACAGAATATTATTTCAGAAGGAGAAAATGCCAGGGACAACGAGAATAGTAATGAAAAAATCTGCAGCAATTCAAAAGAGGGATAATAATGACTTAAAATAGATAGAAACAATTACAATAGAAATAGACTTTGGTAGGGAATGAGGAATACGCAAGACCAAGAAAGACTATTCCAGGGTTGGCAAAAACAAACAAACAAACAAAACAGGTATCTGGAGCCATAGGCCAAGGGAAGAGAGCACTGGAGACTGAAGGAGAAATCAATAGAAACTTATCTTGAAGATGTCAACTAAAGATTCAAATTTGAGTGCATTATTTGACAAGGATGTGATTATTGATAATGCACTTAGAAGACATAAAAATATATTTTTTAAAAAATGTTTTTCCCTTTAAAAAGAAGATCCTATTAGTAAATTAGAGATTGGATAAAAATGTGAGAATACAAATGTAATGGAGTTGTGGAGCACTTAAGAGCGACAGTATAAAGAACTCCAAATGATCTAAAAATGAAGAATATTTCTAAAAATTGACCAGGGGATGTACAGATAGACTAATGTGTAACTTACAAAATAAGTAATTCATGCATAAATTATCAGATATTGAGTACATTAAAAATTTATTTCATCTAATAGTATTTTGAGATTCGTACAATGATTTTCCCTATGGGAAGGGGGGAAGCAAACAACTTCAATATAAGCAAAGGATTTCTGTTACCGCAGTCACTTTATTGAACACTAAATAGAAACATGATAGAAACATGAGAAGTATTAGAAAGGTCACAGGAATTATATCAGTGTCAAGATATATTGACTAAGAATCACAATGATGATGCTATATGCATACATAAAGGAATAACTTTACCCCAGAACAAAAAGTTGAATTTTTTTTCTAAGTTAAAACAGGCAGAACTTGTACTAAAAATAAGTACAGAGTTTGTTTTTTTTTTAATTTAAGTCCTGTAATTCTTACTTTCACATCAGCAGCCACACAACAGTATACAAAATAATATAAGCAGACAAGATGGGACTGCCCAATAAATGATTGTAGCATCATTTTTAAAATGTTCTTTTAAGAATTTTTCACATGTTCCTGTTATCAATATGAAACCTTTGCTAGATAAGGACATACATATCAAATAATCTAATAAATTATACATTTATTTAATACACCATTTAAGAAAAGACAAGCTAACATTCAGAAATGTAATTGCTATTCTGTAATGTGACTTCAGGATTTTTCTATTTTTACATTTATTTAAACATTTACAAAATATTAAACCTTACTTGTAATTACATTGCAAAAACACAGCTGAGGATCTAAACATATAAATTGGTTCTGTCATATGCACAAATATATGCAGCTTTAAATACCCAGAGCATACACAGAATGCTCATGTAGTGTAAACAAAAAAGTAATGAATCTGGCTGAAACTACTGTAAATATTATGATATTCAATTTCATTTTTAATTTAACTAGAATATACCAACAATAATTTGCATCCCTCAGTGCTGTTTATATTATGTATAGTTAAAAATCATTTTACTATAGCTCTGCTTTCTAGTTTTTGCTTTTGTTTCTAAGAATTTAATTATAAACATTCTTGGGTATAGAAAAATAAGAATCTACCTGACAAATCAGTGTTACAGGTTTTTCAAGAGTACCAAACAATCTGACCATTAATAGGCAAGTTTTTCTAACATAAATTATATTTCTGTAAAATTGAAATCAAGTATAAAATGCTTTATTGTCTTCCATAGTGATCTTAAAAACAGTCAAGTTTATTTTTACTGCCCTGTAAATATGTGGATTTAATAATATATATAACAATATGAAACTGATAGGTTTTATTTGATTAAGGCAATATATTTGTATATTACACTGTGTTCTTCAATGTGCTTTTGTGTATCCACATGCAGTATTCTTCAGAAGTATAGGTATAATTAATAAAAGTTTGTGTATATGATTTAAGCACTATATATGCAAATGTTGGGTAAATGGAAGTAAAGCATTCAGCTTCAAAGTAAAATTCCAGTACACATTTAGGTGAATAAATTTGTTAAAATTATTATTGAATTAGTACTTTTGCATTATTAGTAGAAGACTGAGAATTATGATATGATAATGAGAATTCGTTAACAAAAAACACATCAATATTTAGATGAACAAATGTGATTTTCACAATATTATAGCAATTTATGATAAGGTTTGGATAGATATAAAAAGAGACAAATGGAAGTAAATTATATGTGCTGTCCTAGAAATCCTAGGCATTATTATAGTAGTCAGTCACCCCTTACCTATGGTTTTGTCTTCCACCATTGCCGTTACCTGCAGTCAACCATGGTTTAAAAATATTAAATAGAAAAATCCAGAAATAAACAATTGTAAGTTTGAAATTTTGTGCCATTCTCAGTAGCATGATTAAATCTCACACTGCCCCACTCTCTCCCATCTGGAACATGAACCATCCCTTTGTCAAGCATATCTATGCTACATATGCTACCAGCCCCTTAGTTCCACCGAGGTTATCAGATAGAATGTAGCAATATTGCAGTGAGTGCTAGTCTTCAAATAACCCTTATTTTACCTAGTATCTCCAAAGTGCAAGAGTAGTGATGCTGGCATATTGTTATAATCGTTCTATTTTATTATTGGTGTTGTTAATCTGTTACCCTGCCTAATTTATAAATTAAACATTATCACAGGCATGTATACATAAGAAAAACAAGTATATGGAGAATGTAGTACCATCCCTAGTTTCAGACATCCACTGACAGTCTCAGAATGTATCCCCCATGGATAAGGAGGGACTATTATAATTGTTTCTGTTTCTATAAGGCAAAAATACATTATATGTGATGACTCTAGATTTTCAATTATAAATAGAAAACATTATAGGAACATTAACAAAAAACGTTTTTCTTGATAGCATAATTTATTCTAATCTTTCTTAGAATTTGTTGGTATAAGCTATTTGTGTTTAAGAAGTGTTATTTTTACTTTTGTCTAATCACATAATATTAGATTTTGGCATTTTTTCTGTGGAAAATTCAATGGAAATCTCTGTAAGTATTTTGTTTTTGATAGATTTTGGCTAATTGTAGGATATGTTTTTGATTCTATATTTAGTATAGTTTGCTCTTTAGACAGTCAAGAGTTGGTGCCATGTTGTGTGTTCTATATTAATCGATAATTTCTTGCAACTATAATTTTGAGAATATTTTAAGAGCCTGAGTAATCAGTATTGATCGCTTACTTCTACAGATTTAAAATTGCTTGGCAAAAACTGGAAAAGAAACTTAAATACAGTAATAAATAATGTAGGTGCATCATGAAGATAATATAATACTTTGATGTTACCTGGCCAACTATTTAGTGAAAGAGATAGACATGTAAACAAAACACATTACAAAACTACTATAGCTTGCTATAACTGATAAGGTGACTATAGTCAACAAAAATTTATTGTAGATTTTAAAATAACTGAAATAATGTAATGGGATTGTTTATAACACAAAGAAGGAGAAATATTTGAGGTGATGGATACCTCCTTTACCCTGATGTTATTATTATGCATCGCAAGCCTGTATCAAAATATCTCATGTGTCCCAGAAATATATATACCTACTATGTACCCATAAAAATTACAAATAGAAATAAAATCTATATTATTACAAAATAAAATATGTTATATTTTATAATATATATTTTATCATATATAACATATTATTATATATTATATATACCTATTATATATATTATATATATCTATACCTGTAATTTTTCCTGTTCCTAAAAGGCAAAAATGTGTTATATGTGATGACTCTAGATTTTCAATCATAGATAGACAACATTTTTCTGGATAACATAATTAATTCTAATCTATATATATACCTGATAAGGGACACAATTTTTTAGAACAGTTTGGGAGAGTTTTACTCCACTGGATTGACATAATTTTGAATTGGCTATTTCATGTTAGTAAGATATTTATGATTTTACAATTACATTGTGTTGTGCCCAGAAAATGCAGGTGGTAAGAAAACTAAAAACCCCAGATAAACTCCTTGCAGTGAATAGATGCAATAACTAAATGGTATAACCATAAGAATGGCTCATACATTTATAAGATATCTTTGAGCTCTGGATTTGCATTCTGATTGCTGGCTTGGTAGAAAACATTAGAAAACAAACTAAGAGCATTTGGATTACTATTTTTTAAAAAGAGAAAAGTAAAGCTTTGGGGAAAAATTAAGAAGAGTTATTTTACCTAGCATCTAATTCAGCCAAAAAAGAATTTAACTTTTCTTGCAGAGTAAACTTTGAGTAAGTTTATAAGGATAAATTTGACTTTATCAGGTTTTGCTCAAGTGAATTTCAGGCAAAATATTTTTTCATAGCTCTTCTCTTACACACACACATATACACACACACACACACACACACTCACACACACACAAATCACCTCTCCTAGAAATTAATGACCATTTAAATCATGCAGTACTGTGTTTATTTTCAGATTTTTCTTTCCCACAAATTGTGGGTTCCTTTTTATATTCACTTTTGCCTCTCATCTAACTCTCTTTTAGACCACAGTATTGGCAACTGGTTATTTCTTTAAGAACTCTTGATATAATATTATTGATTTAAACTAAGGCATCTGTTTTCTCCACAACCTCCCCAACACTTATTATCTTTCATATTTTTGATAATAATAATTTCGATAATAACTTTTGTGAGGTTATGTCTCATTGTGGTTTTAATTTGGATTTCACTAACAATGAGCGATATTGACCATTTGTTTCATATATCTGTTCACCTTTTTTTTAAGTAAAAGCAAGTTTATTAGGAAAGCAAAGGAATAAAAGAATGACTACTCCATACACAGAGCAGCATTGTTTGCTATTTGCATGTTTCCTTTTGCGAAATGTCTATTCAGGTCCTTTGCCCATTTTTAATAGGTTTTTTTGTTTTTGTTTTTGTTTTTGTGCTATTGCATTGTTTGAGTTTCTTATATATTTGGGATACTAACCCTTTACAAGATATTCAGCTTACTAATGTTTTCTTCCATTCTGTAGATTGCCTCACATTCTGTTTTGTTGTGGTTGCTTGTATATTTTATGAAATCCCACTTTTCTATATTTGATTTTCTTGCCTTAACTTTTAGGATCAAATCCAAATAAAAATAAAAATTATTGCCTGGACCAATGTTGTAGTTTTTCCCTATGATTTCTTCCAGTGATTTCATTTTGTTAAGTCTTACATTTAAGTATTTGATGCATTTTGAGTTGATTCTAGCATGTGGTATGAGATAGGGGTCTAATTTCATTCTTCTACATATGGATATCCCAGTTGTCCTAACATCCTTTCCTGAAAAGACTACTCTTTTGCCTTTGTACATTCTTGACACCTTTGTCAAAAATCAACTGTCTATAAATGAGTGAGTGGACTTCCAGTCTCTTTGTTCGGTACCATTGGTCTACGTGTCTGTGGCAAGGATGTGGAGAAAAGGGAATCCTTGTACACCGATCTTTGGCAACATGGATAAACGTGAAGGGTATTATGTTAAGTGAAACAAACCAGGCATAGAAGAACAAAAGCTGCATGATCTCACTCATATGTGGAATCTAAAATGATCAAACACATAGAAATAGAAATCAGAATGGTGTATACCAGAGATTGGAAAGTGGGGGAAATGGGGAGATGTTGGTCAGAAGGTAGAATGTTTCACTTAGACAGGAGGAATAAATGATAAGTATTTAAAGTGATGGACAGGTTTATTAGCTTGATTCAATCATTCTACATTGTACATTGTACATATATATATATATATTTGCATTAATTTGTTCCCCATAAATATATACAATTATCATTTGCCAATATCTAAAAAAAATAATAAAAATAAAGTAAGATAGCTGGCATTCTTTATAACCATATTTGATTCTGTGGTTTATATTAAGATCCAAGTTTTCATCTTCTATTTTACAATACAGAAAATAGGGAATCAATCAGAATATGTTAAAGTCATATTCAACACAACAGTATAATCAGCCTATTTCAGAAGCAAAGCTTTTCCTGAGATTTATTATAAATCACATTGTGTGCTTTGTTACAATAATATGTAAATACACACATACTTCAGAACATTCTTGATGTTTGTGATAAAATAAGAGTAAATATTTTACTAAAACTTTCATAATCATATTTGTACAAGGTGTGAATATATTTAATAAGGAAAATAGGATATATTTAGAATTTGACGGGTCATCTAAAAGCAAATATATATGAAATATGTTTTTGCAGTTTGAACAGTTCCTACAAATGAATTTCACATATTCCTTGCTTCCTTTGAGATCCAATACTTCTAATTAAACTGTAAGTATATGTCTTTCAGAGGTGTACTGAACTAAAGATAAGCAAATTCAGGTGATGAGTCTGCAGTTCTGGGAACTGAAGTCATTATTTCATGTTAGACATTTTGTAGTGAATAGTTTGCTCTGCATACCCACTACAAAGTAAAAAGTAAATAAATAAATAAGTAGCATAAATACATTATATCATTTGGATTTAAATTTTAATGTGTATACATTTATTAAAATGCTAGTAATAGACTATTTAGTTTAAAAGGCTAGTTCACAAATATTTATTAAATTCTAACTTATTCTAGAAAATGTGTTAAGCATTATAAACTAAAAAATAAATTTTATAAATATTTCTAATAAGCAAGACAAACTTTTAAATATGCATACAGTAAAATTTCTTGTATGCATACAAAAACAAATGTACACAATAAAATTTGTGTAATTATTAAAATAATGTCTTGAATGCAGAGAGAAGAACACTTACTCTGGCCTCAGAAGACTCCTAGACAAATGTGTGGACTGACTCATGGAGGCTGAGTAGGGGTCGGTTGGGTGAAGATGGGCTGAAGAGCATGCCAGGCAAAGTGACCAGAGTGACTAGAGACATGAAAATGTGACTTAGATAGATGTAGGGGCTTACTATAAGCTACAAAATAATACTTTAACATAAATTAGAGATCTGAAAGTTAAGAGCTAAGTCTGATTCATGGATAGCCTTTATGACATGCTAACTCTGTAGGAATTTATCAGTGGTTCTGAAACTTTAGTATGGGTAAGAGTGACCTGGGATACCTATTAAAATATAGAGTCCCATGATCTACTCTCAGACATTTTAATGTGTTTTAATGTAAGTCTGAGGTGCAGTTTAGAAATTTCTATCTCTATCTGGTAAGCAAGATGATTCTTAATTATGCGGTTTTGACAATCGGTCATCAAAGGATTTTAAACAGGAGAAGTGACATTTAGAAAGATTGCTCTCATTGTAATGTGAAAAATGGATATGAGATAAACAAAATTGTAGTAGAGAAATTAGTTGCAATGTAATACAATAATTCCGATGAGACATAAAGCATTACATTATGGCAGTAGGGCAGAAACAAACAGGAGAAATCATTTCTAAAATAATTGAGAAATTTATATTTATGAAACATAAGGATTGCATTTTTCAATTTAAGAGATGAAGAGAAAAAGGTTGAGAATGGCTGCTAGTTTTCTGGCTCATGTGATTGGGTAGGTAGTCATTACATTAAATTAAATAAGACAAATGGCAAATTTCTGGGATTAAGTTGGCGGATTAGTCATATGTTTCTCTCTTCTTCCCATACGAAATTCAAGAAAAATTTTTTTATTTAAGTAAGTAAATAAATAAATCTAGCAAAACTCAAACATTTAGGCAAACTATCCATAAATAAAAAGTGGAGAAATCTTCTGAAAGGTAAACCGCAGGCAAAGAACAACAACCAGACATATGTAGAGGAGGTTTTCTTCTATGAGATGGGAACAGTATTGATAAGTTCCAAGGACATATACAGAAGAAACTGGGAGGTGAATGTGTGTATATGGCAAACACCAGACTAACTAGTTGATGTACACACTTCATTTCCAGTGACAGAGTTCAATCCAGATAAAGACCTCTTCTGTCACCCTGAACCTCTACATCTTATACAGCAACATTCCCCAAACTTTTTGATGCTAGGGCCCAGTTTTGTGGAAGATAATTTTTCCATGGACTGGGGCAGGGAGGGGTCGGGGGACGGTTTGGGAATGATTCAAGCTCATTATATTCATTGCACAGTTTATTTTTATTATTATTACATTGTAACACATAATGAAATAATTATACAACTCATCATATGTAGAATGAGTGGGAGCCCTGAGCTTGTTTTCCAGCAACTAGAAGGTCCCATCTGAGGGCAACGGGAAATAGTGACACCCAAATTGTGTTGCTATGTCCAGTCTGCTCCATAATCTTGTTTTGGTTGCTGTCACCGCAGAAACCCCTCCTTCACAAAGACAGAAAGTTGGAAATAGAAGCAGACTTTTCAGTGCTTCTGTGGCAATCACAGAGTATTTCTCCTTGACTTTAATCCAGGATGTATGGAGATTTAAAATCTCAAATATACTTTTGAGGTCGCTGTCATCTGCGATCTCAAGCAATTGATCCTTTTCTAGAAGACAAAGTCCATTCACCTGGCTTATTCACAAATGATTAGTGCATCCATTCCTCCCCAGTTTGGGAGTCTTTTGTGGTTAGAAAATAATGCTCAAATTCTTCCGAAAGCTGAGATAGGTGATCATGCACCTGCTAGGAGAAAGAAGGCCCTGGTTCAGTCTCTCAAAATCTCTGCTAATGTTTGAATCATGTCAAAAATCCCAATGTTCACGCATCACCCCCATAATTCCAGTTTGGATTGGAATGCAGCCACTTTATCTGCCGACTTGAACACAGTTGTTCTCTCCCATAGTGACAGATTGAGTTCATTGAGCAGGTTGAATGTGTCACACAAACAAGCAAGTTTTGCAACCATTCTGTGTCACTGAAATATGCTGTTAGTAGTGACTCTTTTTCTAAAAGAAATCTCTGGAGTGGCCCTCGTAACTCGAAAACCCATGCCAGTGATCGACCTTTAGAAAGTCATCTCACTCCTGTGTGTAAGAGAAATGTGTGTGCTCTGCATTCATCTCCTCACGGAGCTGCACAAACAGATGCGAGTTAAGGGCATGTATAATACTTTAATATGGTTAATAATTGTAATCATATCCTGTCAAACATTATTAAGTTCTGGTGACATTTTTAGACTAGCCAACACTTCTCTATAGATGACAGTGTGTAGACCCACATTCAGAAGTGACATCTTTAACCCCAGTAGTGAAAGCAGAAAGCTGTTCAGTCATGGCAGCTGCTCCATCTGTGCATATACTGACAGAAAATGACCAGTTCTGTTTTCCTGATATGTAATTATTCAAAGACATGAATGGTTCTGCAGCTGTGGTGTTGGTTGCCAACAAAAGTGCACATAACATATCTTCATGAACATCCTTTAGAAAAATATATCACACAAAACAAACATTGTTGCCTTGTTGTCAACATTGGTGGGCTCATCAATCTGAATTGTGTATTACAGTAACTCATTTAATCTTCTCTTTTTAATCTTAAGCACCATTGTGCTTAAGATTAACCCATTTAATCTTAAGCACCATTGTGCTTCAACATCCTCTCCTATTTCATCAATTCACTTAGTTTTTGTGCTAGCCAAAATAGAAACACGTGCCACCCTTTGAAGTGCAGCCTCTCCAAAAATTCATGACAAATGTCCTTAGCAGCAGGCAGGATCACCTCTTCACCAATAGTAAAGGGCTTCTTACCTTTAGCAATGCAGTTAGCCACTAAGAATGATGCTCTCCATGCAGACACATTTAATGAAGTGGTGGCCTTCAATACTTGCTTCTGTTCTTCATGTTCAAGTTTCTTTTCTTTGAAAAACTCCAAAGCCTTGTCTTTTGTTGCAAGGTGTCTGTCTTCTTGCAGAGCAACAGGTGGTGAAGCAGTTTTGAAGCTTCCATGGCTTAATTGGATAGCCAGTCACCACATATTATAGAGATAGGGCCCAGAGAATGTGAATCGCATGTTGGTATTTTCTTTTAAATGCAACTTTCTTTTTGTTGGCAGTCTTAGAGTCTTCTGCTGTCTCATTATTGGGTCTTTTCCTCTTTTCAAAGAAGCTCTCCAGTGATATTTGTTTTTTACTCATTTGGGATAAGGTTAGCTTGTGGGCTTACCAAAACTGTGACTGAGACAATTGCATAGTGTGGGAAAGAGGCATAGAAGGAAGTGGTAAATAAAATAATGAGTGGGCAACACATGGATTGAAATAAGTGTTGGATTCTGACTTAAAGCCTGCCACCAGATGCAGCTGTACAATTGAAGTACATCAACTCACTGGCCACTATAAAGCCTGCCACCAGATGCAGCTTGTCACTTGCCACTCACTGATAAGAGTTTTGATATGAGTCTGCAAGAAGTTGATTTATCATTGTCTCTGTGCAGTCAAACCTCTCTGCTAATGTTAATCTGTATTAGCATCACTGCCTCTGCTCCACCTTAGATCATCAAGCATTAGATTCTCATTAGGAGCATGCAACTGAGATCCCTTGCATGCACAGTTTGCAATAGGGATCATGCTCCTATGAATATCTAATGTTGCCACTGGTCTGACAGGTGGTAATGCAAGCACTGGAGAATGGCTGTAAATAAAGATGACAAACTTTGCTCACTCACCCACCACTCACCTCCTGCTGTGTGGCCTGATTCCTAATGGGCCACAGACCAGTACAGGTCTGTGCCCTAGGTGTTGGGGATCCTTGTTATACAGGACACAGTAATTCATAGGTTTTTGTGTGGGATAGAGAAGTAGATGTGTGCTCTGGAGGCAAGGAGATACAGGGAAATTCAATAACCAGGTAATTACTCACTAAAGTAACCTCCCCTGTGGTTACTTTAGCATGGCATATTATCTAACTCCACACTTGGGAAATATAGAAGGATATGCTATTGTTTGGACAGATACCTGAATAAGCAGAAGCAAAAGACTTATCAAATATGAGTGCAAAATAAAGATAGTACATACATGAGTAAAAGTAACACCTTATAAGATAAGTAGGGGATTCAAGAGGAGGAACACATCTTAGAGATAAAATGGAGTTAAAAATTTCATTTTGGGTATGTCATTTCAGGTCAATGTAGAAGATTTGTAAAAGTATTATAAAAGGTTGTCCAACGAAATAATATATAAGTTTCAATCTCAAGAAAGCGAATAGATCTTAATATATTAATTTTAAAGAAATATTCATGTAGTTGATGGATATATGTATTGATATTCATGTAAATGATAGATTATTGGTGAAACTGTCAAGGAATAATACATATTAGGAAAGAACGGTGGATCCAAGTAAAATCTGGAGTAGTCCTGGATATAGCATCTATCTTTCCACCTTATAATTTTGATCACATATCTGAATTTGTAATTTTCCAGTAAAGCCTGATACAAGGATTTGAGAACAAGGAGTGTATTTGCGGACTGAGCCCAGACTACACCAGCAGTGAAGTAGCAGCATGAGAGGGAAGCCAGTGTTGTGTTATCAGAGGAGTCTTCCCAACAGCAGCTTGGCCTAGAGGAACTCTGGAAGATTCAGTATTTATGCAACAACTCCAATGGATAAAATTTTGAGAAATTTTTTAACATAAATATTTTGCTATATCAAATCTAGAGATATTTAGAGAACTCATAATTTCATGACATGGATAATGAAGTAACAAGCAAGTGGGTGTAACTTTTCTAAAGATAACTACTTATAACATTTTAATGCATGTATATACACATGTACATACACATATATACACATATAGATATATATATATGTAAGTACATGTATTTACCTAATTATATGCAGTCATGTTTTTATTTTTCTATTGAAGTATTTTTGGAACAGTCGTCTGTGTTCATAAATATTCTTTATAATAATTATTAAAAGCAAAATTGAAACTATTTAATTCTAATAAGCTGTGTTTTACAAAATTGAATTTTATTTGCTTTTAATAAGCTTAACGATATCATAGTGTTTACTTATCCTTTTCCCTTTTGTTGACTATTTTGTTTTATTTTTCTTCCAAGTGTTAACAAATAGCATCACAATAAACATTCTTAAGTATAATTCCTTATTCTTATCTCTCTTTATTCTCTTGAATATATTCCTAAATGAGAGGTATGGATTATTATGTAGATGGTTATACACATATTTTAAGGTAGTTTGATTCCATAATGTACTTCTAACAGCAGTCTATTAAAACACACATAACAGATCTTTGTACTTCTTTATATCAGATGAGCTGCAAACCTTTTTGATATATAACCTGTTAAGCAGGATGCTTTGATCAACTATAGTTAAAATTATATACATTTATTACCATATGAACATAATGCATAAATCATAATATAGTACATAAAAATGAAGACATTAATGTAAAATTAACATGAGAATCCTAGTGTTTTCCTAAACATTTTTGTTATTATCTTAGACCCTATCTTTTCCACATTTTTTATTTCCACTATAGGTACTCACTTTCACCTATAAGTCTTAGAATTTATGTAATGGAGCACAAGAAAAGTTAGCAAATGGGAATGTCAATTTTGGGGCAACTATTCATAGGTTTGGCATGATGATATTAATTATCATAAGAAATCTTTGTTTAATGTTTCATAGTTTACAATGTATTTTTACACAAAAAATCTGATTTATTCTTCACATGTACCTTACACTATTAACAGAAAAGTAAGTATTATCATCCCCCTTTTCAAATTAATACAATTAAGATCAGGAAGCCCAAATGTCTTTCTTGGCCATACAGCCAATAATAATATACTCTATTTTCATAATAAGATCTTTCAAGTACTGGGTGTTCGTCTGAAATCAGGGCTTAGAATCAGAGTTCCCGGGGTGATAGAAGCAGGATGAAAAGGGCTGTTAAATCCAAGCACAAAATTGTGCTGAATATGGTCAAGAACCATATTCATATGGAGCTTAAAACTAGGGGTTGCAGTGGACCTAGGTCAAGAAGTGGATCTGGAGCAAAGGCGATGAAACAGCGGATCAGGACACAGGCAACATTGAAAGGCAATGCAGAGTAACAAACCAAGTACAGAACTCCTATGTGAGTGGTTGTTAAAAGTGTGTGTGTGTGTGTGTGTGTGTGTGTGTGTTTATAGGAAACACACAACCTCTGGATCAGAAAACAAACAGTTTATCGCTCATGGAAAATCAGAGTGCTTTTTCCCCTCAAACCCTGATTCTCTCATGGAGTGACACAGTGAGAGCCAAATGCCCAGTTGTTCGTACGTCACAGGAACCCTGCTGTTATGTGAGTCAGACCTCACAGATGGCAGCTGGTGTGTGGGCCCAACCTCCCCTTAACTGAAAGAAAGGTGCCTAGATTTTTACTGCCCTGGGATATGAGCAAATGGCTCTAGGGCAGGTGAGTTTTTTTGTCTCTGTGGAGTAATACTCTATCAATTGCTAAGGCAATCATTCTTTAATCAAGCTTGCCAGTGCTTTTTTCGTCAGAAAGCCCAGGCCTTGAAGAAACAAAAATATTTACAAAGAATTGTCCCCTAAAATTGGTAACCACAGGAGCAAGGAAGGAGAATGCATCTTGACCAAAGCCTCCAGGTTTGAGATTTGCCAGATATTTCCTAGATTGCTTATTAAGCTCTTTAGCTACAAAAAAGTCCTTGTTTCAGTCCATTCTTGTAACATTTTTATTTTCATTAACTTTATCATTTCCTCTCAATTATGTCTTTATTCAGTTGCATTTCCACAAAATATTCATTTTGCCTGCTGCGAAGATTCTTTTAGACAAGGTCACCACATTGAAAATGTACGTTCACTTCCTATTGCTTGAGCCCAACTATTGGCTGCTCATTTCCAGGTACTCTTTTTTTAAAATTTATTTTACTTTAAGTTCTAGGGTACATGTGCACAATGTGAATGTTTATTACCTATGTATACATGTGCCATATTGGTGTGCTGCACCCGTTAACTAGTTATTTACATTAGGTATATCTCCTAATGCTATCCCTCCCCCCTCCCCCCACCCCCCCGGCAGGCCCCAGTGTGTGATGTTCCCCACCCTGTGTCCATGTGTTCTCATTGTTCAATTCCCACCTATGAGTGAGAACATGTGGCGTTCGGTTTTCTGTCCTTGCAATAGTTTGCTCAGAATTATGGTTTCCAGCTTCATCCATGTCCCTATAAAGGACATGAACTCATCCTTTTATATGGCTGCATTGTATTCCATGGTGTATATGTGCCACATTTTCTTAATCCAGTCTATCATTGATGGCCATTTGGGTTCGTTATTTCCAGGTACTCTTAAAGGGACTTCAGCAATGAGACCACCTGTGAGATCTGTGGTCTGGATTTCCGATGTAACACAGGAACAAGGGAAAGAATAAGGAAGGGGTCACGCAGTCGGTCCCATCACCATGGTGGTGGGCAGGGGGCTAAGCATTTTGATGCTCTATTTGATCCAAAGCATCTTTTTCTTCCCCTTTAATAAGTTTTGATAACTTACAATAGCTCAAAATATTATGGGCATCTATGCACCTTAAAAACAGTAAACTGTCAATGAATATGCAGAGTCAGTTAAAAGCTCAAGCCTGCAAGTCATTACTATTTAAAAATTACAAAGTGTATCATATTTTTAAATACAAGACTTTTTTTGAGGTGGAGTTTCACTCTTGTCGCCCAGGCTGGAGTGAAATACAAGACTATTATTAAGCTATATTAACAAAAGTACTATTTTGCTTATCAGAGTTGAGTGAGGTAGTTTTAACAAGTTAGTTTCTGTGAAACCTTCAACAAGATGAAAGGACTTACAACACTCAGATACAGCTAAGAAAAACTTAAAAATAACTGACAAAAAAGGAGGCCCAAGAGACTTTACCCATTCATCCTTACCACCGCAAATACTGTCTGACAGCACATCTAGTTTCTCTGATGTTCAGTACGAGAGATTACATATCTGAAACTGGATTTTTATAGGTAAATACAAGAGTTTCTTGTTATAAAATGGTATCTTAAGAAGTTTACAATACCTAGGTGTTGCTTTCAAGTAGAAACAAAGCCTCAAAAATTTAACTAACTGCAACCGTATACATTTTACCACTCTCCTACCTCTTACTGTGAAATTTGTAACAACTAAAATACAGGATGCATTTTATTCCCTTATGGCTGTTTATAGCTTTATGTATATAATAATACTAGGTAAAATGTTAATGGATCCCATGGTTGAATGAAAATAGATTTTGTTATTAACCAAATAAAATTTTAGATAAACTATTCTTAATATGTGAACAAACAAGAATAAACTCATTCAATATGCTTTCTTTTGTTTAGTGTATTAGAAATACCTTGATTTCATACATTTTTACAAGATGGAAAGTAGATGAATTTGATTGAGTTTACCATGCAAAAAAATGCTATTTGTTTGTTAATTTTGTTAGTTTACTAACCAAATTATTTTTCATATTGTATAAAGCATAAAAGCTTTCTAGAAAGTTGTAAGGATTTTGCTTCTCATTTACATAATCCTTAGCACATAGAAATTTTAAAATAAATGTTAGTTATTATATTCATTGCTATATTAATCTATTTCTTCCACTAATGCTCTGTATCTCATGCACTCCTCCATTTTCAGAAAACATTATTTATATTTTTATTTTCTTATTCTCTATTGCTTCCATTTCATTAATATTAGTATTTACTAAGGATCAATTTTTGCAATGAAATGATTGACACATTCCCAACTCAAATGCTTGTGACTCCCCACAGCCCTTCCTGGTGTCATTTTCCTATGTCACATAAAGTTGCTTTGCTCATTTCTAGGATGGCTCGAAAGTGCAAGGGATTTACCCTATTCGTGAGACTTCTCAATACCAGAGGGAAGAGAGCCCATAGATCAATGTCCAAACTTTCTTCTCCCTCAGTCAGACCATTTTGAGGCATGATCTCCATGATATCTCAGAGGCCCCCTTGCTGGATGAAGCCCTCATTGCCCACAATGATAATCCACACCTTAACCCACACATTAGTGGTATTTCTCCTTTTCAGATTATACTTTCTTTTTTTCTAACTAGAAGTTGCTTGAATCCCTATTCAAATATACTATTTGCCCCCCACCTCCTTATTTCTGGCTCAGCCCTTAAGAGGAATCCAGTCTAAAAGAATCTCCATGACACTAAATTCAATATATACACTTTGACTTTTACTTTGCTTTTCCTTTGAGTTATGTTTGATCTACTTGACAATTTCTGTATTTGGAGAACACTATTTTCTTTTTTTCATTGACACCACATCCCCCTGGTTTTCCTTCTATAACTTGGATCAGTTTATTTCCTGTCAGCCTTTTACCTGTAGGGTTCTGTACTGTAGACTTTTCTCTTTTTATGGTTCACTCTTTATGACCTTCTTATTCTGAATCTCCAAATACTATCTCTAGATATGTCATTATCAACTGTCTTCTTTCACACTACACATCTCTTGTAGATTATTTTTATGATTTTTATTTATTTATTTATTTATTTGTTTGTTTGTTTGTTTATTTATTTTGAGACGGAGTCTCGCTCTGTCACCCAGGCTGGAGTGCAGTGGCGCGATCTCGGCTCACTGCAAGCTCCGCCTCCCGGGTTCACACCATTCTCCTGCCTCAGCCTCCCGAGTAGCTGGGACTACAGGCGCCCGCCACCACGCCCGGCTAATTTTTTGTAGTTTTAGTGGAGACGGGGTTTCACCGTGTTAGCCAGGATGGTCTCGATCTCCTGACCTCGTGATCCGCCCGCCTTGGCCTCCCAAAGTGCTGGGATTACAGGCATGAGCCACCGCACCCAGCCCTCTTTTAGATTTTTTACCCAAATTATCGGCATATTTTAGAAAAGCATTCGTAACAGAATTTTGAGATGTTTATTGCCTGCAATCTTACTGTCTTCTAGTACTTATTTTTCTCTACATCAAAACATAGCACCACCACGCACCCCTTCACTCTCAACAGCAAAATGATAGGCATTGCTATTGCATCCTTCTCATTCACATCCCACATTTCATCAATTATCAAATCCTACTTAGTAAAGGTTCTATATATGGTTTATGTGTGTGTGAGGGTGTTTTCACTTTTTTTAGGTTTTATGTTTTTAATTGATATGGAATAATTACAGAATAATTATACATATCTATGGAGTACATTGTGATGCCTCACATTAAGTAGATGCTGTCATCATCTGTATAACAACGTTTGCCAGTTCCAGAGTATGAATTGAGAATGTGGGAAAGAATTTCTTCAGCACATAGTAATGTGATTAGGGTTGTTCTCTTTTTTTTTTTTTTATAACAGCAGCAATATTGATATAGAGAGATAATACTAAATATTATATGTAGATATAATCTCAGGATATTTACTTTCTTTTCTAAAATTTAACTAAACTATGTTGTCTACATTGTAAAATCATATAGTTGGCCATAAATACACTTGAAAATGATGGCCTGTGTTTTTCTGGCACCAGTAGAAAAGTATCAAGGGATGAAGACTTGGCCATGCCTAAAAGCCCTAGTTTATTTCTGCATCTCAGTAATGGTGTTTACTCCTTAAGCATACCACATTGCTGCCTGTTGCTTTGAAAAAGCACAGGTAGTGTGTACATAATAGGCATAATGAAAATATTTAATTTTTTACTTTCCTATTCTTTCTTACTCCTTTTTAATTTTTTAAGTTTTTTACAAATTTAGGAGGAACATGTAAAAGTTTGTTACATGTATGTAATGAGTAATGATTAAGCCAGGACATGTAGGGTTTTCATCCCCTGTGTACAATATATTTTGGTTAACTATATTCACCCCACTTTACTATCAAATATCGGTTTTAGCCTTTCTGGCTCTCTGAGTGGCATCATGGTGGTTGGCAAAAACAAGCACCTCACAAAAGGTGGCAAAAAGGAGCCAAGGAGGAAGTGGTTGATTCATTTGCTAAGAAAAATGGTGTGATGTAAAAGCACCTGCTATGTTCAATATAAGAAATATTGGAAAGACACTAGTCACCAGGGCTCAAGTAAATAAAACTGCATCCGACAGCATCAGGGGTCATGTGTTTGAAGTGAATCTTGCTGATCTGCAGAATAATGAAGTTGAATTTGGAAAATTCAAGCTGATTCTTGAAGATGTTCATGTCAAAAACTTCCTAACTTCCATGGCATGAATCTTACCCGTGATAAAATGTGTTCCACAGTAAAAAAGGGCAGACCATGATTAAAGTTTCTTTCGATGTGAAGACTATTGATGTTAATTTATTTTGTCTGTTTTGTATTGGTTTTACTAAAAAATGCAAAAATTAGTTATAGAGATGTCTTATGCTCTGCACCAATGGGTCCACCAAATCCAGAAAAAGGTGATAGAAATCATGACCTGAGAAGTGCAAACAAATGACTTGAAAGAAGTGGCCAGTAAATTGATTTCATACATAATTGGAAACGACATAAAAAAAAAAAAACCTTGTCAATCTATTTATCCTCGTCATTATGTCTTTTTTAGAACAGTAAAAATGCTGAGGGAGCCCAAGTTTGAATTGGGAAACTCATGGAGTTTCATGGTGAAGGTAGTAGTTCTGAAAAAGCTACTGGGGATGAGATAGTTGGTAAAGTTTAACAAGTTTATGGGTATGAACAACTCTTCCAACAATCTGTTTAAAGTTCAGACTTTTAATATTGTAAATAAAAAGTCCCATTTGTGATAAAAACAACACATGGACCTTAATTTTTCTATCCAACTGTATGTTCTTATACCCTTTAACCTACTTCTCTTTAGTCCCCCTTTCTACCCTCAACTCACCCTTCTCAGTCTGTTATCTATTCTGTTATCTATCTTTCCACTCCTTACCTCTATGTGATCATTTTTTTAACTCATAAGTGAGAATATGCAATTTTTATTTTTTGTGCCTGGCTTATTTCACTTAGGATGATGACCTCCAGTTCCATCCATGTTGTTGCAAATGACATGAATTTGCTCTTTTTTATGGCCAAGTAGCATTTCATTGTGTATATGTACCACATTTTCTTTATCCATTCGTCTGTTGATAGACACTCAGGTTGCTTGTGTATCTGGTATTTTGAGTAGTGCTGCAATAAACATGTGAGTGCAGGCATCGCTTTGATTTATTAGTTTATTTTCCTTTGGGTTGATACCTAGTAGTGGCATTGCTGTATCAAATGGTAATTCTAGGTTTAGAATTCAAGAAAATTCCATACTATTCTTCATAGTGACTGTACTGGTTTACATTCCCACCGATGGTGTTTGAGAATTCCCTTTTCTCCATACTCTCACCATCATCTGTTATTTTTTGGTCTCTTTAGATGCCTAATAGACATTCTGGCTGGGATAAAAGGATATCTCATTTTGTTTTTCATTTGCATTTCTCTGATGATTAGTGATGTGAAGCTTTTTTTTGTATACCTGTTGATCATTTGCATGTCTTCTTTTCAGAAATGTCTATTCATGTCCTCTGCACACTTTTTAACAGGATTGGGGTTGTTTTTTGTAATTTATTGAGATGTTTGAGTTCCTCAAATATAAATATTAGCCCCCTGTCAGACTAATAGTGTGCAGATATTTTCTCACATTCAACATATAGTTTTTTCACTCTCGGTTATTTATTTTGCTTTGCAGAACCTATTTAGTTTAATTAAGTCCTTTCTATTTGTCTGTTTTTGTTTTTGTTGCCTGTGCTTTTGAGGTCTTAGTAATAAATCCTTTGCCTAGATCAATGTCCGGAAGAGTTTTGCTTTAGTTGTCTACTAGTATTTTTATACTTTCAGGTCTTATATTTAAATCTTTAATTTATTTTGAGTTAATGTCTATACGATGAGAGATAAGAGTTCAGTTTTATTCTTCTGTAGCCAATTTTCTTAGCACATTTACTGAAGAGAGTATATTTTCCCCAGTGTAAGTTCTTGTCAGATTTGTCAAAGATTAGTTGGCTGTAAATATGTGGCCTTATTTCAGGGTTCTCTATACTGTTCCATTGGTCTATGTATCTATTATTATACAAATACTATGCTGCTTTGGTTACTATGGCCTTGTAATATATTTTGAAGTTAGGTAATATGATGCTTCCAGATTTGTCCATTTTGCTCAGGAATGCTTTGGTTATTTGGGCTCTTTTTTGTTTTGCTTTGTTTTATATTAGTTCTAGATTTTTTTTATCTTTGTGTAAAATAATGAGAGCATTTTTATAGAGATTGAATTAAATCTGTAGATTGCTTTGCGAAATATGACCATTTTAGTGACATTAATTCTGCTCCATGACCATAAGATGCTTTTCTATTTTTTTGGTGTTCCCTTCAATTCCTTTAATCAGCATTTTGTTTATTTTCCTAATAAACCTATTTTTACCTCCTTTGTTAATTTTATTGCTAGGAATATTTTTGGCAGCTTTTATAAATGAGATTAGCTTATTGATTCTTTCAGCTACATTATTACTAACGTATAGAAATGTTACTGATCTAGCCGATGAGGTGGCTCATAACTGTAATCCCAGCACTTCGGGAGGCTGAGGTGGGCAGATCACTTGAGGTCAACATGGTGAAACCACATCTCTACTAAAATAAAAATGCAAAATCAGCCCGGTGTAGTAGCACGTGCCTGTGATACCACCTACTCAGGAGGCTGAGGGAGGAGAACAATTTGAACCCAGGAGACGGAGGTTGCAGTGAGCTGCGATGCTAAGATTGTGTGCTTGCAAGTAAGAGAAGGGAAGGGAAGGGAAGGGGAAGGGGAAGGGAAAAGAGAAGAGAAGAGAAGGGAAGGGGAAGGGGAAGGGAAAAGAGAAGAGAAGGGAAGAGAAGGGAAGAGAAGAGAAGAGAAGAGAGAGAAGAGAAGAAAGAAAGAGAAAGAAAGAAAGAAAAGGAAAGAAAGAAAAAGAAAGAAAGAAAGAAAGAAAGAAAGAAAGAAAGAAAGAAAGAAAGAAAGAAAGAAAGAAAGAAAGAAAGAAAATGCTATTGGCTTTTGTAGGTTGACTTTCTATCCTGCAACTTTACTGAATTCATTAATCTAATATAAGATATTTTTGGTGGAGACTTTAAGTTTCTCTAGATATAACATCATATCATCAGCAAAGAGGGACAATCTGACTTTCTCTTTTTCTATTTGGATATCCTTTATTCTTCTCCTTTTTTTTTTTTTTTTTTTGAGATGGAGTCTTGCTCTGTCGCCCAGGCTGGAGTGTGATGGCGCAATCTTGGCTGGCTGCAACCTCCACCTCCCAGGCTCAAGCAATTCTCCTGCCTCAGCCTCCCAAGTAGCTGGGATTACAGGCATGCACAACCATGGCCAGCTAATTTTTGTATTTTTAGTAGAGATGGGGTTTCACCATGTTGGCCAGGCTGGTATTGAACTCCTGACCTCAGGTGATCCACCCACCTCAGCCTCCCAAAGTTCTGGGATTACAGGCGTGAACCACTGTGCCCGGCCACCCTTTGTTTTTCTTTTGCCTGAGTTCTCTGGCTAGGACTTTAAGTGCTTTGCTGAATACGAATGCTGAAAGTGGCCATCCTTGTCTTGTTCTAGTTCTTAGACGAAAGGCTTTTGACATTTCCCCATTTCATATGATGTTAGCTGTTGGTTTGATATACATGGCTTTTATTATTTTGAAGTATTTTTCCTTCTAGGCATAGTTTGTTGAGAGGTTTTGTCATGAAGGTATGCTGAATTTTGTCAAATGCTTTTTCTGCATCTATTGAGATGATCATATGGACTTTTTCCTTCATTCTGTTGACATAATATTGATTTGTGTATGTTGTACCATCCTCGCATCCCTACCCATAAATCCTATGTCATTATGGTTTATTATCTTTTTCATGTGCGGTTGGATTTATTTAGCTAGTATTTTATTGGTGTTTTTTTAGTCTATTTTCATCAGGAATATTGACCTATATTTCGTTCTTTGTTGAGTCCTTGTCTGGTTTTGGTATCAGGGTAATGCCGGTCTCACAGAATTAGTTAGGAAGAATTTCCTCCTCTTTAAATTTTTTTGAAATAAAGATCCTCTTTTTTTTTTTTTTTTTTTGTTGTTGTTGTTGTTTGTTCCTTTCAAGAGGATTGGTATTAGTTCTTTGTACATTTGGTAGAATTATTATTGGGAGACATTTTATTACAGATTCAAACTTGCTATTTATTGGTCTGTTCAGGTTTTCTACTTCTTCCTAATTCAATCTTGGTAGATCTTATATTTTCTGTAATTTATCCATTTTCTCTAGGTTTTTCAGTTTATCAGTGTATAGTTGTTTATAGCTGTCTCTTATGACCTTTTCTAGTTCTGTGGTATCAGTTGCAATGTCTCCATTTTCATTTCTGATTTTATTTATGTCTTCTCTCTTCTTGGTTAGTCAAGCTAGTGATTAATCAAGTTTAGTTCACCTTTCTGAAGAACCAATTTTCTATTTTGTTGATCCGTTGTAATTTTTTAGTGTCTGTTTCATTTAGTTCTGTTCTGATTTTTATTGTTATTTTCTTCAGCTAATTTTAGGTTTGGTTTGTCCTTTCTTTTCTCATTCCTTAAAGTACATTGTTAGTCTGTTAATTTGTAATCTTTCTACTTTTTTAATGTTTCAAACTTTTCTCTTAGCACTCCTGTTGCTGTATCACATAGGTTTTGCTATGTTGTGTTTTCATTTTCCTTTGTTTCAATAAATTTTTTACGTTTCCTTCTTAATTTCTTTGTTAGCCCAGTGGTCATTTGGATGTATGTTTTTTAATTTCCATGTATTTGTATAATTTTCAAGATTCCTTTTGGTTGTGATTTCTAGTTTTATTTCATTGTGGACTCAGAACATAGTTGATATGATTTTGAATTTGTCGAGACTTTTTTGGAATCTAACATATGGTCTATCCTGGAAAATGTTCCATGTTCTGATGAAAATAATATACATTCTCAATTGTTGTATAGAGTGTTCTGTAAATGTCTGTTAGGTCCATTTAGTCTATAGCTCAGTATAGAGTCAATATTTCTTCATTGATTTTCTATCTAGATGATCTATGTAATGGTGAGAGTGGGCTGTTAAATTCTCCCACCATTACTAGATTGCAGCGTATCTCTTTCCATAGATCTCATAATCGTTGTTGTATGAATCTGAATGCTAAGGTTCTGGGGACATATATAATTGTTATATCTTAGAACTATATCTCTTTATTATTATATAGTGACATTTTTTGTCTTTTTGATACTGTTTTGATTTAAAGAGTGTTTTATCTGATATAAGTACAGCTACTTCTGCTTGCTTTTGTTTTATATTTGAATGGAATATTGTTTTCTATCCCTTTAATTTTAGTCTGCATGTATCTTTACTGATAAGGTTCATTTCTTATAAGTAGCCCATAGTTGGATCATTTTTTTATCCTTTCAGCAATTATTTCCTTTAAGTGAATAATTTAATTCATTTGCATTCAAGGTCATTATTTGTATCTGGGGTTTTGTTGCTGTAATATTGTTAATTATTTTCTGATTGTTTTATATATTATTTATTTATTTTTCTTCTATTGTTTCTCATTTTGGTTTGGTGGATTTCTGTAATGAGTCATTTCTCTTCCTTTCTGTGTGATTACTTTATCAGTGAGTTTTATACTTTCATGTTTGTTCATGATGGTAAATGTTATCCTTTAACTTATAGGTTTAAGACCCCCTTAGATATTTCTTTTAAGACCTGTCAAAATGGTAACAAGTTCCCTCAGCATTTGCTTGTCTGGAAAATATTTTATTATCTTTCATTTATGAAGGATAATATTGCTGGATGTACCCTTCTTCATTGGAAGTTTGTTTGTATTTTTTCGGTACTTTTAATATATAATTCCATTCTCTTCTAGCCTGTAAAGTTGCTGCTGAGAGATTTTATATTAGTCTCACGGAAGTGACTCAATATCTTTGTCTTTCTGTTTTTAGTATTTGCTCTTTGTCTTTGACTTCATACAACTGCTTATAATGTTCCATGGAGAAGAAATTTTTGCATTGTATCTGCTTGGGGATCACTGAGCCATTTTCATGTATTATTTTATTCAATAAGTTTTCTATTTTTTTGTTATCTCTATGCCTTTGGTGATTCTGATAATTTTAATATTCAATTGCTTTATGCTGTCTTAAATATCACAGAGGCTTTGCTCATTCTTTTATATTATATTTTCTTTATTTTTGTCTCACTGGGTTCTATCAAAAGACCTGTCTTCAAGTTCTGAGATTCTTTTTTCTGCTTAATCAAGTCTATTATTGAAACTTTCAAATGTAAATGTAATTTGTATTTCCTTTAATAAAGTCTTCATTTCCAGAATTTTTATTTGATTATTATAAAAACATATTCTAAATATATATTCTAAAAATGTATACTATTTTTGAAAAAATATGTCTTTGGTAAGTTTCTCATTTATATCCTGATTTTTTAAATATTTTATCTGTATTTTATAGAATTCTCTTTATCTAACTAAGTTTCTTTACAGATAATGTTTTAAATTCTTTATCTATTATTTTGAGAATTTCCATTTGGCTAAGATTTATAGTTGGATAATTACTGTGTCCCTTTGGAAGTGTCATATTTCCTTTTTTCATGAGTCTTGTGTCCTCACATTGATATCTGCACATCTGGTGTAACAGTCACTTCTTCCTATTTTTAAATTTAGGAGACTTTTTCCTGAAAATGTATCTATAATGTGGGTTGAATAGGGCATTTAGCTATGATTCGGGATACTTGCAGTAGTGTAGTCTCTTTATGATTTCTTTGACTGTAAACAATTTTCATAATGTTTGTGATTTCCTCAGTGGCTTGGGGTAAACTTATTAGTGAAGATTATGGCAAAGTCGTGCTGGGGACTAGAATGCCAGAAGTGCCAATATTCAAAGACTAGTGATTGCACCTGTGGGTTTAGCATGCCTATTTTTGTGCCGCAGGGCAATATACATTGGCATCTGTGTTGGTAGCTATCAGTGAGCCAATTCTTGGGCTTTCAGATTGTTTGCTTGGATGGTGGTTGTGGCAGAGATGGACTGAGTGGATGGGTGGGTTATAGGTCCCTAAGCAGCCAGAGTGGTAGAGGAGATAGTGGTAGCAGTGGCAAGACAAGTCTCTGAGTCCCAAGTGGTGTGCATTGGTGGTGGAGGTGGCTGTGATGGTCTGGACAGCCCAGTCTTCAGGCTTGCAGATGGTGCTTGCAGATAGGTGCCAGCTGTGTTGGTAGCAACCAGATGTTTAGATTTAATCTCAGGCCCTCTGGAGGAGTTTTCAGATGCTGCAGTGGTGGATTAAATTGGGCAATTCCCAAAACCCTGGCTATGTGATCTGTCTTGGAATGATGGGTAAAAGCCAAGTGGGAGGGCTTGTGCTCAGGCCCAACCAATGATGAGAGAAGGCACCAGTCATGATGGGTGGGGGCAGAGTGCTCCAAGTAGAGTGCTCAAGTAAAGAGTGGTTGCGGCTGTGCTGAGACCCTGCCACTGGAGTGGATGGCGCAGGTTTCATCGGACACAGCCTGGGTCAATGATGGGGCAAACATTCATCCCTCTCATGCCATAGCCCCAGTGGGGTTCAACTCTCAGTCCTGGCAAGAATAGCACATGCCTAGTTCACACCTCAGCCCAACTGTAGGAACTGCCTGCCCAATTTGCAATTCAGTCCTAGCAGCAAGTTCTACCCCATTTGCATCCTAGTATCAGTCACTATGGAGCTCACTTACCAGAACCAGCAGCTGCAGTCTATGCCTCATTCAATTATCAGCTCCAAATGTGGGAATTTGTTCCCAGATCACACCCCAGTTCCTGCAGCAACATCCCAAGCTTTCCTAACACCTCAGTCTCAGTGCCACTGAGCTCCAGGGCAGAAAGCTAGGATTTAAATTGGCACTTGGCTATAACTACTTATGTCAGAGAAAGGGTGTGGGACAAAGCACAAACTCCATCCTGGAGCAATTCTTTCTCACAGTCTCCTGGAAGCTCCCCGTGTTAGTTTCAAGGCTTCACAGGGTCAAAGGGCTCTTCTGTGGCAAGACTCCATGGTGGGAATGCAGACTACCTCAATTTTCTCACTTACACTCTCTCCATGTGGGGAAGACACTCCTGTCTCCCAGCCAATCCCAGCCAAGCACACTGGCTCTTTCTGTCTCTTCTCCTTCCTTGATTTCAATGTTTCCTGTCACTTTTCTGTTGCATTCCAGTGTTCTTTCTTATATAATGCATTCAGTGTGATTGTCTACATACTATTTTTGTTCTTCTGAGTAAAGGAGACAAGCATGAAATTCTTCTAGCCATCTTGAAGCCCCTCCTTATGTGTTTTTTAAAATATCACTTCTCTTTGCCACTTCTTTCTCATGTTTAGAGTTAAAAGCAACATGGTCTTAATTGACATACTGAAAATCCTAAATTGTAGTCCATGATTGTTGCTCTTAAAATAATACCTGTCACTGGGTAATTTATAAATAAACAAAATGTATTTCTTCCAGTTCTGGAGGCTGGAAAATCCAGAGTTAAGGGAGTGCATCTGGTGGGAACTCCACAGAGTCCCAAGGCAGTACAAGGTGTTATATGAGGAGGGGCCTGGGGATGCCAGCTCAGGTCTCTCTTTTACCCTATATAAAGCCACTAATGCCAATCCCATAATAACCCATTAATTCATTAACCCATGAATCTATTCATCTGTGAGTGAATTAAGTCATTAAAGACAGCAGGAACCCCATGACACAGTTATCTGTTTAATACCTCGCCTCTCAATACTGCCATATTGAGGATTAAATTTCAACATGCATTTTGGAAGGGACAAATATTTAAAGCATAGCATTCTGCCCATAGTCCCTCAAGACTCATGTGCTTTTCATATTCATCTAATCTCATTGCCCTAAAGTCTTAACGCGTTCCAGTACCAAGTCAAAAGTTTAAAGTTCAGAGTCTCCTTCTGTAAACCTGTAAAATCAAAATAAGTTAGTTACTTCTAAGACACAATGATAGTACAAGCCTGGCATAGGTATTCCTATTTCAAATGTAGGAAATAGGCAAAAGAAAGTAGGAACAGTCCCCAAGCAAGTGCAAAACTCCAAAAGACAGACATTCAATCTTAAAGGAGGAGAACAATTTCTTTTGACTCTATGTGCCATTTCCTGGACAGACTGGAGGTCAGGTGCCCAAGGCCTCAAGCAACCCTGTCCCTACGGCTTTACTGGGTGCAGCCAACACAGCTGCCCAAACAGGCTAGAGTCAAGTACCTGAAGATTTCCCAGGCAAGTATTGCGTATTGCCAGTGACTCTACAGTTCGGAGGTCCTGGTGGCAATCCTACTGTCATGGCTCCACTAGGCACTGCACTAGTGGTAAGTCTCTGACCCTGCCTTTCCATTCTGTTTCACTTTATTTGGGTCTCTCTATGGTAGCTCTGCCCCTGTGACAAATCTCAGGCTTGGCTCCCAGACTTTCAGTGACATCCTTTGAAATCTGCATGGAAGTTGCCTGACCGCCATAGCCCTTGCTTTCTGTAAGCCTGAATAATTAACACCATGTAGGTGTCCCAAGGCTTATGGCTTGTATCTTCTTGAGTGAAGGGTAATATCAGTCTCTACCTGGACCTATTTATGCAACAGCAGGTGTGGCTAAGAAGCACTGGATGGGATTTCAAGGAGCAGAATCTCAAAGTGGCTCTGGAAAGTAAGCCTATGGAGCAAGCTGTGGACCTATGCCCCAAACCATCCTACCCTCCTAGGCTTCTGAGACTGTGATGAGAGGGGAAGCCTCAGAGTTTTCTGAAATGCTTTTGGGGTCTTTCATTGTCTCTAGAAATTGCAGCTGGCTCTCTTCTTTTTTTTAAATTATTGATTCAAGGAGCACATAGTCTTCTTAGTTACATGGGTATTGTATGTGTAATGGTGGGGGTTGGCCTTTTAGTGTACCCATCACCCAAATATTGAACACTGTATCCAATAGAAGCATTTTCAGTGCACACATCCTTCCTACTCTCCCCTCTTTTGGAGGGAGTCCCCATAGTTTATACTCTTCATTTTTGTGTCCCTGGGCTAATTCCATTACCAAATGATCCCTGGGCCACATCCTTGGTTTCCTCTCCTGAACACAGGTGTTCACTATTTACATGACCAAGCTGAGAGTTTTCTAAACTTTTTGTTCTGCTTCCATTTCAGATTATAAATCTATCTTTAAATTGTTTCTTTGCTGCTGAATCAGTGCAAGCAGCCAAAAGTAAACGTGCAGCTCCTTCTAAATTTTGCTTAGTAATTTCCTCTGCTAGATATGTTAGTATTCATCTCTCTGAAGTTCATCCTTCCACAAAGCCCTTATGGACATAGTTCAGACAAGTTATTTGCCAATTTATAACAACATAAAGCTGGTCTTTACTCCAGCTTCCAATACCTTGGTTCCTCAGTTCTATCTGAGACCTGGTTAGAATGGACTATAGTGCCTATATTTTTATCAGATTTTTGGTCACAACTAATTAACCAATCTTTTTGAAATTTCAAACTTTCTCTAGTCATTTTGTTATTTTTTGATCCCTCACCAGAGTTACCCTTAATATACTATTTAAGTCAATGCGGGGTTTTTCTAGCCTTATCTTCTAAGCTCTTCCAACCTCTACCCATTATCCTATTCCAAAGCTATCCCACATTTTCAGATATTCTTTAATAGCAACAGCCCCATTATCAGCACCAATTTTGTGTCTTAATCCATTTTACTGTTGCTTATAACAGAGCACCTGAAACTAAGAAATCAATAAGGAAATTAAATTTGTTTCTTACAGTTATATAGGGTGAGAACTCTGAAGTTGAGAGACCACATCTGGTAAGATTCTTCTGGGTTGTGGGAACTTTCTGCAGAGTCCTGAGGTGGTACAGTGCATCACATGGTGAGAGGACTTATACAGTGAATTCAGGTATCTTTCTCCTCTTATGAAACCACTTACAGGCCACTCCTGTAATAATCCATTAGTAAACTAAGCCACGAATCCATGAATGGATCAATTCACTCATGAGAACTCTTCTCTTATCACCCGATTACTTTTTAATAGCCCCACAACTCTATACAGCCTCACTGGGGGTAAAATTTCAACATGAGTTTTGGAGGGGACAAATATATAAAATATAGAATTTGGGGTTTTTTTTCAGTATTGCTCTATCTACACCCATTATTTCTGTTTTGAAAAAAAAAAAAACAAAATGTTTCCTATGGTTGCCTATTATCTCTTTTCCATGCCATTTCATCCATAATTTGATTAGGATTTGGATGATCAAAAGATCATCCTTTCTGCAGTCCCTTGAACATCCTGTGCTCCACACTTCACTGGGAATTTTCTCATTTTCTCACTTTGCCTAGAATATTCCCACCCGATTTCTCTTTATTCTGGCCAACAGAAGGTTTCATATAATAATATTTCTTCAGAAAGGATTTCTTTTTGTTTCATAGATACCTCTCTCGTATAGGTTGACTTGGCATCCTGCAATCTTCCTTTCATATTACTCTTCAGTGTTAACGTTTCTCAATAACTTCTTGTTGCATTAGACTATACATATGATAAGAGCAAAAGCCATATTCATATTGTTCATCACTTTATCTCAAAGGACTAGAAAGTGACTAGCCTAATAGGAATGGATTTTTAAGTCCATAAGTTATAAATCTAAAAGTTTGGATTTAAAACTTTGGAGATTGAGTGACATTAGGCAATTAGAAAACAAAAGTCCTACCTAAAGAATAAACTGTCTCAGTTCACTTTTTGCTGTTATAACAGAATACCACAGATTGGATGATTTATACACAATATGTTTATTTGGCTTGCAGTTCTGGAGGCTGGAAAGTCCAAGATCAAGAGGCCAATTCCGGTGAAGATCTTCATTACCTATCACCTGTGGGAAAAAGGGGATGAATTCTTGAGACCACTGACCCACTCCCATGATAACTGCATTAATCCATTAAGGAGAAAGGATCTAATCACCTCTTAATGATCCCATCTCTTAATACTGTCACAATGTCCATTAAATTTAAACCCGAGTTTTAGAGAGAACATTCAAACCATAGTAGTGACTGAAGGTATATGAATCTGAGACTTTGGATTAAAAATTTGAACGTAATCAAACTTCCATTGAGACTAATAAAAATATAAAAGAGAGAGAGATGAAGAAAAAGGCACTTATACACAATATCATAAGTAAATCACTCAATATTTAGCCAATCAAAAATGAAATTTAAACAACAAACTTTTCACTTATCAGCATGAATAAATCTTACAAACATATAATTCATCAAAAAATTTACCCTAAGTAATTATGTTTAGAAACAAATAGAACTTAATATTATTCATAAATGTTTAAAATCTTTTTATTTTTGAGACATGATCCCACTATGTTTCCCAGGTTGCAGTACAGTCATATAGGGTAATCATAGCACACTGCCTCTAGAGGAGCCAGAATTATAGGTATGCGCCACCACACCAAGTAAATCCATAAATTTTAAATCGTGCACTGTTCTGAGTAGCTTGATAAAAATCTCAGTTACTGCTGCATCATGTCCTGTAAGTGAATCATCCCTTTGTGTAACTTATCCATGTTACGTGCTACCAGCCCCTTAGTCACTTAGTCATCATCCAGGTTATCAGATTTATTGTTGCAGTACTGCAGTGCTTGTGTTCAGGTAACCTTTATTTTACTTACTAATGACCCCAAAGCACGAGAATAGTGATGCTGACAATTTTGCTATGCTACAGAGAAGCCATAATGTATATTTCCTTTAACTGAAAAGGCGAAAGCTCTTGACTTAATAAGGAAAATAAAAAAATATATGCTGAGGTTGCTAAGATCTGTGGAAAAAACAAACCTTCTATCTGTGAAATTTTTAAAAAGGTAAAATAAATTTCTGCATAATATATATAGGGTTCAGTACTATTTGCAGTTTCAGGCATCCACTGGGGATCTTTGAACATATCTTTGGTGAACAAAGGGGGACTACTGTATAATAAATATGTATATATAAATATAGAAAAACACATATTAGCTATTTATGGGAATGGTAAACACTAAGTGTGCTGCCACTGCAAATTAAGGAAAAAAATTACAGAGAGGTGCCGAACAGAATTCAACTGTATCTTTAATGTTTTATGTATTAAAACAAAAGAAAACATGGATTTTAAGTATATAAGGCTTAATATTAGCAGTTGTAAAATGATTGGATAGTTTATGGATGTCATTCACATTATTCTCTATAATAGTCTAAATATTTGAAATATTTTACATTTTTAAAATTAGATAAAACTACACTTCCAAGAAGATGCATTAGATATATTTTCCCCTGTTCTTTCTGATATGTGCTGCTGAAAACTCTTGGTATTATGTATAAAATATAAGAAGACCCTGAAAGCTAAAAAGAAGTCACACTGGTTAGGGGTCTCAGAACAAAAAATTTGGAAACACAGTAAGCTTCCTGAGTATTATTTTTGCCTCATATATTTCATGCAGGATGCTGGAGAAGCCTAGAAGCAGACAAATGGACGCAGACAAAATAAGCCCCTCAAAAGCCTGTTCCTTTGACACAAACAAATAGGAAAGGGAAAGCCTAAGGAAACAGAGGTTTGAGAAAGTAACCTTTCTGTTACCACCAGACACCACCAACAATTGTCAAGTTAGTGTCCTAGACTTTCACATTTGCCAGGTTATAAAAAGATGTCCCAACTCCCCTGCTGGGGAGGTTTTGAAGGGGGCTGCATAGGGAACTGGAACTCTATCTCCACCAGGTAATAGCCAGCTCCAGTACTACGTCTTCCATGATGGCAATGGAAACCATGCAGAGAGCCTGGACTTTCACCCTCACCAGCATTAACAAGGACTCCCTCTCCGTCCCCAGTGTCGAGTCAGAGGACGTATTGGATAGAGTCAATACTTTCACCATCACCAGAGGGTAATAACACCATTCCCACTGCAGTATCAGTGGAGACTACTTAGGGAGCAGTGACAAGACACTTCCACCCCTCTTAAACAGCAAAGCATCATTGGATACCTGGTGGGGAACAGGAACTCCCATCACTGTCTAAGGTAACAAGGCATCATCCCCTTTGGTCTCAATGGAAACCCATTGGAGAGTCTGAGTTGCTATCGTCACCTAGTTATAATAAGGTGGCTCCTCTTCCCCAGCTGAAGGCATGTCAAATTATACAGCTAAAAAGAAAATATGCAAATAAGATTGAGAGTCTCATAACACAACACAAAAATGTCTTGATTTTAATAAAAAATCTGGTGTTATACAAAGAATTAGAAATATCTCAAACTGAATGGAAAAAGACAAGCATGGCAAATGCCAAAGTGACAGAGATATTAGAACTATCTGACAAAGAGTTTTAAAGCAGAAATCATAAAATGCTTCAATGAGCAACTACAAATGCACTTCACCCAACTGAGAAAAAAAATAGAATGTGTTATTAGAATAAAAATGGACACACTTGTGTTAAAAACCCTAACAAATGGAGGTGGAGAAGGCTGCAAGGGGAGGGTTTTCGTGCATGCATCCATAATAACAAGAACTATCACAAAAGACTGCAAACACCACAACCTTGCACAAAGGCCATCACAGGCTTACACACAAATAATACTTCTGTGAGGATATCTGCTTGGCAACTGCCTGTGCAGCCTTAGCCTGGTGCTATCCTTGCTATTAACCCTATAATTATCTCAAAATAATTATATAACCCTTCCCACTTTCTCTTTAAGAACCTTTGTCTTCCTTTACCTCCCTGAATATGCTCATTATTTACTATGACATGTATATTCCCATTGCAATATTCACTCTCAAATAAAAATAATTTCTTTTATAGAGGCTCTCTCTGTTCATTATCGAGGCTTTGACAAAAGCCTAAAATAGCTCTTAGATCCATACGAGAATTGACATCACAGAGCAAACAGCTGCCAAGAAAACTGAAGAGAGCGGAAAATACATTGTATTGTTTGTGGGGAGAGGAGGAGGAGAAGCCTGCTGCTGTAGTAGTATAAGTGCTAGAACCAAAGTGAGGACTGCCTGAAGAGTTAAAAACTCCCAGGACCCATTCCTGGTCTGGGGTGGGAGTGAATCCTATATTTTTTAAAGTTTTTTCCTCTGGGACCTTCACCAGGTTCTCATTGTGAGGATCAGAGGAAAACTTTGTCATGCTTTGAGTAGAAGAAAAAAAAAAGTACCACCAGAGGCTTTGGTCTACTGGGAAACACACACACACGTACACACACACACACACACAGAGAAAGAGAGAGAGAGAGAGAGAGAGAGAGAGAGAGAGAACCCCCTCTAAAGACTTAGTTGTATTATTGTAGAACACTTCTCCTCCCCAGTATCTTACCACTACAACAACAGAGCTCCAGGATAATAACGGTGAACCACAATTGAACAAGCTGCAAGACACAAAATCCATTTATGAAATCTCCAGGGAAACTCAAAGTTAACAGTGGAGAAAAAGCAAGGACACTAGATACTATTGAAGACTGATATCTACAGGTATAACAAACACTAAACACTTTCTAACTCCTAGTTAGATAAACATAAAATTTCACACTAAAGGACTGTTTATCTCAGTTCCTACTACCTGATGTCACATGTCTGGCTTTCAATAAAAAATTAAACACAAGCATGCTAAAAGACAAGAAAAAAATACAATCTGAAGAGAGGAAGCGAAGCAAGCATCAGAACCAGATTCAGATACAGCAGAGACATGAGGGTAAAGAGAACCAGGAATTTAAAATAACCGTAATTAATATGTTGATGGTTCTAAAGAAAAATAAAACAGCATGAAAGAACAGGTAGGTAAGGTAAGCAAGGAGATTGAAACTCTAAGAAAGAATAAAAAGAAAATCCTAGAGGCTAGATGAGGTGGCTCACACCTGTGGAGGCCAAGGCAGGCAGATCAACTGAGGTCAGGAGATCAAGACCATCCTGGCTAACATGGTGAAACCCTGTTTCTGCTAAAAATACAAAAAATTAGCCAGGCGTGGTGTTGCGTTCCTGTAATCCCAGCTACTCAGGAGGCTGAGATAGGAGAATCACTTGAACCTGGGAGGCGGAGGTTGCAGTGGGCCAAGATCGTGCCATTGCACTCCAGCTTTGGCAACAAGAGGGAAACTCCATCTCAAAAAAACAAAACAACAACAACAAAAAAACCCACAAAAATTAGCCGGTGTGGTGGCAGGGGCCTGTAGCCTCAGCTAACTGGGAGACTGAGGCATGGAAATCACTTGAACCAGGGAGGCAGAGGTTGCAGTGAGCCAAGATTGTGACACTGCACTCCAACCTGGGTGACAGAGCAAGACTTTGTCTCAAAAATAAAAATAAAAAATATAATAAAATGTTAGAAATTAAAAAAGAATTGCACAGAAATAAATAATTCCCTTGATGACTCACCTGTAAATCAGACATGGCCAAGGAAAGAATCAGTGGGCTTAAAGATATCTTGATAGAAACCTCCAGTACTGAAATGCAGAGAGAAAAAATAATGAATAAAGCAATTGAGCCAAATAGTCAAGAATTGTTGGATGTTGATAAAACGTAAAACATGA
Organism: Homo sapiens; assembly: GCF_000001405.40. Classification (NCBI taxonomy): domain Eukaryota; kingdom Metazoa; phylum Chordata; class Mammalia; order Primates; family Hominidae; genus Homo; species Homo sapiens. Next base: position 188,710,966 of record NC_000001.11, read on the forward strand.
AATGGAAGTATCAGATGGGTCAGAAAAAGACAAATGAGCAAGACAAATATTGAATTATTTGAAATATTAATTGCTGATAATTTTTCAAAATTAATGACACACTGAAAACCACAGATTTAGGAATTTCATAAAATACCAAGTATGAAAAACCTCAAAAAACTGATGCCTAGGCATATCATATTTATTACAAAACAAAAGACAGAGAAAACCTTGTGAAAAGCCGGTGGTGTGGAGTGGGGTCATGTGAAACCTTATATTTAGAGAAACTAAGAATTACATTAGACGTCCCTTCAGAAACCATACAAGCAAGAATAGAGTGTAGTGAAATATTTAAAGTGTTTGAAGAAAAACCAAGCAATCTAGAATTTTGTATGAAGTTACATTACCCTTAGTATTGAAGAAAAGTTAAAGTCTTTTTCAGACAAACCGAAGGCATTTGTTGGCAGTAGATACGACTTGCAATGTGTCAAAAGGTATTCTTCAGAGAGAAAGAAAATGATATAGGTCAGTTTTTCATGAAGAAAGGAAGCACATCAGAGAAGGAAGAAATGAAGATTTTCAGTGCAATGCTGAATAGAAGTGTTGAGAATGGATGCCCTAGCATTTTTCCTGAACTTATTGGGAAGGATTTAACGTTTTATCTGTAAATATTACATTAACAGAAGCCATTTTGAGGATGCCCTTTGTCATATTGAAGTTTCCTTTTATTCATACTTTTCTGGGTGTTTTCAATAATAGATGGATGTTGAACTTTGCCAAATGAGTTATCTGCATATATTAAGATATCATATTATTTTTCTCTTTTATACTCTTAATACAGTAAATTACACTAATGGATTTTTTAATGCTAAGCCAATCGTGCATTGTTGAAACAAACCCCACTTAGTAGCAAGTTATATTTATTTATATAGATTGCTTTGGATTATTTTGCCTCTTTTTTCAGGAATATTGAATCTATTGTAATAATACATTACTTTGTTTACTTGTAATACTTTGGTCTGTATATCAGTTTCTTAGGGCTGCCATAACAAAATACTACAGACAAAATGATATCCAACAACATAAATTTATTGTCCCACAGGTCTGTAAGCTAGAAGTCCAAAATTAAGGTGTCACCAGGACCATGCTCTCTCTGAAACTGGGGATAGAATCCTTCTTTTTCTCTTACTAGCTTCTGGTAGTTTGGCTGCTATCTTTTATTACTTTGGATCTCAGGCGCAGCATTTTTATCTCTGCTTCTCTATTCACATATCAGTATCTTTTCATATGTGCGTCTCCTGTTTTTATAAGGACACCACTTCTACTGGATTATGGGCAATCCTAATTTGGTGTGACCTCATTTTAACTTGATTACATCTGCAAAGATCCTGAATCCACATACAGTCACATGCACAGGTACTAAAGATTACTATCTCAGTATGTCTTTTTGGGAGATATTCTACCTACAATATTGTTTTTGTATTAGCGTTATGCTGGCTTTATAAAATGTATTGGGGATTTTTCTTTTATTCTAATTTGTGAAATATATGGTATATAAATGCTGTTAATTTTTCTATAAATATTTAAGATAACTCAGCTGTGAAAGCATATGGCTGTTGAGTTTTCTTTATGGTAATGTTTCTGATAATGAATTTTTAATTGACACAATGACATTATTTTATCATCAAAATTGCTAGAATATTCTATGTTGTTTTGGTAATAAGGTGGTTTGGTAGGCGGCATAAATCTATGAATATATTTACTTATATGGCAAAAAGGACTTTGCAGGTAAAATTAATTATCTAGAGATGGAAAGATTATTTTGCATTATTCTGGTGGCCTAATGTAATTATGAGGCTCCTTACAAGACAGAGTCAGGAGAATCAGCATCAATAATAGGAAGGTGGACAGCATTTAGAATCTGGAAAAGCTAAAACATGGATTATCTTCTAGAATCTGCAGGATACAGCATTATCAACTCCATGACTGTAACCTAGTGAAACTGATTTTGGACATCTGATTCACAGAGCTGTAAGACAATACACTTGTACTTGTTTAAGTTACTGAGTTTGTAGTAATTTATTACACTAGCAATAGGAAACTAATATAAGGTAGATCAAAATCATTTTGACAAACTAAAAAAATAGATTTTCTTCTTATATTGCTATATCAAAACAGGAAGACTTAATAATAAAAATATTTGAGCTTATGTATTTGTGCATTTGATTTTCTTATTTTTATGAGAGGTTTTACTTTGCTAAAATTTATTTGTTACTTGCTTTCTACTATGCTGTTGTCATTGGGTTTTTAGTCTCAAAGGATTTCATTGTAGCAAATATCTTGCCTTTCCTTTAGAGATCTGAAAGAGGTCACTGGATGCTTATACTATGCTGAAGTATCCTTTCTACAATTCTTTTTTCAATTGCTGTTTACTCAAGTGAATGTTTGAGCTATTCTGTTGAGTGATGATTTGTTTTGTTAAAGGCATAAGAGAACAGGATATTCTCCTTTAGGAATACAGCTCAATATTACACAGACATTACTTTTATAACCCTAATTGCAGTGTGGTTTTCTTTGTGTAATTCTAGATTAGGATCTGACATTTGTAAACTCATTGATCAAAAAAGTAAGCTTTCTTTAGGGAAGGTAGAAGCAATAACGCAAATAAGGTCTTTATGAAACAGAAAAACCACTTTGATTATTTTCTCATTCAAACAAATATGTAGGAACTATGGAAACTTAATGCAAATATAATAGCAACATTTTCTCTCTTGCATTTCGCTCTTTCAAATAAAACTTGTTTTCAGGCAAAGTCAAATTGTTTAGTGCAGCACTGCTGAGTAACAAGTTAATATAACCAACATATGTCATTCAAATTTTTCTAATAGTCTCATTTAAAAAAAAAGTAAAAAGAAGAGGCTAAGATTAATTTTAGTTATACATTTTATTTAGCATGCTGTATCTAAAATATTGTCCTTTCACGACCAATTTATAAAACATAATTGAGCTTTTACATTTTTTCACACAAAATCTTTAAGATCTGATATGTGTCTTATATTTACATGACATCACAATTAAAACAAGCCACATTTTAAGTTCTCAGTATCTAGTAACTACTACAGTGGATGACGTGTGTGTAGGTAAAGTAATCTAGGAAAAAATAATCCATAACCTAATAATTGTAATTAACATACTTAAAATACTTAGAGGTTTAGAACAGTCTTAAATACTACTCCACCAAGTATAAAATTCTCCCATTTTTTTCTTATAGGTTTCATCATTTTTATCCTAAAGAATATATTAATCATATTTCTTGCAAGGACTTGACGAGATAACATCATTTTGGAGACTATGGGGTTTTAAAGAACATTAAGCACAAGAAATCGTAATATAGATTTGCATAATACAAACAAAGAGATAGGACAAAAAAAAATCAGGTAATTAGAAGTAGTAGCCTTTCCCCAGTAATAAGTAGTGGCAAATATTTTGCACAGTTAATACAATGACATATTTTTATTCAAATGCTATTATAAGTGTTTTATGGTTAAACATCGAATAATTTCAGAAGCAAACAAAAAAAGATAACCTTGTTGGATATAAAAATACTAGAGACCCATAGGCCAAAGCAACTTCACACATTAAAAAAAAGCACATCAAAATTATTTGAAGCATACAAAAACTAATCTGCTGTAACATAGGAGGCTATCCTAACTGTAACAGTGTTTGAAGCTAGTATTTAGAAATGGTACATAATTTGTCTCTACTGTATTGACAAAAAGATGTTAAATTCATGCTATGGATAAGAACATTTTTACCAAATTTTTATAAATATTTTATATTTTAAGAATATAAACATTTTAAAATTATTTTATAAACATTTTATACACTTTTGTCGAAAAATCCTTTCTAGAAGAAACTCCATTAAGGCAACTTTATTAATTCTTACTTTATGGACTAATTTTTGACACAGATTTTCCTGTCCCTATGAATCCATTCTTGTACACGCTAAAGAAGTACCTGAGACTTGGTAATTTATTATATAAAGAAAATTAATCTGTTCTTGCACTGCCATAAAGAAAGACCTGAGACTTGGTAATTGGCTCATGGTTGTGCAGGCTGTACATGAAGTATGATGGTAGCATCTGCTTCTGGGGAGGCCTCAGGGAGCTTTTACTCATGGTGGGAGGCAAAGCAAGAGCAGATGTCTTACATGGCAGGAGCAGGACTAAGAGAGAAAGTGGGGAGGTGCTACACACTTTTAAAACAACCAGATCAAATGATAACTCACTCATTCACTATCATGAGGACAGCATCAAAAGGATGGTGCTAAATCATTCATGGAAACTTCACCTCCATGATCCAATCACCTCCCAGCAGGCCCCACTTTCAACACTGGGGATTACATTTCTACATGTGATTTGGTGGGGACACAGAATCAAACCATATCACTTTGTATAAATTAAAATTCAATTTTTTGAATTGATTCTTATTCAATCTATATCTTATTTATGCCTTCCTTTATTATGATTTTTATAGGAGCTATTACCATGAAGTCTAAATTTGTGAACAAATTTTGTCAAAAGAATTGATCCTTTATTCAACTAAAAGATTGAGTTTCAACATGTCAATTTATATTGATGTTAATATTAAATAATTTTTGAGATAATATTTATTGTTTAAATGCTACTTCACTAACAGTGACAATTTTAAAAGGTTTATTATAGAAAAACTATATCATAATTAGATAAAAGATATGCAACACAGTCAAACGATATCACTAAGCCAGGGATCTGGTGACATTAACTGTAGCCTCCTACTGGCCTCCCTCTGTAAGAGCCTTGGCAGAATGCATTTTCTCTCTGAGATCAAATACAATAGATGTGTGCATGGAACACCTGGAAACCAGGAAGATAAAAGAATGGAGTTTCTTCCAGGTGTTTTTATACAGTCCTTCTTATTATTGCTTCTCTGCAATCAGCCTCAACAGCAGGGACCTGGAGGAATGGGGGGAGAGGTGGGAAAAAAGGGAAAAACTATCTCACAAAAAACAAGCAAAAAATGTCACTTTCACAGTCATCAATAAAAATTCTGATAAGTTGGGACAAACCTCCCCCAACTCTTTATAATTATAGATACACAAAACATTTACACAGTATGTTTTGTGCCTTGACCAGGAGTCAGTGCCACAAAGCTTCATTATTTTATTAGCACAGGTCAAGCTGATTCCAAGTCATTTGGAATTAATCCTCATAGTATAGCCACCACTAAGCCATAATAATTTGGTCAATTAAAAAAATCATGGCCAATTCATTAAAGGCAGGTTTGAATATTGCCAGTTTCTGTTAGTACAGATTTTTAATTAATTTTCACTGAAAATTTAATTAAAGTAATAGTTTTTATTTATTTATTGGAGCAAAAAGCAAAGGCCATTAGTAAGCAGAAAAATGTGATTGGGTACCTAAATGGATCTAAATATTGGGGTCAAATACCTTAATTTTGAAGTACTATTATTTCTCACTTCAGTTTTTACACATCTAGTTGTAACCTCTGACGTTATCTCCTTTCATAGTGTAAATGATGCCACTCAATAGTGATTCTTAGTTTTGTCATAAACAGATATTATAACTTGGTGATTCCCTAATGTGAACCAGTTATGTGGTCATTTTAGAATGTCATGATAACAGGAAATACTTTGCACAGCGAAGCCTTGAATATAATTCATATTTGTTTTAGGGGTAGATGGAAAGGTAGCTGTAGATAGATAGCTCTGGATGGACAGAGACAGAGAGAGAGAGAGAGAGAGAGAGGGATAATAGATAGATAGAATCCTCCCAAACAGTAATTGCTTCACAAAGCAACAATGTATTTATAATAAATAAAAGTGAATAATGAATATATTTGTACACCACACATTAAGGTATTTATAAATAATGAACTAACTTATACTCTAATATTATGCAACATGATATCAAATAGCATTTGCTCTGTTTTTAAATCATAGAGAATGCATTACTAGTAAATAATTGAGCACGTAGACTGAGCACATAGATTGAGCACATGGACTGTGATTTTTGAGACTGAATCATATTTCCCTTTCAGAAAGAACTGTCACACATATTATTTCAAAAACCTAGAAAAATGCTAAATTTATCTAGAAATGATATAGACACATTAATCATAGGAGGCCCTTCAATTCATAATTCCCAAACTAATGTGAATTTAGGAAAAAAATTATTAGTATTTCTGTTCCAGAAAGAATATAGTCTTTTATTCTAAAAAATAGTGACATAAAATTACGTATATGTGTGTGTGTGCGTGCATACATTTGTTTTTCTTTTTTTCCACAGCAGTTGATTTTTATTCAATTTAGAAATACATCTTAGACACTGAGGAATTGATTCCCATATTTGGTATGTAAAATTTGGAGGACAGCAAAGGAGATTTGCATTACATTTATTACAGTGAAAGAGTTTGCTCTGAAGATTTTGACAACAGACTCCACCAATTCTTTTACAAAGAAGAGTGAAAAAAATGGCTTTTTCTGGTGAAATTGATTTCCTTTCCAAGTGATTTTGAAGTAGTGAGATGCTCATGAACAATATTACTCATGAAAATTTGTAATGAGAAAACAAAAACAGAAACTAAAACTAAGCTTATTCTCTCACCATGGCAATGGAAAATACAAATACTCTACAAGAACAACATCGAACATTGCCGCAACATTCAATTCAATTCTAAAATTTAAAAACAGTCCAAATATCGGATATAGCTCTTTAGAAACTTAGGTGACAAGGAATGTCCCCATTCTCATGGTTAATTTACTCAAATGATTAATTTCTAACATTAGGATTCTGATGTTGCAGTCCTTCTTTTAGGGGATGGTTGGCTTTTATCACACAGGTGTTTTGAGGCATCTGAAAATCAGAGGGAATGGAGAGAAAATATTAAAGAGATGGAATGTGTTGAGATAGAATATTGCCCTCTTGAATTCATTATTCATATTAACTGTTAGAAATAATTATGCTACACCAAAAGTAACCATTTATTAACTGATTTTATTTTTTTTAAATATTGTTATTTCAATAGTGTTTGGGTAACAAGTGGTGTTTGGTTACATGGATAAGTTCTTTAGTGGTGATTTCTGAGATTTTAGTGCACCCATCACCCAAGCAATATACACTGTACCGGATGTATAGTTATTTACCCCTCACCCTCCTCCCACCCTTCCCTCTTAAGTCCCCAAACTCCATTGTATGATTATACTGCCTTTGTGTGCTCATAGCTTAGCTCCCACTCATAATAAGAACATACGATGTTTGGTTTTCCATTCCTGAATTACTTCACGCAGAAAAATGGTCTCCAATTCCATCCAGGTTGCCATTATTTCTTTCCCTTTTATGGCTGAGTAGTATTCTAGGCTGTGTGTTTGTGTGTGTGTGTGTGTACATCACAATTTCTTAATCCACTTGTTGATTGATGAACTTTTGGGATGGTTCCATATTTTTGCAATTGCAAATTGTGCTGCTCTAAACATGGATGTGCAAGTGTTTTTTCATATAATGACTTCTTTCCTCTGGGTAGATACACAGTAGTGGGATTACTAACAGTCTAAAAGTGTCCCCTTTTACCACATTCATGCCAACACTTAACTTATTTTTATTTTTTAATTAATAGCCATTCTTGCAGGAGTAAGGTAGTATTGCATTGTGGTTTTGATTTGCATTTCCCTGATAATTAGTGATGTTGAGCATTTTTTCATATGTTTGTTGGCCATTTGTATATCTTCTTTTGAGAATTGTCTATTTGTGTCTTTAGCACACTTTTTGTTGAAATTATTTATTATTTTATTGCTGATTTGTTTGAGCTCCTTGTAGATTCTGGATATTGGTTATTCGTTAAATGCATAGTTGGTGAAAATTTTCTCCCAATCTGTGGGTTGTCTGTTTACTCTCCTGATAATTTCTTTTGCTACATAAAAGCTTTTTGATTTAATTAAGTCTCATCTCTTTATTTTGGTTTTTGTTGTATTTGCTGTTGGGTTCTTGATCATAAACTCTGCGTAAGCCAATGTCTAGAATACTTTTTCTGATGTTGTCTTGCAGAATGTTTATGGTTTCAGGTTTTAGATTTAAGTCTTTGATCCATGTTAAGTGGCTTTTTATATAAGGTGAGAAATTAGGATTCAGCTTCATTCTTCTACATGTGGCTTGCCAATTATCCCAGCACCGTTTGTTGAATACGGTGTCCTTTCACACTTTATGTTTTTGTCTGCTTTCTTGAAGATCAATTGGCTGTAAGTATTTGACTTTACTTCTGGGTTCTTTATTCTGTTCCATTGGTCTATGTACCTATTTTTATTACCAGTACCTTGGTGTTGTGGAGACTACAGTCTTGTGGTATAGTTTGAAGTCGGGGAATGTGATGCCTTCAGATTTGTTCTTTTTGCTTAGTCTTGCTTTGGCTATGCCGGCACTTTATGGTTCCATATAAATTTTAGGATTTTTTTTTTAATTCTGTGAAGAATGATGATGGTAATTTGATGGGAATTGCATTGCATTTGTAGACTGTTTTTGGCAGTATGGTCATTTTCACAATATTGATTCTACCCATCAATGAGCATGGGATGTGTTTCAATTTGTTTGTGTCATTGTGATTTCTTTCAGCCGTGTTTTGTAGTTTTCACTCTAGAGGTCTTTCTCCTCCTTGGTTACACATATTCCTAAGTATTTTATTTTTATTTGTTTGCAGCTATTGTAAAAGGGATTGAATTATTTATTTGATTCTCAGTTTGGTCGCTGTTGGTGTATAGCAGTGCTACTTATTTGTGTACATTAATTTTGTATTCTGCTGCTGGTTTGTTTACATTAATTTTGTATCCTGAAATTTTAAGAATTCATTTATCAGATCTAGGAGCTTTTTGGAAGAGTCTTTAGAGTTTTCTAGGTATGTGAACATATCATGAACGAACAGCCACAGTTTCACTTCCTCTTTACTGACTTGGATGCCCTTTATTCCTTTCTCTTGTTTGATTGCTCTGGCTAGGACTTCTGGTACTATGTTGAACAGAAGTGATGAAAGTGGGCATCCTCGTCTTCTTGCAGTTCTCAAGGGTAATGCTTTCAACATTTCTGTGTTCAGTATAATGTTGGCTGTGGATTTGTCATAGATGGCTCTTATTACCTTTAGATATGTTCGCTTGTATGCCGATTTTGGCGAGGGTGTTAAAAACCAATGCTGGATTTTTCAAATGCTTTTTCTGCATCTATTGAGATAAACATATGATTTTTGTTTTTAATTCTGTTTATGTGGTGTATTATATTTATTGACTTGCATATGTAAAAGCATCCCTGCATCCCTGGTATGAAACCCATTTGATCATGTTAGATTATTTTTTTGATACGGTGTTGGTTTCGGTTAGCTAGTATTTTGTTCAGGATTTTTGCATCTCTGCTTGTCAGGGATATTGGTCTGTAGTTTCCTTTTTTTTGTTATGTCCTTTCTTATTTTTCGTATTAGGTTTATACTGCCTTCATGAATGATTTAGAAAGGATTCCCACTTATTCTATCTTTTGAAATAGATTCAGTAGGATTGGTACCAATTCTGTCAAGGAACTAGAGAAACAAAAACAAACCAAACTGAAGCCCAACAGAAGAACATAAATAACAAAGATCAGCTCAGAACCAAATGAAATTGGAACAACAACAAAAATACAAAAGATAAATGAAACAAAAAGCTGGTTCCTTGAAAAGACAAATAAAATTGATAGAACATTAGTGAGATTAACCAAGAAAAGAAGAAAGAAGATTCAAATAAGCTCTGCTAGAACTAAAATGGGAGATATTACAACCGATAACACAGAAATAAGAAAGATTATTCAAGGCTACAATAAATACCTTTACACACAAACTAGAAAACCTCAAGGACATGGATAAATTCCTGGAAATATACAGTCCTCCTAGATAAAACCAGGAAGAAATCGAAACTCTGAATACACCAATACCAGCAGTGAGATTGAAATGGTAATCAAAAAACTTGCCAATAAAAAAAAGTCCAGCACCAGATGGATCCATAGATGAATTCTACTTGACTTTAATATTTTTTTAAAAATTTTGTTTTATTTATGCATAATGTTGCTTTAATTCAATATCAAATACAAGATCATATCCAGGAGTGTCATCCTTCCAGGTATATTTATTTATTTATTCCTAATTTTTATTAACACTTTGAACAAGTATGTTAGATAAATACATAGTTGTATGCCTAACTTATGTTCATATCTATCTCATTTCATGTTAATGAATGAATACCAATGTAAAGAGTGAGGCTTGAAAATAATTTAATGTTTTTTCCTTTTGAAAACTTTTTTTAATGAAGGCAAGACTGTATTCACTCTACTTTTTTCTCTCGTCTCCAAAAACTGAGGTCTTTTAAAAATGTTTTATGGCCACCAAGAGGTACTCACTATAGATTCTCATCCAGGATTCTTTACTCTGTTAATGCTTCATCATGTCTCTCTGTGTTTCTGTGTGTGTGTGTGTGTGTGTGTGTGTGTGTGTGTGTGTATATGTGTTTATGTCCACATGCATACAGGTGTGTGTGTGTTGGGAGGGGGTATGTATCTCATTTGCCATCAAATTTAGCCTTTCTGTGTTTTAAATTTTATTTTTACTAAAAGTTATAGTTAAATGAATTAATATTATATCATTTATGCTCATCACATTTTGAAAAATGATTTTCTTTTCTAATAAATGATCATCAGGTTCTCATTTCCCTGATTCAAAGGAGTTAAAAATTACACATCTTGATGCATTCTCACAGGATATTTGAGAAATTTGTCCCTAAATCATCAGTGTCCCTGAAATCATAGTAACTTTTCTACTTAATTCTATATATGACTACTTAGATATTTGAATTCGGCATTCATGCAAATATTTTTTTAAATAAGTTTTAGAAAACCAAAGTCAATTTATTAAGCAGCATGTCTATGATAAAAATTCTTTACACTACATCTTTATTTAGTAAAACAAGTATCTTTTCCACTAACCAGGAAATTTGAGTTTAAGGGTGAATTAAACTGATAAACCTGTTTGTATTAATTTTTGTCTAAGTGGCTTAATATTAAGTTCAAGTATTAAAAATGGGAAAATTATATGAATTGTACTACATAATATTAGTTGAAAATATATCCTGTAACAGTAAAAACTATCAGGCATATGGCTGTTTTATATATCATTGGAAACCTTTAATTGGTTTCAATGGGTATAATGCATAATATTTTCAGCAATTTATAAATATATCAGAACTTGTAAAATAAAATGAGGTAGTAATTTTCAAGCTATGGATTGCTTTTCTTTGTGCCTCATTCTTCATTATACTTATTTTAGAATTCATTAGCAGTGTTTCCACTAGAGAACTATTCAAAAATCATATTGATATTTTAAAAAATTACCAAGATAAAAATACTGAAACATAAATTTCCTAAAGTTATTTCAATATACAATGAATTACACCAATTAGAAATATTACCAATAACTGGAGTTATCATTCAACAATAGTAGGAAATATGTGTTATGGCTCATTATTTTTTAATGATTATAATATTTAACCATAACTTCTAGAATTGATAACATTAGTCTCAAAAGTGAGTTACATGAATAATTAAGCCTGTCTATATTATAAGCAAGTTAATAAATCTAAATCTATGAAATATTAAAGGCCATAATATACAAGAGTTGATTTATATAGATATATATAATAGAAGAATCACATACTATACTTATCAGTAATAATAACCTGTCTTCCTATCTCAGAATCCAAGGAAGCTGAATATTCAAAAGTTTTGTAGTCAAGTAATTTTCATTAAGTAGGAAATTTCCAACTTGCAAGATAGTTTTTACGTGGAGCATTATCTCTTTATAATTTGTTAATTTATCAGGATATTATAGTTATCTTTAATAACATCTATCTTAAAATATCTTACATTAAAACCACCTCTTCTAATTTATATGTACATTGTTTTATATTTACTAAAATTTCTAATATGAGGATATTTTTCCTATTTTGTTCTTTTCTCATTTTGCAAAATATAGGTTTAATTTCTGTTTGTATCATAATATTTTCACGTTTTAGGTCCTGTATTTATCACTCTGTCTTTTCCTTTGCCTACATCCAAAACAAAAGGATATTTCCTTTTACATGTTGCACCTTTCCTCTGATCCTAAAACTTTTCCTGGAGACAGTCCTACTCTGTCGCCCAGGCTGGAGTGCAGTGGCATGATCTTGGCTCATTGCAACATTCCCCACTGCCCTCAACCCCCATCCGCCAGGTTCAAACAATTCTTGTGCCTTAGCCTCCCAAGTAGCTGGAACTACAGGTGCGTGCTAACACACCCAGCTAATCTTTTGTATTTTTAGTAGAGATGGGGTTTCACCAAGTTAGCCAGGCTGGTCTCGAACTGCTGGCCCTCAAATGATGTGCCTGTCCACCTCATCCTCCCAAAGTGCTGGGATTACAGGCTGAGCCATCATACCCAACATCCTTTGTTTTTTTTTTTATGTTTTGTTTTCCTATTCAGTACTCTATTATTTCAACCTAACACATATCTATCCTTCCATCCCCAAATACACTGGATTATTTCTTTCTGAATCATCACACTATTTCCATTAATTATCAAAACTGGCTGGGCATTCACTCGTGTTCATTTTTCTCTGAATCCCCAGAGTTAAAGCCTGACCACTTTAGTAAGAAGAAAAGAAAAAAGGTGTTGTGGCTCACTAGATGTGAAGATCCTGAAAATGATAATTATACAGTGTTTAAGTAACTGAAGTCACTTCCAAATGGCCTATCTTCAATGAAATTCACATAACACATGCAATAAATTATTAAACTGAATCATATTCTATTCTGGGGGGCTCCCTGGCATATGAAGTATGAATCATATCCTAGCATACCATTTTTCTTATTTTAACAGGACAAGGTCCTGGTAATCAGATTTGACATGCTTGAATAAAATATCAAGTGTCATTTTTCCAAAAAAAAAAAAAAAGTGAATTTCTATTACTTTTGAAGGAGTCTAAACAACATGAGGAATGAAGTGGCAAACTACCATGAATAAAATGTTCATAAAATATCACTGATCATGATGATAGTTCCTTAATAGAACCCACCTAAGAGGATAAAATTGTTAAAATTGACATCCCCTGACACTTGTAAGATAAACCTATTTGAAAAGAGAGCAGCAACAAAAAGAGATCGCTCAGCAGCTGCCTGCATGTCTCAAGTTTTCCCTTTGTCTTTCACAACATATTTTCACCATAGGCTCCTTCATTTGATGTAAAATTGATTTCTTGAAGGTAGTTTTAGACAATTAAATGTGTATTTTTAGATTAGATAATAGATCTTTGCTATGCTAAACTGGAAATTTTTTTTACCAGTCAATCTACCATTTAAAATGATGTCTTAATTCCTTTATGTGCGGTATGAGAATTTAAACTTGGATTGGTAATTTTGAGACATAGTACACAAAATATAGACAAAAATCAACAAATAAGAGTCGTAATTTTGTACCTCAGAAAGACTAGGTTCATTATTTATTTTGAAATTTTATTTTATTATTTATTTCTTTAAATTATTTCAAAATTTTATTACCTAACATGGATGACTCTAACTGAAAATCACTATGACTTCCATTCTTTCTGCTGTAGGCAGAATAATACGCCACACCCAAATGTCTAGGTCTTATCACTGAAACTTCTAAATGTGTTATGTTATATGCCGTGGAGTAATTAAGTGTGCAGATGGAATTAAATTTGCAAATTAGATGAAGATGTGGGAAATTATTATGATTGGACCAATATAATAAGCACAGGTATCCTTACGAGTGAAAGAGAGAGGTGCAACAGTCAGTGTCATAGTGATGAGATGTGACAATAGGACTGGCCATGCTAATTTGGTTCATAATTAAAGTCATTTGTCCATGTCTATCTTTTACTAATTCAATGCATAATATAAATAATGTAATCAAACACCATGAACCCACCATAAACCAAACAATTTCATGTATCACTAATTCTAAACTATGTATTTTTTTTCTTCCTATTTCCTTAGCTTCCTCTACAGGAACAACTACCCTTAACTCTTCATTAAATTTATGTGTCTGCATTTTTATTTATATTCATATTTATGTTCCCATTATTTGTATTCCCTTAGACACATATATCAAATACATCTCTATCTCCATATCTATCATCTTCTCTTTATCTAGATATAAATATAGGTGATATATATTTTTAATATCGCTCTTCATTTTTATACTGCCCTATGCAATATAACCTTCAAATTTTAGTTGCTATCAAAATGTTTTAAAGTATGCTGCTCTGTATTTAGCCTGTAGGTATTTGCTTTGCCACTCAAAAAATTATTTGCATGCTTGTGTAAAAGTTTGTCTGTGTGACTGAAAATAGCAATAGTTTTTTTGTTTGTATTGTTTTATGTTATCCTACTAGTGTTATTATACTCAAATTTATTTATCCATTCACCTAGCAACAGGTTTTATGTTTATAATATTATCTTATGAACTACACCAAAATAATAGTCAGAAGCATTTTAAAACATGTAATTATAGAAGACTTCATGCATACTAAATATAATATATAAATATGTAAATAACACAGGTATATAACAATATACTAAAATAAACACCATCATTCACCATAATTTGTAATAGTTTGTTGACTATAGTTATTCCTTCTTTTTGAAAGATTAGTAAATTCACCCCTGAAATAATTTGGCACTGGTGTTTAATTTTGAAAAAAAGTTTAACAAAGCTTTTTAAAAAGTTTATATCACACATTTTTAATAACAGTCCTCCCATTTTTTGTTTATAGTTTTATTCATATTTTCTTGTATTTTTGTGTCAGTTGTAGGAAGTTATATTTCCTAGAAAATTGTCAATGTCAGGTAAGATTATAATTATTTTGAATAAATTTGTTCACAATTTCCCTTGTTGTATTTAATTTCTGATGTATCTCTAGCTATGAAATGATTTTCTCTCCCAATATTATTTATTTGTTCCTTATTTGTCTCTACTGAATCCATTTTGCTTCAGATAAACATTTGGGTGTGTTAGTCTTGTCTAATTTTTGTGTTTATTATTTATTAATATCTGCTTTTATGTTTATCATATCCTACTTAGTAATTTCCCAGGAGTTATTCTGATATATTTTCCTCACTTTTGAAGTATTAAATGTATTAAATTTCTTTTCTTTCTTTACTAGTTAATAATTTAAAAATATATATGTATTCCCAGTATATAACATTTTTATACCATTATTTTTATATTCATCTATAAATATCTTCTTATTAACATGATATTTCTCTTAGGTTCAATAATAATTCTGTTGTATTTTAAAATATCAACCACTTTTAGACAGTTTTGTTGTCAGTGTTGTTGTTTTTGTGGTTGTTGTTTTGCTTTCTAATGTAATTTGCATCATAGATAATATAAATTTCAGAGTAAAAGTAATTGGAAACTTGTTGAGACAACTTATGGTGCAATGAATTGTAAGTTTTGTATATTATTAGAACTTTCAGGGATGACAACTGTCATTGTTAAGTCTTGTGTTGTAGATATATTCAATAGACTAGCAGTTTTAAAGTATATCTCATTATTAAAACGTTTAAATATCTCAATGTTTAAAAGCATAAGATGTATTTTTAAAACTAAATCCTATTGATATTCATATGCTTATCTACCACTTCCTGAAAAACATGTATTAATATCTTCTAATCAATATTCCTTGTTCTGTCCATATTCTCTGTATATTTTTGAAAGGCTTATTTGTATAGACATTTGTAATTATTTTTGTGTTCTTCTTAATTAAAAATTTATTTTCAATATAGCAAACCTTTTTTCTCCTATTTATTTACAACTTTTTAATTTATATTTCTTTTTTATGTTTTAAATGTGTCTCTTGTAGCTAAAATAAAATCATGTTTTCATTTTTTTTTTTTTAGAAGGAGTCTTGCTCTGTCGCCCAGACTGGGGTGCAATGGTGCAATCTTGGCTCACTGCAACCTTCACCTCCTGGGTTCAAGCGATTCTCCTGCCTCAGCCTCCCGAGTAGCTGGGACTACAGGTGTGCAACACCACGCCTGGCTAATTTTTGTATTTTTCTTAGAGACAGGGTTTTATCTATTAGCCAGGCTGGTCTCAAACTCCTGACCTCGTGATCTGCCCTCCTTGGCCTCCTAAAGTGTCATTTTTTCTTTCATGCTTTCTCTGTGATTGGAAAAATTTACCATTAATATATTTTTGGTGATAATATGTCTTATTTATTTCTCTCAAGTTATTCTTTTCTATAATATTCATTTGCTATTTTTTCTGTTTTTACTGAGATTGTATTTTCCTTTATGTTATAAATCTCAATGTTTTTAATTACTTATAGTATTTAATTTAAAATTGATCTTAATAGTATTGTTCTGATCCATATAGGACTCTTAAATCTCTATAATGCAGAAGTCTCCTTTTCATTTCGTATGATCTTCTCTTTTATTATTATTATTATTATTTTGAGACAAAATCTCACTCTGCTGCCAAGGCTAGAAGACAGTGGTGTGATCTTGGCTCACTGCAACCTCCTCCTCCTGGGTTCAAGTGATTCTCCTACCTTAGCTTCCTGAGTAGCTGGAACTACAGGCACTCACCACCACACCCGGCTAATTTTTCTATTTTTGGTAGAGACAGAGTTTCACCATGGTGGCCAGGTTGGTCTCGAACACCTGACTTTAGGTGATCCACCCGCCTCCACCTCCCAAAGTGCTGGGAGTACAGGTGTCATGTTAAGATTTTATGCAGGTCAATCTCTCTGTAGAATTGCCTGTTTATTATATTCTATATTGACATTTCTGCTTGCATCTTGAATTTTCCCTCTATAATAATTTATTCTTGAAATACATATTAATTTTTTTTTTAGAGATGGCATTTTGGAAGTTAATTTCTCCGTGGTGGTTCTTTGAAATATCTTGATTATTAACCCTATAATTGAAAGAGAATGTCTTTAGGTATAGAGTTTTAAACTGACAGTTATTTCATTCTTAGGACCATAATAATAACCAATACACAGTTTTCAACCTTTAATTGTGTTGTTTTGCTATCCTACACAAGTTTCAGTTGTTTATTTGGAAATAAGATAGATTTTTCTTATGTCTAATTTTAAGATATTTGCTCTGTCCTTGGTTGAACAATATTTCTCAATGATATACCAAGAATAGATTTATTTATTTTTTTCTACTTCAAATTTGGTGACTTTGATGGATCTCAGGAATCATGTCTTTTATCAGGTATATGTTAGCAATTACTGGCCTAAGTAGTTGATCTTTCCTTTCTCTCTATTCATTTAAGAACTCCTTTCACGGCTGGGCACAGTGGCTCATGCCTGTAATCCCAGCACTTTGGGTGGCTGAGATGGGTGGATCACAAGGTCAGGAGTTCGAGACCAGCCTGACCAACATGGTGAAACCCTGTCTCTATCAAAAAAATAAATAAACGAAAATAAAAAATAGCTGAATGTGGTGGTGCATGCCTGTAATCCCAGCTACTCCGGAGGCTGAGGCAGGAGAATAACTTGAACCCGGGAGGCAGAGGTTGCAGTGGGCCAAGATGGCACCACTGCATTCCAGCCTGGGCGACAGAATGAGACTCCGTCTCAGAAAAACAAAACAAAACAAACAAACAAACAAAAAACTCCTTTCACATATGTCTTATCACTATTCACTCGATGCTTTTTACCTTTCATTGCATAGTTTTTATTTATTTTTCGGAATGAATTTTAGACAGTGTATTAGGCTTTACCTCTAGTCACCAAATCTCTCTTCAGCTGAGTCTAGTATGCTAATCTCATCTCCAGAAATTTTTATTTTTGTTACTTTTTTTCGTGTTTTTTAACTTCAATATTTTATTTCTAAAATTTCTATTTTATTTCCATTTTTTCCAAATATCCATGCCATATTTTATAGTTTTTAATGCCTTGATTCATTCTCTTCTTTATTTTTTAGTTATGATAAACATAAATACACAGCTGATATTTCCAATAAAAGAATTGCTCATTGCTCTGATTCTGTTGTTTAGTTGTTGTTCAGACTCTCAGTCACATTGACTTTCTCATTTTTCATAGAATTTATTGAAGAATTTGTATTCATTGCTGCTTTGCATGTTGAATACCATAAGATTTAGTTTGAGGCTTGAATTATTGACAGAGAACTCTGCTTGCTTCAGTCAGACACAGAGGGCACTAAGCCATTTGGCACTACCTTAAATTCATATCTAAATTTATAGTTATTTGGATTGTGATATGGAATCCAACCCACATCCTATGTAAAATCTGGTTGTTATAAATTTGCAAGGATATCTTGTCTTTCAAAGGAAGATTTTAGTCTAGTTTATCCTTTCACTGGAGGTAGGGATCTTTGAGGATCTCAGTTTTATACTGAGGTCACTCTGCACTACTGCAGTTTTCCATATTGTACGCTCATGTGTTTGTATATTGTCCGCTGATGAATTTTTTTTTAAAAGAAGGAAACAAACAACCTCTGAAATGTCCTGAGATATTCAAGAACCTCATAGTTGCTACTGGCTTTGACTTACTTCCGTTCTATATTTGTCTTCATCTTGCTCATTTGTTGTTTGTAATTTCCTTTTCTGTCTTTCAAATTTACTCCCATATTTTAAAATATATGTATCACCATGTTTTATCATATATTTAGGTACTTTATAGGAAGAAGGTGTATTAGTCAGGATTCTACAGAGGGACAAAACCAATAGGATAGGTGTATATATAAAGGGGAGTTTATTAAGGAGTACTGAATCACAGGATCACAAGGTGAGTTGCCATAATAGGCTGGCTGCAAGCTGAGGAGCAAGGAAGCCAGTCTGAGTCTCAAAGCTGAAGAACCTGGAGTTTGATGTTTGACAGCAGGAAGCATCAAGCATGGGAGAAAGATGTAGGCTAGAAGACAAAACCAGTCTAGTCTTTCTGCAGTTTTCTCCCTGCTTTTATTCTGGCTGTGTTGCCAGCTGATTAATTTGTGCTCACCCAGATTGAAGGTCTGGGAAAAGTCTGCTTTTCCCAGTCAACTGATTCAAATGTTAATATTTGGCAACACCTTAACAGACACACCCAAGAACAATACTTTGGATCCTTCAATCCAATCAAGTTGACACTCAATATTAACTGTCACAAGTCCACCCTTTGTCAACTTGAACCCACACACATCTCCTGATATCATGCCTAATCTTCAAATAAAGACAATAATAAGGTCATAATTATGGCTAACATAATACAGCTATTCCTTGTGCAATTGGAAATGAGCCAACCCCCAACCCAATTGCAATTCCATAATGTTAACATTGAAATGCTGATATGAAGTCAATAAATCTTATGTCACATGACAAAAGAAAAAGAAGGAAACAAAATGAAGGTATTTTCTTGGTACAACTGTATACATGCACAAATATGTTCTTAACAAAATAAGGAGGAGATACTCATGACAATTATATTTCTTGTTTCTGCAACTGGTCATGTGGTAGTATCTGGTATGGATGACTACCTTCCTCTACTGTGCATGCTATATTCCCTTTGCCTTCAGCAAGCAACTCAGCAGGTGGTGGTTTTTTACCTGCTGAAGTGACCCAAACTTCCATTCTGGAAGTGTCTGGGCCATTTGTAGTCCTGCTTGGATTGGGCTGTTGTAGTCTCTCATTGACCTTAATCACATGGCAGGGTAATGGTAAGAGATGCCCTAATGAATCTCCTGTATTCCACAAATATTCTTCCTTACCTCTATTGTGAAACAGTAGATTGATTTCATCTTGATAATCCAGGTCAATCACCCCAGCTAACACTGTAACTCCCTTTTTAGCCGTTTTACTTAGAGGTAGGAGGAGCCCAAAGTGGCCAGGTGGCAATCTTGACTTCCAGATTTGTTGTGTCTCCCGGTAACAGTGTTCATCCCTCTGGAACTAAGACCTCTAAGCCGGCAGAACTAATGTCATGGAAACAGGAAGCAAAAATTGTGCTAATGGATCACTAGGAGTGATGGTGAGTGGTGCCACTTCCACTTCCACCCCTTGCTTCCTGGACCCATGAATCCTGGCTATGGGAGAAACAGTACCATATACTGTATGCTGATTCAAAGCATACACAGCCTTCTGGGGAACTCTGCCCCAGCCCTGCAAAGTATTGTTGCATAGTTGGTATTGTAATTGTGACTTTAAAAGGCCATTACTCTTGTATCAATCCAGCTGCTTCTGGATTGATAGGATGACAGGGAACATGGTAAGACCAGTGAATTCCATGAGCATGAGCCCCCTGCTGCACTTCTTTAGCTGTAAAGTGAGCGCTTTGGTCAGAGGCAATGCCATGTAGAACACCGTGATGGTGGATAAGGCATTCCATGTGGCCACAGATGGCAGTCTTGACAGAAGCATTGGGTGTAGGATAAGCAAACCCATATCCGGAGCATCTATTCTGGTGAGGACAAACTGCTGCCTTTTCCATGTTGGACGAGGTCCAATATAATCAACCTGCCACTAGGTAGCTGGCTACCTAGTGGATACCTAGTGGATACCATCACCCTGAAGGATGGTATCATATGGAGGGCACAGTGTTGGTCTCTGCTGCTTGCAAATTGGGCACTGAGCAATGGCTGTAGCCAGGTCAGCCTTGGTGAGTAGAAGTCTATGTTGCTGAGCCCATGTGTAACTTTCATCCCTGCTACCATGACCACTTTGTTCGTGGGCCCATTGAATGATGACAAGGATGGCTGAGGAAAGAGGTTGAGTGGTTTCCACAGAACAGGTCATCCTATCCTTCCACTTGATTATTAAAATCCTCCTCTGCTGAGGTCAACCTTTGGTGGGCACTCACATGAGATACAATATCTTCACACTTTGTGATCAATCAGAGTGATCCATCCTCATAAGTCTTCCCCAAATTTCTTTGTCACCAATTTTCCAATCACGCTTCTTCCAAGTCCCTTACCATCTGACCAAACCACTGGCGACAGCCCATGAATCAGTATATAATCACGCATCTGGCCATTTCTTTTTCCAAGGAAAGTGCACAAAGGGGAGCACTGCTCGAAGTTCTGCCCACTGGGAAGATTTCACTTCACCACTGTCCTTCAGAGATGTCCTAGAAAGGGGCTACAGTGCTGCAGCTGTCCACTTTTGGGTGGTACCTGCATATTGTGCAGAGCCATCTGTAAACCAGGCCCTTGTCTCCTCTTCCTCTGTCATAGGGAACTCCTATGTCATAGGCAACTCCCTGTGAGGCGATCAGTGCAGGCTGGGGGACAGACGGCAAGGCGGCAGGAGTGGGGACCATGGGCATTTGAGCCACTTCCTCATGTAACTTACTTGTGCCCTCAGGACCTGCCTGAGCCCGATCACATATATACCGCTTCCATTTGATGATGGAATGCTGCTATTTACTGTATTAGTCTGTTTTTGGGCTGCTGATAAACATGTACCTGAGACTGAGTGATTTATAAAGAAAAAGAGGTTTAATGGACTTACAGTTCTGCGTGGCTGGGGAAGCCTCACAATCACAGCAGAAGGTGAAAGGCAGGTCTTACATGGCAGAAGACAGGAGAGAAATGAGAACCAAGTGGAAGGGGTTTCCCCTTATAAAACCATCAGATCTCGTGAGACTTATTCACTACCATGAGAACAGTATGGGGAAATCTGCCCCCATGATTCAATTATCTGCCATCAGGTCACTCCCACAACAGGTGGGAATTATGAGAGCTACAATTCAAGATGAGATTTTGAGATTTGGGTGGGGACACAGCCAAACTATATCAGTAGGTTTACTGGATAGTCTATAAGATAGGGGAAAATGTGTCAACTGCACTTTACATAAGAAACAAAAACATGTTTAATTTAATGGCTTTAAAAATAGTCAATTATAAATCTCAGGATGCTTTGAGTGAGCATTGTGAGCTGGGACCCACCCACAAAGTTGGGTGTGATATTGAAAATTCTGTTTTGGGATGGATCCTTTAACAAAGGAGATTAACAGAGCCAGAGCTCTGGACCAGCAATCTTGGCTCTTGTGATAGTCAGCATTGCAAATTAATACCACAATGCAAGCTCAAAGCAAAGTTTACTGAAGCATAGCAATACACTCTCAAAGGAGAGTGGGCGGATTTCTGCGAAGCAAAATCAGCTCCTCTTTACAGAGCTCAGGCGCTTTTATGGCATTTTTGAGGAGGAGTTGAGTTTTGGGCTGTGTCTGAGTGACAGGATCATGTTATTTGATTGGCAGTTTATGATTATATAACTAAAGCTAAACTGTGTGTGTTCCTATCCATAATTCATACAGAAAAGCCCACTCAGGGGCTAGGAGGTAAAACCATCTGTAAGTTTTTCTATAATGATGTATGATGAGTTTGGGGTGGCCTTGAGGATACAATTTTATGTTATTGGGCATTTGTTACTTTAGGGAATTTCCACCTGTGCCCTAGTTTCTCCTTCTACAGGATGTGCTGGCCACAGACTTTTCCACAAACTCCATCCGTTAGAGTGGAGTTAGGGCTGTTTGGCAGCTGAATTTAGGTGGGCTGGGGGCTCTTCATGACAGCTTTTCTGCTCTCCTTTCTCACCCTTTCCTTGCTGCTAATGTCTATCTAACTACCTGACAGGTGAGCTTACCTAGGAAGTTCTGGAGGGTTCTTTTGATGTATCAGCTAAACTCAATAGCAGCAAGAGGGAGTGTTCTTAAAATTCTAGGTGTTCATTCTAGGTCCTTCTGCTCACTACACAAAAAGCCAATCTCTGACACAATGAGTATTGTCAGGGAAGAAGGCTTTAATTGTGTGTTGCAGCCAAGGAAATGAGAGATCAGTCTCAAATCCATCTCCTTGGTCAACTAAAATCAGGGGCTTCTATAGCAAGGAAGAAATGTGACTACATGCAGCAAAACAGAAATTAGGGAGGAGAAAGGAAGAGGACTTGGTCAATAGGAAGGAGGTAGTCAGGCAATCGTGATGGATGAGGGGTCTGGTGTCTTATTGTCCAGATGTGATGATCTGGTAAGTTTCAATTCCTTGATACTGTCTGTGGAGGCCTGATGGTTGGTTTCCTGAGAAGGGAACCCAGATAAAAAAACTGTGACTTTCTCAAACTTTAAGATTGAGAAGATAAATTTCTATGTTTATTCAAATAAACCATAAACATCAGTTAAATGGGACAGTTGGTTTCAATAGCAAGGCTATTGAAAAAGAATTTTTTAAGCTATCGATCCCATCATGTTGCCTATTATCCCACTGGTCACGGTAATTAACATAGTTAAGTACAGAGTCTACAGTTAATTAAAAAGACTCCATCCCCTTTAGGAGGAGCTAAACTATCATTGAAAAAATGCCTCCATACAGATAGGGGAAGAAATCATTGCTAGATTTGCAATTTGCCTCCAAAATGAAATTTCTTTATTATTGATTTAAAGGTAACATTTCTCTTTACTTGACATTTATGCCACTCTTTAAAATTATTAAAATAATAATTATTAGTCACGTAATGATCTTGAAAGAATAACATAGGCTTGTAAGCTAGTTAAAACTCCATAAGGATAGATGAATACCATATTGTTAATGTAATATTATTTTAAATGAGGAAATGTTTACATATGTATTTTACAAAACTTTCAATTAAAATAATTTTTTAAAATATATATTACATTCTGTTGTCAAAATTTGGTCAGATTACATATTCTGAAAAGCATACTAATTCTTAAATAAACATATATAATAAACTAAATGAAAATAAAAAATGATAAACAAAATTAAGCCTATTCATTAGTTATAAAAAGTGGAATGAAAGGTTCAAATCAGGGATAGACCCAAAGGGACTCCAAATTAATGATAATAATTTGTTGCTTAAGCTGGACAGTCAGTACCTGAGAGCCCATTGTGTGTTTTATGGTAAAATATAACATTGCAGTATTGCGGTATAATAAGACATTGATTTTGTTTACAATACATGTTACTGAGTCAAATGGGGAGCCACATTGAAAAGTTTGATTCTTTACCCATAGTTCAAATCACATGCAAGACAAACTCTGGTAAAATTGTTAATATGGATATTAAAATAAAATAGTGTTGCTAAGACAAAAATAATATTTTCATGACCTTCAGATAGGTATATTTTATGATCATTTTAATTTGTATTTTCTCTTTCAGTTATTTTTAATGTTTAATTTATATAAATTTGCTTTATTTTGTTTGAGTGTACCTGAGTAGATTTTCTGTTAGCTTCTTACTAGTATTTAGTCATTTCTCATAGTTACTAAATAATAGTGTGTGGAGAGTTGGATGGAATATTATGTCAGAGCAGAAAATTGTAAAGGAATTTCAACAAGCCTCAACTTAAGTCTTACATAAATAAAAGTATATTATGTAACAATATTAAATGCATCTACGAAAAGGAGAGTTTAGCGATGAAGTCAGAAGAAAAAAATATTGCATTTTAGTAATTCCGACTATAGTTTTGTAATATCTTGAACCAAAATTCTTGATGACTTCAATAATGTTTATACTATCTTCACCTGATCAGAGGCCACATTTTCTTTTTCAGTCTGTTATTAACTTTTACTGCTGCTGTTAACAAATTGTCACGAATTTCATGGCTTAAAGCAACACAAACTTATTCTTCTACAGTTTCAGAGGCCAGAAGCCTGAAATTAGTTCCACTGGGCTAAAGTCAAGGTGTTGGCATGCTGGTTCCTTCTGGAGCACTAGAGGCAGCATGTTTCCATGCTTTCGCCACCTTCTGGAGGCCATCTGTATTCCTTGGCTTGTGTCCCTTTCCTTCGTCTTCCGATTATATAACTCCAATCTCTGCTTCCATTATCACATCACCTCTTCTGACTCCTTTTATGTCTCAT
Source organism: Homo sapiens (assembly GCF_000001405.40). Taxonomy (NCBI): domain Eukaryota; kingdom Metazoa; phylum Chordata; class Mammalia; order Primates; family Hominidae; genus Homo; species Homo sapiens. The sequence goes on from NC_000001.11 coordinate 188,735,888, forward strand.
ATTTTGATTACATCAGGTAAACTTTGATAATCAAGACTATTCCAGGTAACCCATCCAAAGAGCTTTAACATAACAACAAATACAAAGCAGCGTTCATAGAACCAGTGATTAGGACATGGACATCTTTGTGGGGAGGGAGAGCATTATTCAGCCTACTATCTTCAAAAAAAATTATTCTGCATATTGCAAATGAAAAACAAAGAAAAATTTTGTGTATGTTGGTTTTTAGAGCAGCATTAGTCTTGGTCAAGATTAGCCTCAACATTATGATTTTTAACAAACTAATTATTTAAATAAAATATCTGCAACTGTTGTTAAAGCATGTGAAATAATTACCTTGATGTATGAACCTGGAAATAATTCTGTAAAACTAATCTTAGTTTTTAAATATAATTTCACTTTAATGCTGCAAGCTTATAGATTATCTACTGCCTAAACAAAACTGTGAACAAATAGGCAGAAATAATAAAACAGGAAACAAAAAAGGTGTTACAATGATGGCAAAGAGAATGAAGGATTTGGCTATGAACTGCTCTTTTAGTTGGTATTTTTCAATCGGATTAAATAGGGACTCCAAGGGCAGCATCCATAAAAGCTATTATTTAAGCATTAAATTATAATTCTACTTCAAAAACATTTTGGGGACTTAAACAGAAAGAGTGCTGAAGTCTGAAAAAAAATTTATATCAGTGTCAGTTGAGAAACTTAAGGAAAGTTATATCAGCTTTCAAATTTCAATGATTTCACTCACAAATCTCTACTAAATTTAACTACATTTTCAGTTTCTTAATTGCAAGTCTTAACAGAAGGAACTAACACTTCAGAAAATAAGAATCAGAAGTCAGTAAAAATGAATAACCCTGAAATAAATATAAAATATCTAAGTGTTCAGGACCTATGTTTGAACAAATATAAAACCTGTTTCAGGATTTAAAAATACATAAAGGAAATGCAATGTTGTTTAGGATTGGAACACTCAATGTTGTAAAGATTTTATCTCTCTAAATTAACTCATAAATACAAAATATTTTTATTAAAACTGTTATAGGATGTTTTAAAGTTGAGTAAAATATGGCCACAATTCATTCAGACAACGAAAAAGTAAGAAGAGGTTAGACAAATACTTTGATGTGACAAAATGTCATTTTCTTTAACAGATATTCATACTCAATATCCATCACGTTACACACTTGCAGAAATAGAATGACAAATCGAATTAAAAAGAAATTCAAACCAGACTCAGGAATACATAGGAATGTAATGCATAATTCCCTATAAATTTACTAAGTAACAAAAGTATCTTAACATTTGTAAATTAAAATGATTATGTAAAAAATTAAATAGCTGTTTGAACAAAAATCCTGTGTGATGGTTAATTTTATACATTTACTTAACTGAGCCACCAGGTGCCCAGATATTTAGTTAAATATTATTCTGAGTATGCCTGTGAGAGTGTTAATGGATGAGATTAACTTTTGAATTTGTAGTCTGAGTAAAGTAGACTGCCCTCCCTGATGTTGGTAAGTCTCATCTAAATCATTGAAGGACTGTATAGAGCAAAAAATATATAATAAGGTAGAATGTACTACATCAACCTGACTGTGTTCAAGCTGGGACACTGGTCTTTTCCTGCCTTTGAACTCAGGCTTTGGAAATTACATAATCAGCTATCCTGGAGTTCATTCAGATTCAGACTGTAATTACATCATCAGCTTTCCAGCCTGTGTATTTCTACATCTAAATATAGATAGAGATATATATTTTTTGTTGTTTCTCTGGAAAACCCTGACTTATCCAGCCTAAGAACTTTTTTTAGATGCAATTACATCGTTTGTTCATTTAAAAAAAATACTATTTAAAATACAGTTGACCCTTGGATGAAGCTGCAGTTAGAGGGGGTAACACTTGGTGCAGTTAAAGATCCACATGTAAGTTTTGACTCTCTAAAAACTTAACTATGAGTGCCCTATTCTTGACTGAAAGTCTTATTGATAACACAGCTAATTAGTACATATTTTATGTTATATATATTATATACTGTATTCTTACAATAAAGTAAGCTAAAGAAAAGGAAATGTTTTTAAGAAAATTGCAAGGAAGAGAAAATATATTTTCTATTTGTTAAATGGAAGTGAATCATCATAAAGGTCTTCATCCTCATTGTCTTCGTGTTGAGTAGGCTGAGGAGAACTGTGAGGTACCACCTTTTGCTGCTATAAGCAATTTACCTGAGAGAGGAACTTCTTAGGCAGAGGTAATTGGCATTTGAAGTAGATATCTACAACACTTGAGCTCACTGCAATAGCAACAATAGGCAGCTATGAAATTTCAACAGTAGCACATTATGTACTACAGTTAATTTTATGCAGTTATGATTTAATACTGAATCTTTACTGTTGTTTACATTTCTCTCCATTCTGAATGGTGCCCATGAAGAGTCTGTAAGTATTTGCGGGTAGGTTTTGACAAATTTTAACTTTTTATCATAAATGCATGGTTTTATGGTAGAATAAGACAAAATGGACTTGTACCTCCATATGTCTTATGCCTTATGGCATACCTATTTTTTCTTATTTTTGATATTACTAGGCTACACAATTTGTGAGCTTTTTTCAAATTGTTGCACATCTCCAAAAATTTTTCCAATATATTTACTGAAAAAAAATGTGTGTAAGTGGACCTGTGCATTTCAAACCCACATTGTTCAAGGGTCAACTGCAGTAAAAATAAATAAATAAATAAATAAAAGTTACAATCAACACAGGATTAATGTAATCTCAGCAATGACTACGGCCATCTAAAAACAGAGTAACTATATCTTCTTTTCTTTAAAGTTAACAAAATATATTAAGCTAGAAAAGAGCCATTTTAAAAGATCTCTCATACTAACTAATGTATACCGCTACCCACTCACATTTTATATATCAAATGCATAGGTGTGTAATTCAAATAAAACCCATCAGTAGTGTAAGATAATTCGGTTTACAGTATAGGCTAGTTACCAACATATTTCTAGTGTGGGCTTACCTCTTGATAATAAGCCAAAGAATATCCAGTAAGAACTCACTTTCATTTCAGATTTATATAGCATGACTGAACAAAATACAACCAATATCAATGGGAAAGGAAAAAATTAAAACCGTCCAAGTTACATATACATTTTTATATAAACTATATACAAGCAGAAATGAAAAAGGAAGGAAGGAGAAAAAAGAAAAAGGAAGGTAATCAGATAGATTAGAGTGCTCGCTCACTAAATAGATAGATGAATACAGAGAAGGAAGGAAGATGCTTACATTTTCATCAAGGGATGTTTCCACACTCTTCTTTAGCTCTATTAGAGTTACACAGTTGTAACCAGTAAAACAGATAATTTTATTCCCCATGCTATGGAAAACTAGAATCAATGGAATCAATGTCGAGGCTGTAATAGAACAGCAAGATGTGGGAACCGAACTTTTGTATCTCTATAGTACATACACTTCATACACTTATTTATTTGCTGATCTATATCAGCATTTTTAAACCAAAAATTTTGTGCTGATTATTCTTTTGTGTGGTTCTCAACCTTGTCTACACATTAAAAAGAAGAATAATATATTTTAATATATCAATGTTTGTGCTCTATGCCAGACCAATTAAATCAGAATATCTGGTGAAAAGGCCCTGTCAAGAATATTTTTGAACTTTTAATTGATGTATATAATAAATGAATAAACAAGTACACACATCATTCATATAATTGACATTTAATTTAAAATGTATGATAAGGAATTGTTTCAAAATTAACATTAACATTGTTTTTATGGTTAGAGTATAAAGAAAAAGACTGAACTACTTATGTTTTCCTGTCGTTTTCTATTCCCTTAAGATCAATTGAATTGAACATAAAGAGATCAAAATGACTCTAAAAGTTCAAATTAACTATATAGTGATAGTATATGCTAATTTTAATCTCATATTAGTAAAATTTTACATACTCATAGGCACACTAGCATAGAATTTGAAATATGGTCAGCTTTCCATATCCATGGGTTCCACATCCATGAATTCAACCAACCAACCATGAATTGAAAATATTCAAAAGAAAATTGTATCTTCTCTGAACATATACAGACTTTTTTCTTGTCATAATTCTCCAAACAATACAATAAAACAACTACTTGCACAGCATTTACATGTGTTAGGTATTATGCACAACCTAGAAATGATTTAAAATTTAAGAGAGGATGTGCATAAGTTATGTACAAATCCTATGCCATTTTATATCAGAGACTTGAGCATCCATGGATGTCTGATATTTTTAAGAGATCTTTGAACCAATTTAGGGATTTTGTTATATAATACATAATACATAATAAGGTTGTAGTGTCTCTTGTGACATACAAAAATAATTTTGTAAGATGATAGGTATGTTATTCTGCTTAATCACAGTAATCATTGTACTATCTATATGTATCTTTATAACTGTATGAATCCCATAACATTATGTTGGAAACCTCAAATGTATGCAATAAAAGAGTTAAAAAAAAAAAACTAAAACAAAGTTGACAAAAAGGTTAAATATCTTTAAAAATTTACATAATTATTGACTTATAGCATATATATCATAAAGTCCACATTAAAAGGGTACAAATTGTACATGTGTACTAATTGATTATGTATTATATACATATATACACATATTATTTTTCTTATTAAAGACTACCAGATGAGTACATAGAATATTGAAACCTTCCAAGATACAAGAAGTCTTCAATGTCCACTTCTTAGTCAAAATCCATGAATCAGAATTAACTAGTTTTCTGACTTCTATCACTCTAGATTACACTGTTTCTTTTTTTAAAAAAATCACATAAATTGAATTATATATTGTTTTATACCTGGCTTCTTTTGTTCAATATTATGCTTGTGAAATTTATTCATGAGTTTACATAGATCAACCTATTTTTAATTGTAAGTTATTCCATTATTTGAGTATAATACAATTTGTTTATTCTATCTACTGCTTATGGACATTTCAGTGTCCACGTAAGCCAAGTAAACCAAAATGACACGGCAAAGATTCTGAAAATTAAACTATCATTGGACCCTCAGCCCACAAACTAGGCCAAGACTCACATGCTGAACCTAAACAGGGTGACTGCCTGATGAAATAAAATATTTAAATCAAATTCTGGGTGTCCTAACACAATAGACCAGATGTCTAAGATATATTTTTAAAAAATAAGCTCACACGTCTTAAAAAGAAATAAGCAAATCACAACTTGCATAAGTAAAGATAATCAACTGATGTTAACACCATGATGAATCAGATGCTGGTATTTTTTGAACAAGAATTTTAAAGTAGAATCTGAGTTTCATAATAAAGGTTAGAAAATTGTCATACTATATAAAATACCAATGAAAAATCCTCAAATTTCTTCCACACATGCATTTTAGCTATTTAATCACTTACAAATTAAAATACATATTTAAAAACTTTATCTGCCTAAAATAATATTATTGGGCTGGGCACGGTGGCTCACGCCTCTAATCTCAGCACTTTGGGAGGTCAAGACAGGTAGATCACAAAGTCAGGAGTTCGAGACCAGCCTGGCCAATATGGTGAAACACTGACCCTACTAAAAATACAGAAAAATTAGCCAGGCATGGTGGCACACGCTTGTAATCCACTTGGGAGGCTGAGGGAGGAGAATTGCTTGAACCTGGGAGGCGGAGGTTGCAGTGAGCCAAGATGGCGCCAGTGTACTCCAGTCTGGGTGACAGAGAGAGACTCGGTCTCAAAAAAAAGAAAAATAAGCAAAGGATCTGAAGAGACATTTCTCAAAAGTTGAAATACAAATGACCAAAAGGTACATGGAAAAATGTTTCACATCATTAATTATCAAAACAATGAAAATTAAAACTACAATGACATATCATCTCACCCCAGTTCAAATGACTTTTATCCAAAAGACAGATAATGAATTGTGGAGAGGATTTGAAGAAAGGTAAACCCTCTTATGTTGTTGGTGATAATGCAAATTAGTACAGCTACTATGAAGAACAGTATGAAGGTTCCTTAACAGAACTGAAAATGTAAGTATTATATAATTTCAGCAATTCTACTGCTGGCTATGTGTATAAAAGAAAGGATATCAGTATATTAAAGAGAAAGGTGCACTCCCATGTTTACTGTGGGACTATTAGCAATAGCTAAGATATGGAATCTACTTATATATCCATTGATGAAGAAATGGAAAAATAAAATGTGTTACATATACACAATGGAATATTATTCAATAATAAAAAGGAATGAAATTCTGTTATTTACAAGAACATGGGCACTACTGGAAAGCATTATAAGTAAAGCAAGCTTGGCACAGAAAGATGAATATTGCATGTTCTCATTTACATGTAGGACCTAAAGCAAAACAGTGGAACTAAAAACAAAAAATAGAACTCATGGAGGTAGACAGTAGAATGATGGTTACCAGAGGCTGAAAAAGAAGGGAAGCAGTTAAATGGAGGAGATTGTCAGTGGGTACAAAAATACAGTTAGATAGAATGACTAGTGTTAGGTGGCTCAATCTGGTGTCTGTAGTTAATAATTTATTGTACATTTCAAAATAACTATAAGTGAAATTGAAATTTCCTAACACAATGAAATAATAAACCTTTGAGGTGATGTATACCTCTATTACCTGATTTGATCATTACACATGTTACACTTGAATCAAAAGGTCACATGCAGTCCATAAATATAACAGCTATTATGTATCCAAAATAATTAAAAACAAAAAAAATAGAAATAAAATTAACATTTTGGATGAATGTTTAGTGGCAAATTTCAAAATCAGAATTTGAAGCAACTTGCTCTGAAACATAAAACTGCATGCCATCCTAGTCAAGGAACAATAAAGTCTAGTTGGAATGGGTTTTACAACAAATTTAGAAGACTATTTGGACACCACAAATGCAAGAGGAAGAGGGAAATCGAAATACATTGTGTGAGATTTGCAAACAAAATAAATGAAAATAGCAACATTACTGTTGTGACTTGCATTAGGGCACTCAACTTCTCCCATATCCATAAAAAAATTTCAACCCTAATTTTAAGATGTTCCATTCTTTTTTTAACTTTTACTTTAGATTTGGGGTACATGTGAAAGCTTGCTAGATAGGTAAACTTACTTCAGGTAGGTAACCTTATATCAGTGTTTTTTACAGATTATTTCATCACTCAGGTATTAAGCCTAGTACCCAATAGTTATCTTTCCTGCTCCTCTCCCTCCTCCCAACCTCCACCCTCAAGTAGACTGCAGTGTCTGTTGTTTCCTTCTTTGTGCTCACGAATTCTCATCACTTAGCTCCCAGTCTAAATGAGAACATGCAGTATTTGGAAGGTTTACCTTTCTTATAGGTAATATGAAAATGCTACATCACTGGCTGTGGAATGGCTTCCATAAAACTATCAGTTCAAATATTCCTTTAGAACATGGGCCTGGAGTTTCAAGTAGTTTATTCCATGAAGGACTTCTTGCAAAAAGTATCATATGCAGTCAATTTTCGCCTGTTCACCATTCTCCATTTCTATAACATCTGTATTATTGTCACTGGCAAAGGTTAATCAGTTGATGATAGATTTTAGGCAGATGAGTCCACATTTTCTGTACAGTGCTTTAGCAGTGTCTGTATAGAAGACATTGAATGGAAAGTTTACTAAAGATTCCCCACCTGAGAACTGTGTACATCTTCTAGATACTGAAAGAATCACAGGATAGGAAGACTCCTACACATGATATTTAGATTTACATCAGATGGTCAAGGAAATAGCAGGATGTGACCAGACATTATTCCTGGGTTCAAAATGTTTGCTCTGATTTAGACAGTCATAAAATTGCACAGAAAAAAAAAGCTTGCATTAAAGGAAAAACAAAAAGACCAGTTCACAAATGGGCTGAAGTTAAATCCAAAACATGCAAATTTATAAGTAAACTGAGGAAATTATGAATTTTGTATCATCTTTGAAGAAATGCAACATCATTCTAGACTCAAGTACTCCTAGGCTCAAGTTATCTCAATTTTTTTATACACAATGTCATAGATTAAATTTAAAACAAACAAACATGTATGCACAAAAGCAGATATGAAAATAAATCCAAGAGAAGAAATTTACATTAATAAAAAACCAATAGGAAACCAGGTAAATGAGTTTTCAAATACGTCAAAATAACTGCATTTAATATATCAAGAAAAACAAAACATGTAAAGAATCATGGCAGATGACTGGAATCCATATAGCAGAACCAAATGAAAAATCTGAAACTGACAAAACAAATAACAATTTAAGAACTCAAGGGATGGAAGTAAAAACACATTAGACAAAGGTGAATAAAGAATTTCTAAACTGGAGAATAAATGAGAAGAAAATCTAGACTGAAATTTTGAGAGAAAAGCTACTCTAATAATAACAACAAAATAGAACAGAAAATCTGAACAACAGTCCAAGTAAAGGGAAGCTTTAAGAGGTCTACAAGTTGACCTATTAAGGTTACAGGAAACCAGCTGAATATAAAATGCTATTTTCAAATCACCAAAAGAAAATTACTGGCAACAGGAGGCCTAGGCAGGCGGATCACGAGGTCAGGAGATTGAGACCATCCTAGCTAACACGGTGAAACCCTGTCTCTACTGAAAATACAAAAAAATTAGCCTGGCATGATGGTGGACGCCTGTAGTCCCAGCTACTTGGGAGGCTGAGGCAGGAGGATGATGTGAACCTGGGAGGCGGAGCTTGCAGTGAGCCGAGATAGCACCACTGCACTCCAGACTGGGCAATGGAGCGAGTCTGTCTCAAAAAAAAAAAAAAAAGAGAAAAGAAAATTACTGGCAATATTGGATACTACTGCAGTACAAGTATTCTTCAAATTATAAGTGAAATGAAGCTATTTTTATTCAGAGTAAATCTGAGAAATTTAATACCAGCAAATGCATAATTAATGAATTACCTGTAAACAGAATATATAAAATTCTCAAATCAATGAGAAAAAAACAATGAGAAAAAAAGACAACTTAACTTAAAAGTGTATAATACTTGAAGCAGCACTTTGCAATTAGGACATCCTCTGGCTAGTGATAAATTCTGTTGAGGAAATTCGTGAAGAACTGACCTGAATAAAGTGGAGTTGGACAGTGGCAGACATTAAACTAAGACAGTTAATACCATGCATTCCACGGCCAAATTATTCAGGCTTTCAGAAAAACCTATAATTAAGCAAGTTTTTTTGTTTGTTTGTTTGTTTTATACTTCTAGTCAGCCTACTCAAGGGCAAATGCCACAATCTTCAATTTTTACATTTTCTTACGTTTTCATCATTACGAACATTTTCTCCCACTTAGAAGGCAGAAACCAATTATGTAATCATCATAAGATGTAGCTTAGCACCTATATCTTTTAATCTTTAAAAATGTCCAGATGCAGAAAAAGTAAATAAAATATCACTCAGGAAATTAGATCTGCTGGCAATGTTTTTTGTGAATGTCTTGGGAAAACTTTGGCAAGGAAAGTGCTCCAAAAAGCTGCATTGTGGAAGAAATGCTATTTTTCAAAAATAATAATAAAGAGTTTATCAATTCCTGGCAAAATTCAGAAGCAGTTATCAAAAACATCATTAACAAAGATGAAAAATCTTTGGCCTTTGAAAAATTAAAAGTAACAAACTTTGGGTGAAAGCGAAAACTACTCAAAATTACATAAATTTTAAAGGTCATAAAGCTCAAAAATTGTGCCAAACTCTTCACGTGTGCTCTTAAGAATTATTTAACAAGTCTAATTTTGAAACATGTTAACATGTATGCCTATATATTGTTGTTACGCAGATTGCACATTATGCAAACATTAACATTACCCCCTCAATCTATGTTGGCACATGGCTCAAAATAAATGTGGATATTTAATGACATTTCAAAGGTTTATATTTTTGCCTGATATGAAACTAATAAAAATGACATTTTGATGAAGGCATTTAATGCATGCATAATGGAGGGTTATAGAAGTCTGAAAATACACAAATATTAAATAATATAAATAATCTCTAAATCATTATTAAATGTCACTATTAGGTTATTAGGTTTACAGGATTACCATTAAAAATACTTCAAATATGTAATGAATAAAATACAATATTTGAAATTTATTAAAGATTACACAAATTCTTTAATATATGTTTTAAAATAAGAGATTGCATGAGTAATATATTAATGATATGATTAACAAAAGAGAAGAAAATGATTTCAGGATCTGGTGGTACCAATTGTTGAAAAGTTTAATGAGTGAATCATTTAATGCAGATGGTAAAATAGCAGACATAATCTTGTTTGCATTAATGTAGTGTAAACAACATCACAGAAAATAATCATCCAACAGCAATCAGTGTTAAATAAGACAACCCCAGGAGGATTATATTCATTAATAAGAAGCATGCTATTCATCATTAAAGCACTAAACTTAACATAGTTCAGAGCCTCGAGTAAATATTCCACTAATGTTTGTGAACTTCTGTCCTGAAAAGCATTCAGAAGTTAATAATGCAAATGGTAAGAGGTGAGAAATCCATGTCACACAGACATCATTCAGAATAATTAGACATGCTTAAAAAGAGAAGGTTCAAGACAAAGTGTAAAAACAATTTAAATATTGAACAGCCATCTCTTCCTTTAAAAATATTCACTAGTTATTGCCTTAATAACAAGCATGGTGATCAACATAACCCATGAGAGAGTAAATTAACTCTATGTTGTTTCAAATTGCAAAGCTTTGACAGGTTTTATTCATACATGAGGTAGAACTAATAATAATAGATTTAGCGGCTTTGTCTCTCCTGAATTTCAAATGTTTATGTAAACACTGAATGCCCTTTTGCTGTACTATAAGTCAGTTGAAGATGTTTGTTGTGGGACTTAATGGACCTGTATATAACCTTATGTTAACATTATATAGTTTGGTAAAACTTTCGTCACTAGTTGCATTTCCAGGCATAATTATGTGTTAATTCCATGGCTTACCCAACACTCAATTATCTAACATTAAAAATTCTTGGCATTATTTTATATGCTTTTCTTATTGTTTTCCATAATTACTTCTTGACAGGTGTAGAACTATTCTAAAATGTACTCTCTTAGTCTTTTTTAGTTTATTTAAAATACTACTACTTTCATCTTTTTTCTTGAATCTCAAAAATGAAAATAAAGGTCTCACTATTAATTTTATGATCTCCATTTTATGGCACATGTATTTTCCACTTCGTAGCCTACATTTTTTCACAATTAAAATGTAGTATTTTAAATGCATATTTTTGTCTGAATGACCCCGGAAATTACTATGTAGGAATAAGCAGAAAGACTTTTGCAGGCTTATTTTTGAGGAGTGAGTGGCAGGCAGGGTTTGTAGGCTAGAAATAGGCTGTTAGAAGTTTGATTACAGTAGTTTGTCTTTAATTGTCATTTTGCTTTCTGCGGTTTCAGCTACCCATTGTCAAGTGTGTTCCAAAAATGTTAAACTACAATATTCCAGAAATCAGCAATTCATAAGTTTTAAATTGCATGCTCTTCTTAGTAGCATGATGAAATCTTGTGCCCTCCTGCTCTGTTCCCTTTTAATCACAAAACAGGTGATATGGTTTGGCTCTGTGTCCCCGCCCAAATCCCACATTTAGTTGTCGGAGTATTGGAGGTGAGGCTTGTGGGAGGTGATTGGATCATTGGGGTGGTTAATAACAGTTTAGCACCATCCCCCTAGTGCTGTCTGGTGATAGAGTTTTCACAAGATCTGGTTGTTTAAAAATGTGTAGCACTTTCCCCTTTGCGCTCTCTCTCTCATCTGCTCTGGGCTTTTGAAGACTGACTGCTTCCCCTTCACCTTCTGCTGGGTTTTCCTGAGGCCTCTCCAGCCATGCTTTCTGTACACCTGTGGAACTGTGAGTCAATTAAACCTCTTTTCTTCATAAATTTCCCCGTCTCAGATATGTCTTTATAGCAGTGTGAGAACAAGCTATTAATACAGACAATTGGTACTGGGAGTTGGGCATTGCAATAAAGATACCTGAAAAATGTGGATGTGACTTTCAAACTGGGTAATGGATGGAGGTTTAAACAGTTTGGAGGGCTCAGAAGAAGATAGGGAGATGAGGGAAAGTTGCAACTTCCTGGAGAACTGTTGAGTGGTTGTGACCAAAATGCTGGTAGTGATAGAGACAGTGAAGTCCAGGCTGATGCGGTCTCAGATGTAGATGAGGAACTCATTGGGAACTGGAGCAAAGGTCACCCTTGCTATGCTTTAGCAAAGAGATGGCAGCACTGTGGCCCTACTCTAGAGATCTGTGGAACTTTGAACTTGAGAGAGATGATTTAGTTTATCTAACAGAAAAAATTTCTAAGCAGCAAAGCATTCAGGAGGTGATCTGGCTGTTTCTAAAAGTTTGCACTCATTTGCAAAAACAAAGAAATGGCCTGTAACTAGAACTTATATTTAAAAGGAAAAAAGAGCACAAAAGTTTGGAAAATTTGCATCCTGGCCATGTGGAAGAAAAGAACAAAACCCATTTTATGAAGAGGAATTCAAGGCTGGAGAAATTTGCATAAGTAAAGAACACCCAAATGTTAACAGCCAAATCAATAGGGAAAATGCCTCCAAGGTATTTCAGAGGACTTTCTGGCAACCCTTCCCATCACAAGCCTAGAGGCCTAGGAGACAAAAATGGTTTCGTGTTCCAGACCCAGGGCTCCACTGCTTTGTGCAGTCTTGAGACATGGTGCCCTGCATTCTAGCTGCTCCAGTCCAGTCCTGGCTAAAAGGGTAGAAGGTACAGCTCAGTCCATTGTTTCAGAAAGTACAAGCTCCAGGCCTTAGCTGCTTCCACTGATGTTTGTAAGCTTCTGTTCTAAAGACAATTCAGAAGTTAATAATGCAAATATTAAGAGATGAGAAATCCATGTCACACAGAGATCATCCAAATAACTAAACATGCTTAACAAGACATAGTTTAAGACAAGGTGTGAAAACAATTTAAATATTGAACTGCCAAACAATTTAAATATTGGACTGCCAAAATGTTTTAAGCTAAAAATATTTATTAAAGGCATTTTCTTTATAACATTCTTGTCAGTGCACATAATTCTAATTGCAATGTTTTTCACCATTCATTCAAATACAGTATAACAATACACAGTATAACACAAAATTTTACAAAGATACTAAAAAGTGTCTGACCAATTAAGTCATGAGTTCACAAAGCAGAAACTAAAGATTAAATGCTGAATATTAAGATGAAAATTACTATACAGATACTTTAGGAAATTCTTCAAAGAAGTACACTGCCAGGAAAAATCCTTATATGTACATCTATACTACATCAAACTTGACAGCAAAAGTGCTACTTCCCAGAGTGAAATGCCTAACCTTGTTTTTACTCTAACTCCTTACTTTGAATTTTATCCTGCTTGTCTCTTTAATCACCTAGCCTTGCTTCTCATGTAAATAAGACTTCCTCTAGCTGGGAAAGCCGGACAAACTCCAATTGACCCCTTAATTTACAAGACACTAAGGCTCCTTACCCAACCCCCTTCCGTAAGGAGTTGGCCTGTGTAAATGATCCTCAGCATTTCAAAGGAGCCCAATTAACTGATAAGGTACTAACACCAACAATGTATGAAGTTCCCAGGATTTTTCTCAAGGAGATAACAACATAAAACCTTGAGTTCCTGTCCGGCATAGACCCTGTATCTAATTATAATGAAAGATTTAGAAGCTTGCACCTGGTACTATTGCTCTTTTTGTAACCATTTGTCTTTTAAATTGTTTATCTCTCTGTAACCATTTTGCTTCTTTTGAATCTTGCATGTTTTTACTTCTGTAGAATTATTGCATTTGAGTCCCCCTCCCCTTTCTAAACCTAGGTATAAAAGTTAATCAAGCCCCTTCCTCGGGGCCGAGAGAATTCTGAGTGTTAGCCGTCTCTTTGGCCACCAACTTAATAAAGGATTCTTAATTTGTCTCAAAGTATGGCATTTCTCTAACTCGCTTGGGTACAACAAGAGCATTGAGTAGTAAAAATATATATAGAACTTCAGGCCTGCAGGTGCATGGAAAGCAAGAGTTTAGGTTTGGGGGCTTCCACCTAGATTTCTGAGAATGTATAGAAACACCTGGATGTCTAGGCAGAAGTCTGCTGTAGGGGCGGAGCTCTCATGGAGAACCTATCCTAGGGCAGTGAAGAATGGAAATGTAGAGTTGGAGCTCCCACATAGAGTCCCCACTGGGGCACTGCCTAGTGGAGCTATGAGAAGAAGGCTATCATCCTCAAGACTCCAGAATGGTAGATCCATCAACAGCTTGCACCATGCACCAGGAAAAGCCACAGACACGCAATGCCAACCCATGAAAACAGCTATGGGGGCTGTACACTGCAGTCACAGGGGCAGACCTGTCCAAGACCTTGGGTGGCCACCCCTTTCATCAGTGTGGCTTGGATATGAGACATGAAGTCAAAGGAAATTATTTTGGAGCTTTAGGATTTAACGACTGCTTCTCTGGGTTTCAGACATGTAAGGGGCTTGTAACCTCTCTGCTTTGGCTCATTCCTCCCTTTTGGAGTGTGAGCATTTACCCAATGCCTGTACCCTTATTGTATCTTGGAAGTAACTAACTTGTTTTAATTTTATAGGCTCATAGGTGAAAGGGAATGTGTCTTGTCTCAGATGAAAATTTGGACTATGGACTTTTGAGTTAGTGCTGAGATGAGTTAAGACTTAGTGTACTGTTGAGAAAGGATGATTGTATTTTACAATATGAGAAGGACATGAGATTTGGAGGGGCCAGGGGCAGAATGATATGGTTTGGCTCCATGTCCCCACCCAAATATCATGTTGATTTGTGATCCTGAGTGTTGGAGGTGGAGTTTAGTGGAAGGGAGTAGTTTCTAATGGTTTAGTACCATCACGCTAGTGTTGTCTCATGAAAGAGTTCTCATAAGATCTGGTTAGATAAAAGTGTGTAGCACTTCCCCCTCCTCTCCCTTTTTCTACTGCTCTGGCCATGTGAAAACCATGCCTGCTTCCCCTTTGCCTTCCTCCATGATTGTAATTTTCCTAAGGCCTCCCCAGCCATGCCTCTTGTGTAGCCTGTGGAACTGAGTCAATTAAATCTTTTTTTTTTTTTTTTCATAAATTACCCAGTCTCAAGAAATGACTTTATAGTAGTGGGAGAATGGATTAATACATAAGGTGAGTACAGTACAATAATACATTTTGAGAGAAAGAAAGAGAGAAGGAAAGATCATATACACCTAACTGTTATTACAGTATATTTGAAGGGATGGGTTGCCCCTCCACACCTGTGGGCGTTTCTCGTCAGGTGGAACGAGAGACTTGGAAAAGAAAGAGACACAGAGACAAGACATAGAGAAACAAAAATGGGCCCAGGGGACCGGCACTCAGCATATGGAGGACCTGCGCCGGCACAGGCCTCTGAGTTTCCTTTTAGTACTTATTGATCATTATCAGGCATTTACCTGAGAGAGGGATGTGCCTGGAGAGAGGGATGTGGCAGGACAATAGGGTAATAGTGGAGAGAAGGTCAGCAGGAAAACATGTGAACAAATGTCTCTGCATCATAAACAAGGTAAAGAAAAAAGTGCTGTGCTTTTGATGTGCATATACATAAACATCTCAATGCCTTAAAGAGCAGTATTGCTGCCAGCATGTGCCACCTCCAGCCCTAAGGCGGTTTACCCCTATCTCAGTAGATGGAATATACAATCGGGCTTTACAGGGAGACATTCCATTGCCCAGGGATGAGGAGGAGACAGATGCCTTCCTCTTATCTCAACTGCAAAGAGGCCTCAGCACAGACCCTTTACGGGTGTGGGTGTCGGGCTGGGGAATGGTCAGGTCTTTCCCTTCCCACGAGGCCATATTTCAGACTATCACATGGGGAGAAACCTTGGACAATACCTGGCTTTCCTAGGCAGAGGTCCATGCAGCCATCCGCAGTGTACTGTCTCTCTGGGTACTTGAGATTAGGCAGTGGTGATGACTCTTAACAAGCATGCTGCCTTCAAGCATTTGTTTAACAAAGCACATCCTGCACAGCCCTTAATCCATTTAACCCTGAGTTGACACAGCACGTGTTTCAGGGAGCACAGGGTTGAGGGTAGGGTTACAGATTAACAGCATCTCAAGGCAGAAGAATTTTTCTTAGTACAGAACAAAATGGAGTCTCTTATGTCTACTTCTTTCTACACAGACACAGTAACAGTCTGATCTCTCTTTTCCCCACATATATTGTTTTTTATTTATTTATTTATTTATTTATTTATTTATTCTTATACTTTAAGTTTTAGGGTACATGTGCCCATTGTACAGGTTAGTTACATATGTATACATGTGCCATGCTGGTGCGCTGCACCCACTAACTCGTCATCTAGCATTAGGTATATCTCCCAATGCTATCCCTCCCCCCTCCCCCCACCCCACCACAGTCCCCAGAGTGTGATATTCCCCTTCCTGTGTCCATGTGATCTCATTGCTCAATTCCCACCTATGACTGAGAATATGTGGTGTTTGGTTTTCTGTTCTTGCGATAGTTTACTGAGAATGATTTCCAATTTCATCCATGTCCCTACAAAGGACATGAACTCATCATTTTTTATGGCTTCATAGTATTCCATGGTGTATATGTGCCACATTTTCTTAATCCAGTCTATCATTGTTGGACATTTGGGTTGGTTCCAAGTCTTTGCTATTGTGAATAATGCTGCAATAAACATACGTGTGCATGTGTCTTTATACCAGCATGATTTATAGTCCTTTCGGTAGATACCCAGTAATGGGATGGCTGGATCAAATGGTATTTCCAGTTCTAGATCCCTGAGGAATTGCCACACTGACTTCCACAATGGTTGAACTAGTTTACAGTCCCACCAACAGTGTAAAAGTGTTCCTGTTTCTCCACATCCTCTCCAGCACCTGTTGTTTCCTGACTTTTTAATGATTGCCATTCTAACTGGTGTGAGATGGTATCTCATTGTGGTTTTGATTTGCATTTCTCTGATGGCCAGTGATGATGAGCATTTTTTCATGTGTTTTTTGGCTGCATAAATGTTCTTCTTTTGAGAAGTGTCTGTTCATGTCCTTCGCCCACTTTTTGATGGGGTTGTTTGTTTTTTTTCTTGTAAATTTGTTTGAGTTCATTGTAGATTCTGGATATTAGCCCTTTGTCAGATGAGTAGCTTGCAAAAATTTTCTCCCATTTTGTAGGTTGCCTCTTCACTCTGATGGTAGTTTCTTTTGCTGTGCAGAAGCTCTTTAGTTTAATTAAATCCCATTTGTCAATTTTGGCTTTTGTTGCCATTGCTTTTGGTGTTTTAGACATGAAGTCCTTGCCCATGCCTATGTCCTGAATGGTAATGCCTAGGTTTTCTTCTAGGGTTTTTATGGTTTTAGGTCTAACGTTTCAGTCTTTAATCCATCTTGAATTGATTTTTGTATAAGGTGTAAGGAAGGGATCCAGTTTCAGCTTTCTACATATGGCTAGCCAGTTTTACCAGCACCATTTATTAAATAGGGAACCCTTTCCCCATTGCTTGTTTTTCTCAGGTTTGTCAAAGATCAGATAGTTGTAGATATGCGGCATTATTTCTGAGGTCTCTGCTCTGTTCCATTAATCTATATCTCTGTTTTGGTACCAGTACCATGCTGTTTTGGTTACTGTAGCCTTGTAGTATAGTTTGAAGTCAGGTAGTGTGATGCCTCCAGCTTTGTTCTTTTCGCTTAGGATTGACTTGGCAATGCGGGCTCTTTTTTGGTTCCACATGAACTTTAAAGTAGTTTTTTCCAATTCTGTGAAGAAAGGCATTAGTAGCTTGATGGGGATGGCATTGAATCTGTAAATTACCTTGGGCAGTATGGCCATTTTTATGATATTGATTCTTCCTACCCATGAGCATGGAATGTTCTTCCATTTGTTTGCATCCTCTTTTATTTAATAGAGCAGTGGTTTGTAGTTCTCCTTGAAGAGGTCCTTCACATCCCTTGTAAGTTGGATTCCTAGGTATTTTATTCTCTTTGAAGCAACTGTGAATGGGAGTTCACTCATGATTTGGCTCTCTGTTTGTCTGTTGTTGGTGTATAAGAATGCTTGTGATTTTTGTACATTGATTTTGCATCCTGAGACTTTGCTGAAGTTGCTTATCAGCTTAAGGAGATTTTGGGCTGAGACAATGGGGTTTTCTAGATATACAATCATGTCATCTGCAAACAGGGCCAATTTGACTTCCTCTTTTCCTAATTGAATACCCTTTATTTCCTTCTCCTGCCTAATTGCCCTGGCCAGAACTTCCAACACTATGTTGAATAGGAGTGGTGAGAGAGGGCATCCCTGTCTTGTGCCAGTTTTCAAAGGGAATGCTTCCAGTTTTTGCCCATTCAGTATGATATTGGCTGTGGGTTTGTCATAGATAGCTCTTATTATTTTGAAATACGTCCCATCAATACCTACTTTATTGAGAGTTTTTAGCATGAAGGGTTGTTGAATTTTGTCAAAGGCTTTTTCTGCATCTATTGAAATAATCATGTGGTTTTTGTCTTTGGCTCTGTTTATATGCTGGATTACATTTACTGATTTGCATATATTGAACCAGCCTTGCATCCCAGGGATGAAGCCCACTTGATCATGGTGGAGAAGATTTTTGATGTGCTGCTGGATTCGGTTTGCCAGTATTTTATTGAGGATTTTTGCATCAATGTTCATCAAGGATATTGGTCTAAAATTCTCTTTTTTGTTTGCGTCTCTGCCCGGCTTTGGTATCAGAATGATGCTGGGGTCATAAAATGAGTTAGGGAGGATTCCCTCTTTTTCTATTGATTGGAATAGTTTCAGAAGGAACGGTACCAGTTCCTCCTTGTACCTCGGGTAGAATTCGGCTGTGAATCCATCTGGTCCTGGACTCTTTTTGGTTGGTAAACTATTGATTATTGCCACAATTTCAGATCCTGTTATTGGTCTATTCAGAGATTCAACTTCTCCCTGGTTTAGTCTTGGGAGAGTGTATGTGTCGAGGAATTTATCCATTTCTTCTAGATTTTCTAGTTTATTTGTGTAGAGGTGTTTGTAGTATTCTCTGATGGTAGTTTGTATTTCTGTGGGATCGGTGGTGATATCCCCTTTATCATTTTTTATTGTGTCTATTTGATTCTTCTCTCTTTTTTTCTTTGAGGATTGCTAGCGTTCTATCAATTTTGTTGATCCTTTCAAAAAACCAGCTCCTGGATTCATTAATTTTTTGAAGGGTTTTTTGTGTCGCTATTTCCTTCAGTTCTGCTCTGATTTTAGTTTCTTGCCTTCTGCTAGCTTTTGAATGTGTTTGCTCTTGCTCTTCTAGTTCTTTTAATTGTGATGTTAGGGTGTCAATTTTGGATCTTTCCTGCTTTCTCTTGTGGGCATTTAGTGCTATAAATTTCCCTCTACACACTGCTTTGAATGTGTCCCAGAGATTCTGGTATGTTGTGTCTTTGTTCTCATTGGTTTCAAAGAACATCTTTATTTCTGCCTTCATTTCGTTATGTACCCAGTAGTCATTCAGGAGCAGGTTGTTCAGTTTCCATGTAGTTGAGCGGTTTTGAGTGAGATTCTTAATCCTGAGTTCTAGTTTGATTGCACTGTGGTCTGAGAGATAGTTTGTTATAATCTCTGTTCTTTTACTTTTGCTGAGGAGAGCTTTACTTCCAAGTATGTGGTCAATTTTGGAATAGGTGTGGTGTGGTGCTGAAAAAAATGTATATTCTGTTGATTTGGGGTGGAGAGTTCTGTAGATGTCTATTAGGTCCACTTGGTGCAGAGCTGAGTTCAATTCCTGGGTATCCTTGTTGACTTTCTGTCTCGTTGATCTGTCTAATGTTGACAGTGGGGCGTTAAAGTCTCCCATTATTAATGTGTGGGAGTCTAAGTCTCTTTGTAGGTCACTCAGGACTTGCTTTATGAATCTGGGTGCTCCTGTATTGGGTGCATATATATTCAGGATACTTAGCTCTTCTTGTTGAATTGATCCCTTTACCATTATGTAATGGCCTTCTTTGTCTCTTTTGAGCTTTGTTGGTTTAAAGTCTGTTTTATCAGAGACTAGGATTGCAACCCCTGCCTTTTTTTGTTTTCCATTTGCTTGGTAGATCTTCCTCCATCCTTTTATTTTGAGCCTATGTGTGTCTCTGCACGTGAGATGGGTTTCCTGAATACAGCACACTGATGGGTCTTGACTCTTTATCCAATTTGCCAGTCAGTGTCTTTTAATTGGAGCATTTAGTCCATTTACATTTAAAGTTAATATTGTTATGTGTGAATTTGATCCTGTCATTATGATGTTAGCTGGTTATTTTGCTCGTTAGTTGATGCAGTTTCTTCCTAGTCTCGATGGTCTTTACATTTTGGCATGATTTTGCAGTGGCTGGTACCGGTTGTTCCTTTCCATGTTTAGCACTTCCTTCAGGAGCTCTTTTAGGGCAGGCCTGGTGGTGACAAAATCTCTCAGCATTTGCTTGTCTGTAAAGTATTTTATTTCTCCTTCACTTATGAAGCTTAGTTTGGCTGGACATGAAATTCTGGGTTGAAAATTCTTTTCTTTAAGAATGTCGAATATTGGCCCCCACTCTCTTCTGGCTTGTAGGGTTTCTGCTGAGAGATCCGCTGTTAGTCTGATGGGCTTCCCTTTGAGGGTAACCCGACCTTTCTCTCTGGCTGCCCTTAACATTTTTTCCTTCATTTCAACTTTGGTGAATCTGACAATTATGTGTCTTGGAGTTGCTCTTCTCGAGGAGTATCTTTGTGGCATTCTCTGCATTTCCTGAATCTGAACGTTGGCCTGCCTTGCTAGATTGGGGAAGTTCTCCTGGATAATATCCTGCAGAGTGTTTTCCAACTTGGTTCCATTCTCCCCATCACTTTCAGGTACACCAATCAGACGTAGATTTGGTCTTTTCACATAGTCCCATATTTCTTGGAGGCTTTGCTCATTTCTTTGTATTCTTTTTTCTCTAAACTTCCCTTCTCGCTTCATTTCATTCATTTCATCTTCCATTGCTGATACCCTTTCTTCCAGTTGATCACATTGGCTCTTGAGGCTTCTGCATTCTTCACGTAGTTCTCGAGCCTTGGTTTTCAGCTCCATCAGCTCCTTTAAGCACTTCTCTGTATTGGTTATTCTAGTTATACATTCTTCTGAATTTTTTTCAAAGTTTTCAACTTCTTTGCCTTTGGTTTGAATGTCCTCCCATAGCTCAGAGTAATTTGATCATCTGAAGCCTTCTCTCAGCTCCTCAAAGACATTCTCCATCCAGCTTTGTTCCGTTGCTGGTGAGGAACTGCGTTCCTTTGGAGGAGGAGAGGCGCTCTGCTTTTTAGAGTTTCCAGTTTTTCTGCTCTGTTTTTTCCCCATCTTTGTGGTTTTATCTACTTTTGGTCTTTGATGATGGTGATGTACAGATGGGTTTTTGGTGTGGATGTCCTTTCTGTTTGTTAGTTTTCCTTCTAACAGACAGGACCCTCAGCTGCAGGTCTGTTGGAATACCCTGCCTTGTGAGGTGTCAGTGTGCCCCTGCTGGGGGGTGCCTCCCAGTTAGGCTGCTCGGGGGTCAGGGGTCAGGGACCCACTTGAGGAGGCAGTCTGCCCATTCTCAGATCTCCAGCTGAGTGCTGGGAGAACCACTGCTCTCTTCAAAGCTGTCAGACAGGGACATTTAAGTCTGCAGAGGTTACTGCTGTCTTTTTGTTTGTCTGTGCCCTGCCCCCAGAGGTGGAGCCTACAGAGGCAGGCAGGCCTCCTTGAGCTGTGGTGGGCTCCACCCAGTTGGAGGTTCCTGGCTGCTTTGTTTACCTAAGCAAGCCTGGGCAATGGCGGGCGCCCCTCCCCCAGCCTCGCTGCCGCCTTGCAGTTTGATCTCAGACTGCTGTGCTAGCAATCAGCGAGACTCCTTAGGCATAGGACCCTCCGAGCCAGGTGCGGGATATACTCTCGTGGTGCGCCGTTTTTTAAGCCGGTCGGAAAAGCGCAGTATTCTGGTGGGAGTGACCCGATTATCCAGGTGCGTCCGTCACCCCTTTCTTTGACTCCGAAAGGGAACTCCCTGACCCCTTGCGCTTCCCAAGTGAGGCAATGCCTCGCCCTGCTGTGGCTCGCGCACGGTGCGCGCACCCACTGACCTGCACCCACTGTCTGGCACTCCCTAGTGAGATGAACCCGGTACCTCAGATGGAAATGCAGAAATCACCCGTCTTCTGCGTCGCTCACGCTGGGAGCTGTAGACCGGAGCTGTTCCTATTCAGCCATCTTGCCTCCTCCACCCCACATATATTGTTATAATTGTTATTTTTGTATTACTGTTAAACTCTTACTCTGCTTAATTTATAAATTAAATTTTATTCTACATATGCATGTATAGTAAAAAACACAGCATATGCAGGGTTCAGTATCATCTGTGAATTTAGGCATCCCCTAGTGGTCTTAAAATCTATCCCCACAGATAAGGGTGTACTACTCTACTTAGGGAGAGTTAGAGTTAAACCACATGAAAATCTTTTCATGATACCTGTTTCATGATATCTTGAAATCTGTTTCATGATATCTTAAAGAATATCTACACTAAAACAAAGTACAAGTTATTGTACCTCTATGCCCTAATACCAATAAATAAAAAAGGTATTTTTATGGCTTCTTCAGATTTAGAAGGCAGCATGTGTTACGCCATGGGTATATTGTTTCAACCCAATTATCAAGTGATAAATAAGTCTGCCGATTTTGAGTGGAGCCTGGAGTAATAGAGGGCTCTGCAGCAGGCCTAGACTTTAATGCAATATATCCTCTTTTAGCCAGATGATCAGCATATCCATATGGTACAAACACAACCAAAAAAGAGAATTTTAGACCAATATCCTTGATGAACATTGATGCAAAAATCCTCAATACAATACTGGCAAACCAAATCCAGCAGCACATCAAAAAGCTTATCCACCATGATCAAGTGGGCTTCATCCCTGGGATGCAAGGCTGGTTCAATATACGCAAATCAATAAATGTAATCCAGCATATAAACAGAGCCAAAGACAAAAACCACATGATTATTTCAATAGATGCAGAAAAAGCCTTTGACAAAATTCAACAACCCTTCATGCTAAAAACTCTCAATAAAGTAGGTATTGATGGGACGTATTTCAAAATAATAAGAGCTATCTATGACAAACCCACAGCCAATATCATACTGAATGGGCAAAAACTGGAAGCACACAAAGTGACTATGCAGCCAGAGTTGAATGTCATGAGCCAAGTGTTAAGAGATTCAACAAATCACAAGATCAGGAAGACAGAGCAAAAACCCATTGCACAAATGAAGTAAGAAAACATACATTTGGGGTCAGGCGTAAGCAGATCCCTAATGCATGAATAAATTGCATTAATATGATCAATGATGTGGAAGTCAGCCAACATTTCTCTTTGACTTCTCAAATATTTGCACAATTGGCCCATAAGTGGAGAAGCTATGAAAATAAAGAGTTAAAGCTTTGGGTTCAAACAGAATGAAATTCCACTCAGTACATCTCATCTACAGGCTGCTATCTACTCCTGAATGACTAACCTATCACCAACAGAGGCTGATGCTAAACCTTCAAAATCACACTGTTTTCTAGGAGAAAAAGCCAATTGCTTAGTGGCAAGTGGATTATATTGGATAATTTTCATCACAGAGGGAAAATCTGTTATTAAAATGGAAACCTACTTTAAAAAATATATGTGTGTGTATGTGTATGTGTGTGTATCATATGACTCATTTTATTTTTCTACATATATTGGTTTATCTATTATTACAATCATAAAACTTACAGAATGTCTCATCTATAAACATGGAATCCCATATGGGTCTAACACACCTATTTTACACTCAATATGGCATAGCTATTGGCCATGGTATTCACTAATCTCATCATGTACCCTATATCCCAGAACTTGATGGCCTAACAACGTGGTTGAATGACTTGTTGAAGGCTCAGCTAAGGCACTACATTAAAAATTAATGCATTGTATCTGAAATGATTATTGAACCAACATTTAATAGATTGTGCTATGTGTCCTATAGTTAGAATACATGGTTCTGAGAACTAAGGGATTGGATTGGCTCCTTACCCATGATTTCCAATGGCCAACTGAATTAATTTATATTTCTAGTCTCTGAAACAGTCAGGTTTCCAATATGAAATTCTTGTGGAGAAGAACAAAACAAAACAGCAGACTCTAACAGCTATCAGCAGGTAGCTTGTCTAACTTGAACAGCTAGCCCACGGTATTCTCCTGCTGAATGTAAATACATACGCATTTTGAAAATACACATATATATTCAAAATCCTGTATGAACACAGAAAAACTGTACAGACCTTAAAAATCATCAATCATCCCCCACCTCAAGTGCCTTCTGATATTTTTATTATCCCTAATTTTTATTATCCTTAGTCTCCTTCTTGAGAAAAAAATTATCAAAATACCAATATTTGAAATGCTTGAACATTATATTACCACTTAATCCTACAGCAAAGCCCAGACTTCCTGAACTCTTCCTCTAATGCATATAACAAAAGCTCAGCTCAAGTAGCAAGCTCCTTCCCCTGACACCTTCATTCTCTTATAGAGATTCTCCACGGCTACCCATTATGGGTAATCTCTCTTGATGCCACAAGTACCAACTAACCCAACTTTGTGACTTATAAGTACATTCCAACTGATCTTTGGTTGAATGGCTGAAAGTTCCCAGGAGGCTTGGGGGTTTTCTCTTCCTCCTTCACAATGTAAATGTCTACTGAACTCTGAGCTGCAATTACCATCTGATCACTTAAATTTATTTATTATGTTTTAGTTATTATGGTTGTATAGCAAACCATCTTTTGTCTCACATAAAAATGTATTTTCACAAATCTGCAGGAAGGTTAGGCCTTAGAAAATACAGCTCATCTCTGCTCCACATGGAGTTAGTTGGGATGCATAAAGAAACTGAGGGTTATTATTTGAAGGTTTGGTAACTCACATTTCTCACTTCTGAGCTATAAAAACTCAACAGTTGGATACTTGGAACAGGCAGATGTCCTCAGGCATCTTTTTTTATCATCTGTATTTCTATATGCCCTCTAGAAACGTTCTCTCAGCACGACGGCTTAATTGTATATGGATGTCTTACACAGTGTCTCAGGGCTACATTGAGCAAAAGAGATGGCATGGGAGGGATTGTATGAACAATTTTATGACATAAAGTCCGAAATAATAGTGTCACTTTCTTATCATTCCCTTTGTTAGATGCAAGTCACAAAGACAAGACCATGTCCAAGCAAAGGAAAATTACACTCACCTCTTCTAGGGGCTGAAATAATTTGTACATATATTTCAAAATCATCTCAGAGGATCAGTAGGCAAAACACAGTGTTGCATTATTGTCTGGCATAATCAGCTCTGATAACCATGTGGAATTTGAGTTATTTTTACATATTGTGTGGAACTATTTGTACTTACTAAGGCATTTGTACTGCTTCAAGACCAATAAGATTCATGACTGGCTAATTGTTGCAACAATGGCATGAGGATTGGGAGGCAATTTAGGGCTCAAACACCTAGGAGATTTTGTCTGGATTTTGTCACGAGGCAATTGACCCAGACCATCCAAAGTTGTGCTGAGGAGAAAGACCAAAATGATGGTTCCCTGCTATGGACTTAGTACAAACTGCAGCAGTGAAGACTGTTCAAGCTTAAGCTGTCTTTACAGCTTTATTAGCAGGTAGCAACAGGCTACCATCTTTAGGGATTGGATTTGGAATTCAATTCAGGCAAGAAGTGAGGACACCTTGATCTCAGATTTCAGAAAGAAGTCCACTTATTAGAAGTACCTATGTGTGAATATGAGTGGCAGAAGAAATAGACTACAGAACTCCTCAGGCTTCTTCCCCTCTCCTACTACTGCTTGCTCATTGGAGAGCCACCACTGTTGTTGCCTTAACCTCTAATATTACTCCATCTCTACAACCTCTATGGTGAGAGCCAGGTCTGGTATGCTGTTTATCAATACTCCTCTACCTCTTCCCCTATGAGTGAAAGCTACAGCAGTATCAGCACCAAGGACTGAGTGACTAAACACATATTAAGAAATCTTCTATTTTTTTCCATAATTGGTATGTGGAGAATTTTCACTCTCTTTTGAATTGTTTTGATAAATCAATTTTAAGCAAATCAGTTTCCTGGCCTAAACAAATGACCTAAAACTTGGTGAATTAAAAACATTTTTTTTCTCTCACAGTTCTGAGTCCAGAAGTCTGAATCAGTGTCACTGAGCCAAAATGAAGGTGTCAGTAGAGCCACGCTGACTCTAGCTGAAAATCTATTCCTTTCCCCTTCCAGCAAACAGTGGCTGCCTACATCCCTTGATTTGTGAGTATGTCTCTGCAATCTCTGCCTCCATGGTCACATTTCCTCTGCCTCTTTTGTGTATATCAAATCTCCTCCGGCCTCTGTCTTTAAATAACACTTGTGATTTGATTTACAGCCCACAGTGACAATAGAGTATAATCTCTCCAATTCAATAATTTAATCACATCAGCAAAAATTATTTTCCTCATAAAGTAAAACAAAATGTTTCAGGGATTGGGTGCTGATGTTTTTGCATAGTCATTGTTCAGCCTTTTACATTTCTTTTAAAGGTATTTCAAATATTGATAAAAGTTTTTTTGTAATTTAGTTGTCTCTTACTCTATAGTCATTTTTCCTCATCCTTTCTTGTTTTTAATCTATTCCATTTCTTCCTATTTTTTGTCTTATCTTTTCTTCAATATATGGCTGTTTTTACATATTTAAACTAGCTCTTAGATATAATTATTTGTTCCATTATTTTACAGTTTTCTACTTTATTAATTTCCTGTTATTTTATGTAAATTATAGTTTACTTATCTCTTTGTGTATATTAAATATATTTCTTAACTTACTTATTTTTTATTGTATTTTAACAAAAGTGAATACTATATTTTTTGACATTTTCCTGCAGGTTTTCTTGAAATAACATGTCAATTATCATTATTTTCAAGATATTCTACAATGTTAGCATGTATTTCTTATTTTATACATGTGATTTGAGAGTAATTAATCGGCTGTTAGATGCTCTTTGTTTCCTTATTTTGCAACTAATGCTAAATTTAGTTTTCCTGATTTCTGGAAATTTTAGAAATAAAAATTTTAAAACAATTTCAGATTTACTGAAAAATTGTGATGGTATTATGGAAGGTACCCACATATCCAACACCCATATCCCCTAATATTAGCATTTCATATTGGTATACTGTATTTGTCACAATTAATGAATTAATATTGCTTCATCATTATTAATTAAAGTCCATACTTTATATTCAGATTTCCTTGGTTTTTACCTGAAGGTTTTTTATTCTTCTAGCAACCATCCAAGATATAACATTGCATTTAATGGTCATGCCTCTTCAGGCTCCTCTTAGCTAAGACAGTTCTCAGACTTTTGTATTTAACACCCTTGACAGAGACTTTTAAGGTGTACAAATCAGGAATTTTGTAGAATGCCCTTCAATTTGGATCCTCTTGATATTTTCTCATGATTAAACTGGAGTTATATTATTGAGAGGGAAACCACAGAGATAGCTAGAAATTTCTATCTTACGACATAAAGGCCATATGTTATCAACATAATACGATATATCACAGTTAATGTTGACCTTAATCACCTAACTGAGGTAGTGCTTGCCCCGTGGTTTCTTCACTAAGCTTACACCCTGTCCCACTGTATTCTTCAATGAGTGAGAAGTTATGATTCACCTTTTTGAGATTCATAATATCTACATAAATATTTGGTATTCTCCACAAGATATTATCTCTTATCTCTTAGTTGTTTACATAATCCTTTCTTTATGTTAGTATGAACTTATGGATATTTATTTTATACTTTGAGTTACAACTCAATAGTACTTCATATTCTTGCTTTTTATTTTTTTTAGATTTTGCCATTGAGGCCCCTTCAGTTGGCTCCTATATCCTTTTGACATACTCCAACCATTGTATTACTTTTAATACTTTCTTACTTCCTAGCACTACAAGATGTACCAGGCTCGTCTTGCATAACTCTTTGCCCCAATCCTAGAACCAGCCAGTTCTCTAAAGATCCCTGGTGCCTTTTAAAGAATAGTGTTAGAAACTCAGTGCTGGGCTCTGAATGGGCTCATTGTTACTTGGTGTTATTGTCCTCTTAGCCAGCTGTCATTGTCTTCTAAGCCCTCAAAGATGACGGAACAAGAACTATATGTGCATATACTGACCGTGTGTGTGTGTGTGTGTGTGTGTGTGTATACATATCAAAATTTATATCTATATTTCTCTATGTAATCATCTGTGTCTATATTAAACTAAACACAAGTTCATAATGAAGTTGCCACTAATCTATTACCACATGGATCATCCAGCCTCCTACATTGCTTATCTAAAATGATGAGAAACCTGGCTACCACTGTCCACTACCCATTTACCTTAACTATTCAATTCCAGTATACATGAATACAATTTATATCTCATACAATGTGAAAACAACTTTATCTACTAAAGAAGAGTGCGTCTGTACAGTTCCATTTGCCTTTAGTTTTAAGACTACTCATTTCCCTTTATTTAGGTCACTTCCATACACATTTCAAATGTATATATTTATTATTGTTTTATTTACAACCTAATGTATATAATATTATATGTATTCATCATTTTTACATTAAAACATTTATATTCTGTGATATTGATATTGATTTAAAAATTGGTACATATTAAATAAATTAACCTGAATAATTGTGGTATTTCATTTTGGAAATCTATATTCTTTCAAGAGATAATTTAATATGTGACTTTGTTGTTTATATCTATTTTCTTCATATTCCTTGTATCTTTTCATGTAAATGTTGCTGCTAAGTTGTTTGTAGCACACATTTTTATTTGGTATGTCTTATTATAAATTTGATTAGCATTTATATCTACATTTAAATTTCTTCAATAGGAAGATTGGAATAACTGATATGTGATTGTTGTTAGCCTTTGCATATTACATCTTTTCATTTTCTCTTCACTTTGATCTTAGTAACACCCTTTATTTAGGTCTATATCTTCTACACTTTAAAGTCATCTTTTATTTTGTTATGAAATCAGATAGTGATTATTTGTTAAATATGTGAGTTTAGCTCACACCCATACACCCATATGTAAATATGTTAGATGCATCTATTTAATCTTTTTTTCTTTGTAATTTTGTGATTGCATTTATTTTAAGTACATTGTCCTCGCTGCTTCCTTTACCCTAACATACTGACTTTCACACAGATACCCCCATGGAAAACAAACAGGAAATACAAATTTTAAAGCAGCTTATTCTTATTGCTAGTTCCTGATACATGATTTTTTAAAACTTTTATTTTGGGTTCATGGATACATGTGCAGGTTTGCCATATGGATAAACTCATGTCATAGGGGTTTGTTGTACAGATTATTTGATTACTCAGGTACTAAGCCTAGTACTCAATAGTTATTTTTCTTGACACTCTCCCTCCTCCTACCCTCCACCCTAAAAGTAGACCTCGGTGTCTGTTGTTCCCTCCTTTGTGTCCATGAGATCATTTTTTTTTTTTAATGGCCACATAGCATTCTGTGGAGTATATGTACCACATTTCTTTAGCTATTCTGCCACTGATAGGCATTTAGGTTGATTTCATGTCTTTGCTATTGTGAATAGGGCTGCAATGAACATATACATACATGTGTCTTTATTGTAGAATGATTTATATTCCTTTGGGTATATACTCAGTAATGGGATTGCTGGGTCAAATAATAGTTTTGTTTTTAGCTCTTTGAGGAATTGCCACGCTGCTTTTCACAATGGTTGAACTAATTTACACTCCCACCAAGAGTACATAAGCATTCCCTTTTCTCTGCAATCTTGCTTTCCACTTCTTTATCTTTTTAAATAAACTTCACATTGTAGTATCACTTCTTAATTATGTGATTTTATTAAAAACAAAACTTAGGAAGGCTTGTAGTTTCTTAACAGTTGTATTTATAACAATAAATACAACACAATACGATAGCTAATAGAAAAATAATCTCTATGACTTTAGATATCATCCATTAACACCTTATTGTAAGTCTTTCCACTCTCTTGATTTATCCCTCTGATTTTATTTGATTGAATGATCACTCTTCGTCTTTACCTTCACAGTCTTATATACAATTAAAACTCTTGTTGATTGCTCTCTTTTAAATAAATCATTTATCAAAGTGCAGTGCACATGCTGAAAAGTGCCCAAATACATATGCACAAAGTATACTTATCGGCATAAACACCATACACAATTATAATTATTACTTTAATGTAATTTTGTGATACAATCATTAAGACTACGTTGAAGTAGTGTTAAAAGAAACAGCATGCAACATGCAATTTAAAATAAGATTGAAAACATTCTGTATTAAGTTATCTATCAAGCAAATGTTCAGTTGCCCTTACTCTACTCTTAGGCTTGTTTCTTCAGATGGTAGAATTTGGCTTGTGCCTATGGATACTTGAGGAGCCATAGAGTCAGGATAATTATTTAATTTTAAAACAAACTATAGTAGAATATATACCAGGCTAACAAGGACAGTTAAGTAAAACAGAAGTAACTGATAAATTGGTAAATGACATTAGTCATCAGTGTTCACCATATGTTTGAGAGAGAATTAAATTATCTCTATGCCAATTTGTCTGGTATTATAGCCAATAATTATTGTAGTGTATTACTTCTATTCTTTAAAGTGAAAATATATTTTAAAACTTTATATTCTAATAATTTAATAATTCTAAATAATTTAGAATAATTTCTAAATATTTGCAATGAGTTGAATGTCTCAAAGCTCCCTTTAGAAACTGTGCCTACAAAATAGCAAAAAGTAATCAAAATAGAGCTTTCCACAAAACACACACGTTATTATCTAACAGAAAGTGCATAAAAACAATGTGGCTATCTCTACTTCCATAAATAAGTTGAAAAAAGCACATACAATTTTAATACATTTTGTTCTCTTGATAAATTAATTCATTAATTTTTCATGATACAAATTTGACCTTTTGTTTCTGTCAACTTATTTTTAATTAATGTAATCACTCACCTGAAATGACCTTATTATTTGGTTTGTTTGGATGTGTTAATAATGTAAATAATGCATATAGGAAGCAGATTTAAAAGTAGTTGTTGAAATGAATGTATCTCTTTCTCATTCAGAAATATTAATGTTTAGCATCTTAGAATGACCCTAGGAATTCTTTAAGTAATTACCTAATTGCTTAATTGTTCATTAGATACCCTAATGCTAAAGAAAGCTATTGACCATTTTCTTACAAATGGTTGTGCCTGGCACAGAGTAGTATTTAATTATTTCTCTATGGATTAAAATGTTGGCTTTAGAATATTGCAGTTAATCAACTTCTGACTATACGTGTCTAAATTAGGATTGAGGATCATCTCCAAATAACCACTTTTCACTATACAGGTAGTCAATTATCTCTACTCCATTACTCATCAGGGGCTGACTTTCCTTCACTGACTGTGTCTCAGACAAAACCACAGCTACTATCAGATTAAACTTTGCCTTTCTGTGCTGATGTATTATTATAACAATATGAATATTCAAGAGTTGACTGGCAGCATAAAGTGAACTCAACAATGTATTCAAGAATATCAAGGGATGTGTTGAATCCGTTAGGAAAAGTCTAACCTTATCTATTGAAGTACATTCCTGCACTTCCTTTTCAGCATTCAGTTATGTCTTCATGATAAATTACATCAAAGATGTTTTCTTTTAGCAATTTTCTTTTTCTGATAGTCATAGATCTATTCATTTTGTAAAATTGATGTCACCTTATTACAGAATTTAATCGTTTTCTGTTCTTCTATTAATTAACTTGACCTGTTTACTTATCAATATTTTATTGCATCAGATTTTTTTAACCAATAACTTATATTTGTTATTATAATTGAATATCGTGCATTATTGTTCTGATTAAAATGTTTTTTCCATGGTAGGAAATAAAAATTGCTTATGATAAATCTGTGGACAAGACAAAGATTCTGATCTCATACAGCTTAAATTTATATATATAATTAGTGGCAGGAATATTCTATGAAGAAAATATAACAAAGATTGAAAGAAAAATGTGGGGGAGGGGCCAAGATGGCTGAATAGAAACAGCTCTAGTCTGTAGCTCCAAGAAAAATGAATGCAAAAAAGGTGAGTGATTTCTGCATTTCAAACTGAGGTACCCAGTTCATCTCATTGGGACTGACTAGGCAG
Organism: Homo sapiens; assembly: GCF_000001405.40. Classification (NCBI taxonomy): domain Eukaryota; kingdom Metazoa; phylum Chordata; class Mammalia; order Primates; family Hominidae; genus Homo; species Homo sapiens. The sequence continues at coordinate 188,768,317 of NC_000001.11, forward strand.
TTGGCGTGACCCATGGAGAGCAAGGCAAAGCAGGATGGGGTGATGGTTCACTATGGATCTGCATGGGGCAAAGGGACCTCCCTTCCCCAGCCAAGGGAGGCAGTGAGGGACTGTGCTAACTGCCCGGGTACACTGCTTTTCCCACAGATTTTTTTTCAATCTGGGAATCAGGAGGTCTCTCATGAGTCTAAACCACCAGGGCCTTGGGTCTCAAGCACAAAACTGGGCAGACCCAAAGCAGCTGCTCCCATCAGCAGCTGTTTGGGCAGGCACTGAGCTGCAGGAGTTTGTTTGTTTGTTTGTTTGAGAAGGAGTCTCTCTCTGTCGCCAGGCTGGAGTGCAGTGGCGGGATCTCTGCTCACTTGCAACCTCGACTCCCTGGTTCAAGTGATTCTCCTGCCTCAGCCTCCCGAGTAGCTGGGACTACAAGCGCACGTCATCACACCCAGCTAATTTTTGTATTTTTAGTATAGACGGGGTTTCACCATGTTGGCCAAGATGGTCTGGATTTCTTGACCTCATGATCCGCCTGCCTCAGCCTCCCAAAGTGCTGGGATTACAGGCGTGAGCCACCGCGCCCGGCTTGCAGGAGCTTTTGTATACTCTAGTGGCACCTGGAACTCCAGTGAGGCAGGAGAACCATCCACTCCTGTGGAAAGAGGGGTGAAGCCAGGAAGCCAAATGGACTCGTTCAGTGGGTCCCACTCCCATTGAACTCCGCAGGCTAAGACCCACTGGCTTGAAATCCCCACTGGCCAGCACAGCAGCCTGGAGTTGGCCTAAAACGACCTAATTCCCAAGGGTGGGGGCAAGCACCATTACTGAGGCTCTAGTCCATGGTTTTCTCCTGACAGTGCTAGGGAGACAGGGAGATTTGGACTGGGCGGTACTACCCACAGCACAGCACAGCAGCTGTAGTAGATTGCGGCCAGACTTCTTCTTTAGGTGGGACCAGGATCCATCCCTCCTCAAAGGGCAGGGCCTCCCTACAGGAATTCCAGCAATTCCAGCCGGGGGCTTACAGACAGACCTCTAATCTCCTTGGGTCCGAACACCTGGGGGGAGGGGCGGCCACAGTCTCAGGTTCAGCGGATTTAATCTTTCCTGCCTGCTGGCTTTGAAGAGTCCGGCTGATCCGAATGAAGGGGAGTGCCCCAGCACAGTACACCAGCTCCGCTAAAAGACAGTCGGCTTTCTTAAGTGAGTGCCTGACTCCGTGCCTCCTGATTGGGTGAGACCTCCCAACAGGGGTGGCCAGAAACCTTATACAAAAGAGTTCCAGCCAGCATCAGGTCAGTGCCCCTCTGGGACTAAGCTTCTGGAGGAAAGAGCAGGCAGTAATCTGCTGTTTTACAACCTCCACTGGTGATACCCAGGTGAACAGGGTCTGGAGTGGACCCCCAGCAAACTGCAGCAGACCTGCAGAAGAGGGGCCTGACTGTTAGAAGAAAAACAAACAGAAAGCAACAACACAACAACAACATCAACAAAAAAGACCCCACAAAACCCCATCCAAAGATCAACAGCCTCAAAGATCAAAGGTAGATAAATCCATGAAGATGAGGAAAAACCAACAAAAAAGCGCTGAAAATTCCAAAAGCCGGAATGCCTCTTCTCCTCCAGTTGTTGCAACACCTCTCTAGCAAGGGCATAGAATGGGGCAGAGGCTGAAATGGAGAAATTGACAGAAGCAGGCTTCAGAAAGTGGGTAATAACAAACTTCACTGAGCCAAGGATTATGTTCTAATGTAATGCAAACAAAACAAAACAAAACAAAACAAAAAACTAAGAACCATGATGAAAGATTAGGGTAGCTGTAAACTAGAATAACCAGTTTAGAGAGGAACATGAATGACCTGATGGTGCTGAAAAACACCGCATGAGAACTTCATGGTGCAAACACAAGTATTAATAACTGAATCAACCACATGAAAGAGAGAATATCAGAGCTTGATGACTATCTTGCTGAATTAAGGCAGGCAGACTAAAGAAAAAGAATGAAAAGAAATGAACCAAACCTCTGAAAACTATGGGACTATGTAAAAAAGCTGAACCTATGACTGATTGGATTACCTGAAAGAGATGAGGAAAATGGAATCAAGTTGAAAAACACACTTCAAGATATCATCCAGGAGAACTTCCCCAACCTAGCAAGACAGGTCAATATTCAAATTCAGGAAATCCAGAGAATTCCAATAAGATACTCTATGAGAAGATCTACTCCAAGCCACATAATCATCAGATTTTCCAAGGTTGAAAAGAAGGAAAAAATGTTAAGGGCAGTCAGAGGGAAAGTCAGGCCACCTACAAAGGGAAGCCCATCAGACTAACAACAGACCTCTCAGCAGAAACCCTACAAGCCAGAAGAGATTGGGGGCCAATATTCTTAAAAAAAAAAAAAAAAGAATTTCTTACCCAGAATTTTATATCCAGCTAAAGATTCATGAATGAAGGAGAGATAAAATCCTCTTCAGACAAGCAAATGCTGAGGGATTTTGTCACCACCAGGCCTGCCTTGCAAGAGCTCCTGAAGAAAGCATGAAAAGGAAAAACCTTTACCAGCCACTACAAAAACACACTGAAGTAGACAGACCAATGACACGATGAAGCAACTACATTAACCAGTCTAAAAAATGAACCACCTAGCATGAGGATGACAGTATCAAATTCACACATAACAATATTAACCTTAAATGTAAATGGGTTAAGTGCATCAATTAAGAGACACAAAATGGCAAGCTGGATAAAAAGACAAGACACATCAGTGTGCTGTATTCAAGAGATACATCTCACTTGCAAAGATACACATAGGCTCAAAATAAAGGGATGGAGAAAAATTTGCCAAGCAAATGAGAAGCCAAAAAAATCAGGGGTTGCAATCCTAGTTTCTGGCAAAATAGACTTTAAATCAACAGAAGTCAAAAAAGACAAAAAGGACATTACATAATGGTAAAGAGCTCAATTCAACAAGAAGAGATAACTATCCTAAATATATGCGCACCTAATAAAGGAACCCCCAGATTCATAAAACAAGTTCTTAAAGACCCACAAAGTGACTTACACCCCCAGAAAATAATAGTGGGAGACTTTAATACCTCACTGTCAGTAATAGACATATCATTGAGAAAGAAAATTAACGAAGATATTTAGGACTTGAACTCAGTTCTGGGCCAAGTGGATCTGATAGTTATGTATAGAAAGTTCCACCTCAAAACAACAGAATATGCATATTTCTTGGCACCACAGGGCACTTACTGTAAAACTGATCACATAATTGGAAGGAAAACACTCCTCAGCAAATGCAAAATAACTGAAATAATAACAGTCTCTGAGATACCAGTGCAATCAAATTAGAACTCAAGATTAAGAAACCCACTCAAAACCCCACAACTACATGAAAATTGGAAAACCTGCTCCTGAACGGCTTTTGGGTAAATAACGACATTAAGGCAGAAATCAAGAAGTTAATTGAAACCAATGAGAACAAAGAGACAACATATCAGAATCTCTGGGATGCAGCTAAAGCAATGTTACAAGACACATTTATAGCACTAAATCCCTACATCAAAAATCTGGAAGGATCTCCATTGACACCCTAACATCACAACTAAAAGAACTAAAGAACCAAGAGCAAACAAACCTCAGAGCTAGCAGAAGACAAGAAATAACCATGCGCAGAGCAAAACCGAAGGAGATAGAGACAAAAAAAAAAAAAGCTCTTCAAAAAAATCAAGGAATCCAGGAGCTGTTTTATAAATAAATGTAATAATATAGATAGGCCATTGGCTAGACTAATAAAGAAGAAAAGAGAGAAGATTTAAATAAACATAATCGGAAATGATAAGGGGGATAACACCACAGACCCCACAGAAATACAAACAACCATGAGAGAATACTATAAACACCTCTCTGCAAATAGCCTAGAAAATCTAGAAGAAATTGATAAATTCCTGGACACATACACCCTCCCAAGACTGAACCTGGAAAAAGTCAAATCTCTGACTAGACCAATAAGAAGTTCTGAAGTTGAGGCAGTAATAAATAGCCTACCAACCAAAAAAAAGCTCAGGTCTAGATGGATTTACAGCTGAATTCTATAAGAAGTACAAAGAGGAGCTGTTACTATTTCTTCTGAAACTGTTCCAAACAATTGAAAACGGGGGAAGGGGGGACTCCTCCCTAACACATTTTATGGGGCCAGCATCACCCTGATACCAAAACCTGGCAGAGACACAACAACAACAAAAAAAGAAAACTTCAGGCAATATCCCTGATGAACATCGATGCAAAAATTCACAGTAAAATACTGGCAAATGGAATCCAGCAGCACATCAAAAAGCTTGTCCACCACAATAAAGCAGGCTTTATCTCTGGGATGCAAGGCTGGTTCAACATACACAAATCAATAAATGTAATTCATCACATAAACAGAACTAAAGACAAAAACGACATGATTATCTCAATAGAAGCAGAAAAAAAGCCTTCAATAAAATTCAACATCCCTTCATATTAAAAGCTCTCAGTAAACTAGGTGTTGAAGGAACATACCTCAAATTAATAAGAGCCATTTATGAAAAACCCACAGCCAATATCATACTGAATGGGCAAAACCTGGAAACATTCCTTTTGAAAATTAACATAAGACAAGGATGCCCTCTTTCACTACTGTTATTCAACATAGTATTGGAAGTTATGGCTAGGGCAATCAAGCAAAAAAAAAAAAGAAAAAGAAAGAAATGGTATTCAAATAGGAAGAGAGGAAGTCAAACTCTCTCTGTTTGCAGATGACATGTTAATATATCTAGAAAAGACTTTTGATTAAGTCCAAAAGCTTCTTAAGCTGATAAGCAACTTCAGCAAAGTCTCAGTTTACAAAATTAATATACAGAAATCACAAGCATTCCTATACACCAATAACAGACAAGCCAAGAGCCAAATCATGATTGAATTCCCTTTTGCAATTACCACAAAGAAAATAAAGTGCCTGGAAATACAGCTAACAATGGAAGTGAAAGACCTCTTCAAGGAGAACTACAAATCACTGCTCAAAGAAATTAGAGAGGACACAAGCAGATTAAAAAAAAATTCCATACTCATGGATAGGAAGGATCAATATTGTGAAAATGGCATACTTTCCAAAGCAATTTATAGATTCAATGCTATTCCCATTAAATTACCATTGTTGTTCGTCACAGAAAGAAAAAAAAAGCATTTTAAAATTCATATGAACGCCAAAAAGAGCTCATTTAGCCAAGACAATCCTAAACAAAAAGAACAAAACTGGAGGCATCTGTTATGCAACTTCAAACTATACTACAAGGCTGCAGTAGCCAAAATAGCATGGTACTGCTACCAAAGCAGACACATAGACCAATAGAACAAAATAGAAAATTCAGAAATAAAACCACATATCTACAACCATCTGATCTTCAACAAACCTGACAAAAGCAATTAATGAAGAAAGGATTCCCCATTTAATAAATGGTGCTGGGAGAACTGTTTAGCCATATGCAGAAAATTGAAACTGGACCCTTTCCTTACACCTTATACAAAAATTAACTCAAGATGGATTAAAGACTTAAATGTAAAATCCCAAACTATAAAAACCCTAGAAGAAAATCTAGGCAATGGCATTCAGGGCATAGGCATGGGCAAAGAATTTATGATGAAATAGCCAAAAGCAATTGCAACAAAATCAGAAATTGACAAATGGGATCTAATTAAACTGAAGAGCTGCATGGCAAATGGAACTATCATCAGATCAAACAGACAACATATAGAATGGGAGAACATTTTTGCAATTTATCCATCCGACAAAGGTCTCATATCCAGAATCTACATGGAACTTAAGAAAATTTAAAAGAAAAATAAAAACAAACAATCCCATTAAAAAGTGGGCAAAATATATGAACAGACACTTCTCAGAAAAGACAAACATGTGGCCAACAAACATATGAAGAAAGCTCAACATCACTGATGTTGAAATGCAAATCAAAACCACAATGAGATACCATCTCATTCCAGTCAAAATGGCAATTATTAAAACTCAAGAAAAAAACAGATGCTGGTGAGGTTGAGGAGAAATAGGAATGCCTTTACACTGTTGGTGGGAATGTAAATTAGTTCAACCACTGTGAAAGACAGTGTGGTGATTCCTCAAAGATTTAAAACTGGAAATACATTTGACATAGAAATCCCATTACTGGGTATAAACCCAAAGGAATATAAATCATTCTATTATAAAGATATGTGCACATGAATGTTCATTGCAGCACTATTCACAATAGCAAAGACATGGAATCAACCAAAATGCACATAAATGATAGACTGGATAAAGAAAATTTAGTACATATACAGCATGGAATACTTTGCAGCCATACAAAGGAAAGAGATCATGTCCTTTGCAGGAACATGGATGAAACTGGAAGCCATTATCCTCAGCAAACTATTGCAGGAACGGAAAACCAAACACTGCATGTTCTCACTTATAAGTGGGAGCTGAACAATGAGAACACATGGACACAGCAGGGGGAACAGCACACATTGGGGTGTGTCTGGGGAACCTAGGGGAGGGAGAACATTAGGGACAAGTGTTAATGCATTCTGGGCTTAATACCTAGGTAATGGATTGATAGGTGCAGCAAACCCCCATGGCACACATTTTCCTATGCAACAAACCTCCTGATATGGTTTGGCTGTGTCCCCACGCAAATCTCAACTTGAATTGTATGTTGCAGAATTCCCACATGTTGTGGGAGGGACCCAGGGGAGGTAATTGAATCATGGGGGCCAGTCTTTCCCATGCTATTCTTGTGATAGTGAATAAGTCTCACGAGATCTGATGGGTTTCTCAGGGGCTTCCACTTTTGCTTCTTCCTCATTTTTCTCTTGCCACTGCCATATAAGAAGTACCTTTCACTTCCCACCATGTTTAAGACACCTCCCCAGCCATGTGGAGTGTAAGACCAATTAACCTCTTTTTGTCTCAGTTTTTAATATGTCTTTATCAGTAGTGTGGAAACACACTATAACAGTAAACTGGTACCAGTATAGTGAGGTGATGCAAAAAGATACCCAAAAATGTGGAAACAACTTTGGAACTGGGTAATAGGCAGAGGTTGGAACAGTTTGGAGGGCTCAGAAGACAGGAAAATGTGGGAAAGTTTGGAACGTCCTAGAGATTTGTTGAATGGCTTTGACAAAAATCTTGTTAGTGATATAAACAATAAGGCTGGGGTGGTCTCAGATGGAGATGAGTAACTTGTTGGGAACTGGAGCAAAGGTGACTCTTGTCATTTTTTTAGCAAAGAGACTGGTGGCATTTTGCCTCTGCCCTAGAGATTTGTGGAACTTTGAAGTGGAGGGAGATGGTTTAGGGCAGCTGGCCGAATAAATTCCTAAGGAGCAAAGCATTCAAAACTGACTTGGGTGCTGTTAAAAGCATTTCATTTTAAAAGGGAAACAGAGCATAAAAGTTCATAAAATTTGCAGCCTGAAAATGCAGCAGAAAAGGAAAACCAATTTTTTGTGGAGAAATTCAAGCTTGCTGCAGAAATTTGCATAAGTAGCAAGCAGCCAGCTATTAATCCCCAAGACCATGGGGAAAATGTCTCCAGGCCATGTTAGAAACCTTCATGGCAGCCCCTCCTCTCATAGGCCTGGAGGCCCAGGAGGAAAAAGTGGTTTTGTAGGCCAGTCCCAGGGTCCCCATGCTGTATGCAGCCTAGGACTTGGTGCCTTCTGTTCCAGCCATTCCAGCTGTGGCTGAAAGGGGCCAACATTGAGCTTGGGCTGTGGCTTCAGAGGGTGGAAGCCCCAAGCCTTGGCAGCTTCCACATGGTGTTGAAACTGTAGGTATAGAGACGTCAAAAATTGAGGTTTGGGAACCACCAACTAGACTTCAGAAAATGTATGGAAATGCCAGGATGCCCAGACAAAAGTTTGCTGAAGGGGTGGGGCCCTCATGGAGGACCACTGCTAGGCCAGTGTGGAAGGGAAATGTGGGGTTTGAGCCCCCACACAAAGTCCCTACTGTGGTACTGCTTAGTGGAACTGTGAAAGAGGGCCACTGTCCTCCAGACCCCAGAATGGTAAATCCACTGGCAGTTTGCACCATGCACCTGGAAAAGCTGCAAACACTAAACAGCAGCCCATGAAAGCAGCCAAGAGGGAAGCTGTACCCTGCAAAGCCACAGGGGCAGAGCTGCCCAAGACCAGGGGAACCCAACTTTTGCATCAGTGTGATCTGGACATGAGATCATTCTGGATCTTTACAATTTGACTGCACTGCTGAATTTTGGGCTTGTATGGGCCCTGCAACCCCTTTGTTTTGGTCAATTTCTCCTATTTGGAATGGGTGTATTTACCCAATACCTGTACTCCCATTGTATCTAGGAAGTAAATAGCTTGTTTTTGATTTTACAGGCTCATAGATGGAAGGGACTTGCCTTGTCTCAGATGAGACTTTAGACTGTGGACTTTTGGGTTAATACTGAAATGAGTTAAGACTTTAGGGGACTGTTGGGAAGGCATGATTTGTTTTGAAATGTGAGGACATGAGACTTGGAGGGGCCAGGGGTAGAATTATATGGTTTGGCTGTGTCCCCATCCAAATCTCAACTTGAATTGTATCTCCCAGAATTCCCACCTGTTGAGGGAGGGACCCAGAGGGAGGTAATTGAATCATGGGGGCTGGTCTTTCCCGTGCCATTATTGTGATAGTGAATAAGTCTCACAAGATCTGAAGGGTTTATTGGGGTTTCCGCTTTTGCTTCTTTCTCATTTTTCTCTTGCCACCACCATTTAAGAAGTGCATTTTACCTCCCACCATGAATCTGAGGTCTCTCCAGCCATGTGGAACTATAATCCAATTAAACTTCTTTTTGTTCCCAGTTTTGGATATATCTTTATCAACAGTGTGAAAACGAATGAATACACCTGCATATCCCACACATGTACCCCAACACTAAAAAAAAAATTAAAAATAAAACACAAATGTGGTGAGTATTCATGTGTATGACTAGGTTAACTCATTCTGATAGTGTGAGGAATTAGTGAAAAACTGAATGAAATAAGAATGAGAGCCATGCGATATCTGAGAAAAAATGAAGATATATATATAAAGACATATATATAAAGATATATAAAACAGCTCAAGGTAAAACTGAATATATATTAGGAGAGCAGCAGAATAGCAGACCCGCATCCCTGAGTGTGGCGTTTGTAATTAAATCTAATGTAAGAGGGAGGAGGTCTACTCCAGAAAGATGTTAAATTTTGGCTGAAAGATCTCTACTTTGACAACAAAGATACATTTTGTGAACTTGACAAAAAGTTATCTCCTTGAGATTTTAAGTTAATTTTAACTTGCAGTCTGTTTTTTAATTCATTAGTTAATTTATTTATTATTTATGTATTTATTTATTTTCCTTAGTGAATCCTGTGTCCCTTTTGTTGATATGTGTGTATTTTCTTTAGCAAAGCTTGGACAATTAAGCCTGTGGTTGAAACACATTTTTATTAAATTAATCACTGGCTCTTAATTCATATATGTTTATCCAAAATTGAATTTCAAAATATTGAAAGTATTAGTGGGGATTTAAGTTTTATTACTCTTCATCAAACTGGATTTCACACTTGCCAGTTAAAAATTGTGTGCATATATCTAGCTGTATTTCAGATTCCTTAAGTTTTTCAAAACAAGTGGAAAGTTGAAAATGGCCAATGATGGGGCAATGAACATTATCTGCTACAAACAGTTCCTCATTTGCCACTCCACAATATTAAAAAAAGAAGGAGATACCTTTCTATTGTCCAGTGTTCAGGATTTGGTTGACTCATAAAACTTCGATACCTGGGCTCTCAGGTTGTGCTGCATACTTGTAGTCAAAGTCTGCAGAGATGGGTGTCTTCTCTAGCTATCTATGAAACTTTGCTTAAATTTTACCATCTATAGCAGATTTTACTTCTTATAATTTTTACACTTGTTACTGTCTTTTCATTTAGGGTTAAATTTTCTGCACTAATTTTCTTTTTTAAAAATTTAATTTAAAAAATGGACATTAGGGTAAAGAGCAGACATACAGCTTTAATGTTTTGTCTTTATATGGATATTTTTCTTCAGTTCATACCATACTATGAAAATATTGGTATTATAATGTCTGAATTTTGTATTCCAACACAATTAGCTTTGGCTCAATTCATATATTATATGCTAATATTTTTTCACTGTTGACATTGGCTAATCATTAATCAACACACGAAACTGTATAATGGTCAAATATGGATAAGTGAGGAGAACACTTCAATTAGTGTCATTTTCTTGAACATGTCAAAAGTGAATTTCCTTTTACTGCCAAAAGAACATCATGCCACTTATCTTTACTCAGACATTTATTCAGACTGTTTATCTACCGTATTTGTTGCTACAATGATTCATTCTCAATATAAAATGACTATTACAAAAGGGAAGAAAATTTTACTTTGGGCATTTGTTTTGACACTGTTCCAGAGAGAATGAGCCCATATAGTCAGCTGCAAAGACTTCATAGAATTCGACTTATATTTCTCAATATAAGAATATAAGAACATTTATCTTATTTCTGCCTTTGAATCTGCCTGATATGGTTTGGCTGTGTCCCCACCCAAATCTCATCTTGAATTGTAACTCCCATAATTCCCATGTGTTGTGGGAGGGACCTGGTGGGAGGTAATTGAATTATGGGGGTGGTTTCCCCCATACTGTTCTCATGGTAGTGAATAAGTCTCATGAGATCTGATGTTTTTATAAGGAGTTTCCCCTTCTGCTCAGGTCGCATTCTCTCTTGACTGCCACCATGTAAGATGTGCCTTTCACCTTCCACCATGATTGTGAGGCCTCCCCAGACACGTAGAACTGTAAGTCCATTAAACCTCTTTTTCATTATACATTACCCAGTCTCAGGTATGTCTTTGTTATCAGTGTGAAAATGAACGAATACTCTGCCTAAATAAAATATTAATTATTTGAATGTAGCATTTTTTTCTCTTCTACCTTACTCAATACTATTATCTTTTGCTTTAGATAGATGTAAACACTAATGAGAGAGAAAATTAAAATTAACTTCCAGCACTCATATCTGAAATGATTGATCAATCTAGACTTAAGCTCTAATAATTCTAAGTAGGTACTCTAAGAACTTTCACTGATTTTAAAGTGTAAACAGTATGATTGTTGTCTTTACATAATTATTATCAACTTTATACTTCTCTAAACTTCTTTATTATCTTACTAAAGTTAATTAGGTAACAAATATAAATTTACAATATTATATATCCTATTGTGCTGCCAATACAAATATAAACATGGCCTACTATCTGAGTTCACTGAGCTTTTCTTATAGTGAAAGAGACAAGATAAATAGGAAATGTCAATATAATTCCTTGTATGGAATAATAAATGTGTTCATGGCTTCTTCAGAATGTTTTCAGTATAGTGTTACTTATTATTGCATTTTTAAAGGAGCATTAAAATTTCAATGAATGTACAATAACCAATGTTTTAATTTAGTTTACAAAATTACGTCAAATACCAATTTTTTGATTCTCTTTTATTCTGCTTTAAAGATCCCCAAATTGATAATCAGAAGGCTGCTTTGAAATACTTATTCAAAAAATGTGCCTTAATTGTCATAGCTCACTTAGGCAGATGAGCCAAAGCATAAATATTACAATTGCTACTTCTTTAAAGGAAAAGGACAAAACTCAAAGGTTTAAGACTAATTTATGCTACAGGCAGCACATCCTGAATATAAAGCAAAAGAATGTTGCTGAACTCGCTGAACTGTTGTCAATCACTTGTCTCAGTCTTAGTTTTAATACTTGTATTCACAGAATTTCCTAAGGAATAAAAAAACTTTCTGTGTTCTATTTATAAGAGAAAGAAATAGCTTGTATTCCCCCAGGCTGACAATGATATTTTGAATTAAATATCCTTTTTATCGAAATTATCAAATTAAAATCATGTAAATGCTTCAATTTATTTTATATCGTTGTGTGACAATACATTTGAAAAATTTAAACCATTAATAAGAAATCTCTAATGTTATGTTTCAATAATATATACAAATTTAGAATTATCATGTTTCTAGTTTTTAATAAGTTGGATTAACTTTCTCCTGCTTCTCATCACATGCATGGTTGGAGAAAAAAAAGGGAGGCTGCAAATAAAAAATGATTCCGTAATTTCACCATTGTGAAGTAGCCATATTTTTATATATTGGCACATTTTCTTTGTTACTCTCTTTACGCTCTCTTTCCCTGCTTACCCCCAGGCTGTCTCAGCTTCCCTTCAGTGTGTCCCCCTATCTTCTAAGAGGTCTATGGGGCACTGACTAATATGTGCTTATAAGCAGGATATTTGAGGCCTTGTGCTTTAATCTCCTATTCATGAGCTTGCTTTAATAGTTCTGTGATCATCATGCCACCAGAACCCAGATCTGCTCGATTACCACTCCCCACTACTGCCACTGCAGTCGTCGTTTTCCAGTTAATTCTGAAAACATGAGGAAAAGATTGCAACATCTCAAATTGATATTAAGAAATGTTTGAGAACAATTAAGGCAAATAATATATGTGTGTTTCAATTGCCAGCAATTTAAAGGCCCTTTGTGGAGCCAACTCTTTGATGGCTGGCCACTCCAGTTTGGTCAGGAGAAACTAATGTTCTTGCCCCATTCCCCTCCCTGTCAGCAGTCCAGCCAGAACTTGAGCAACAGCTTGGGCCAAATTTATTTTAGTACTTTAGTACTTCAGTTTTAGTACTTTAATACTTAAGTTTTAATAGAAATGTAATCTTTTTAAAAATGCTTTATTTAGGTGTGATGACCTACAAAAAGCTTTAGATATTTAATGTATACAACTTGATGTGTTTGGGAATAAGTATATATTTGTTTCTTGTAGTAAAAATTTCTTAAAACCCACAAGTTTATGATCTGTCCACATATGACCCCAGTAACCATTACATCATAATCTGAACTTGTTAAAAAGTTAAATTATTCAGTTTTACATAAAAGTATGTATGAATAACATCATGTTGGGCTGTGAAAATCTGAATTGAATATTCTTTTAAACTATTTTCATTAAATATATGATTTAATTTTTTGTTGTTTTCCCTACCTTTGTCTTTATACACATTTATATGATCTTATGCGATTTGCACTTAAAAAATATATTTTAAAATGGTTATTTAACATTCATTTATGTTAAAATGATTGTTTAAATGGCAAAATATATGATGGATTATTTCTTAAGTCTTTTACCAGTCTCCAATACCTTTAATAATCTATAGTAATATTAAACTATAGGATTAAAATGGTGACATATTTTAATGGTTCCTATTAGCTCTTCAAAAATGTCTGTAAGAAAAAAATATACTTTCTTTAGCCATAATTGGCAGTGGCAAGTCAATTTTGAACAGTACCTTACCATGTTTACAAAATTTTGATAAATGCATAAGTAAAATGCTATGACATTTAATAGATTTTAGCATTAACAAATATAATTATATTTATGTATTGTTTGGACTATTACATGCCTATGCGTGAATAATATATTTACAAACTTTATCTTTATCATAGGGTTATTTATATTTTAAATGATTTTAATAGATGATTAAATACAGGTACTAATATTTATAAAGACTATATTTTGCTATTTGATTTATTGGTTTTATGTAATTATTAATGTATACATATTACAATGTTTTTTTATCCAAGCTTATGGGGTTTTTTAGCTTTTGTTTTTAAAAAGATTGTATTAGTTATCTATGCCTGCATAACAAGTCATCTCAAAATTTAATATCTTATTAACAGTAACATTTATTATCTAACATTTTCCATGTTTAAGGACACGGATGTCTTTTCCCAGGCCCTGTGACTCTGGATTTCATGAAGCGACAATTAAGGTGTCAGCCAGGACTGCAGTCATCTGAAAGCTCAACTGGGAGATTATCTTCCGAGATCATTCAAAGACTTAGCGGTTCCTCACATGTTGTTGGACACAGGACTCAGTTCCTCACAGGCTGGAGTCTTCTCCACAGGAGAGCTCATGAATTGTCATCTGTTGTCCACCAGAGGGGGCAAGTAAGAGAGCAAGCGAGGGTGAGAGGTAGCCAGTAATACGGAAGTCACAGGTCTTTGGTAACTAATGATATCCCATTAATTTGTTATATTCTGTTGCTTACAAGCAAGTTACAAAATATAGCACACACTCAAGGGATAGATAGATATAGATGTAGAAATATATATAAAAAAATTATAAGCTTGGAGATACACACACACATACACACTCACACATTATACTAGAAAACAAAAATCACTAGGAGCTATGTTAGAGTTAGAGGCTACCTCTTGTACCTTTCACAATCTTATAAGAATTTTGTGCGTGTGTGTGTCTGTGTGTGTCTGTATGTGTGTATAACATTCTTTCTTAGACTTTTGGTTTTTCAATAGATTTTTAAATTTAAATTGTTGTATGTTTTTGTTAAGACATTTTAGTATAAATATAAAATATATTTGGATGATGAAATCATAGTAGACATACCATACATATACTCAAATATAGCAAATAATTGAATAAAGTTTCCATAAACACTGTCAACAAAATAAACACTTTTCCTGTTAAATTGATTCATGTTTACTATGTATTTCTTTTTCTTCTTTTTTAATGTTGCATATTCTAATTCTGGGGATTTGTTTTTAAATGTTAAAATGGAAAGTAGAATTATCTAACTCTGAGCAGAGGAATATTAAATTATGGGCTATGCTACACCGAAATCTTTCAGGGTTACTTTACCAACGCTCTGCAATAATACCTTATCATGGTTTTATAACTGTTAGGGATGAAGTTATTCAAATTAAATAAAAGCCTGGAAAGAAGAATTATGTTTTTCTAACTATGCATAAATGTAAAATATAACATTTAAAATAATTAAAATAAATAAGACTGATTATTAAAGGCAGTTATAGACTTGTTATACATGTGATACTCTAAAGAAAATATGCTGCTATTCTGAACTTTTAAAATGTACTTGAGTGAAGTATATACATGTAAAATTAATTTTAAATAAAGGTTCCTCTTAACCTTCTTTATATTGACACAGACAAACAATATCTACTCTTAATTACCCATAAAAAGAAGGCTTTTTTAAAAACTACAAAGCTGAACTATTTTCTTCCTTCAATTTTAGAGACAATCATGTTGTAAGAATATGTGTAATCCCTTTCTTTTCTTTTTTTTTTCTTTTTTTTTTTTGGAGACAGAGTCTCACTCTGTTGCCCAGACTGGAGTGCAGTGGCAGGATTTCGGCTAACTGCAGCCTCTGCCTCCTGGGTTCAAGTGATTCTCGCGTCTCAGCCTCCCAGGTAGCTGAGATTACAGGCATGTGCCACCATGCCGGGATAATTTTTTGTATTTATTGTAGAGACAGTGTTTCGCCATGTTGGCCAGGCTGATCTCAAACTCTTGGCTTCAAGTGATCCACCCGCCTGGGCCTCCCAAAGTGCTGGTATTACAGGCATGAGCCACCATGCCTGGCCTGTTTTTATCATTTTTTTATTTCAAGTATTTGGCTTAAGCCATCGATATTGGATAGTATTTTCTATTCCTAAAATTATACTCCATTGAATAAACTCCAGGTGTATTATTTATGATGCTTATCTGTAACACTATAAAATTACTATGTCTATCTAGGGTGTTTAGTATATACATCTTTGAAAAAACATTAAACAAACAAAAACAAAAAATAGACTCATCACACTAGGCTATTTACTGAGTTGACCTCTTAAAATATCCTTCTGTCCGTTTAAACCTTTCGGTATTTTGTAGAATCTCTGGATACTTTTTAACTAAACAAAATTTTCAAAAAATTTCAAATTTCTTAAATTTACATTTCAACCTTTCACTCTAAATTTATTCTGGCCTCTACTATGCCACAATAATTTAAACATGAAAAAATATTCTGGTGCCCTCCCTGCTTACAATTTATGAATAACATGTCAAACTACTCACTAGCTTGCATGACCACAGGATTTTCTATAATACTTATAATTCCTTATTTTTCCCAAGACATAGTAAGTGGCCTCTCCTCCATGTTCTTGTGGTTACTAATTTACCCCTTCATCTAATTAGCCACACATTCGTTTATTCATGAATTAATAGTGTGGTATGCACTAGGGGTGCAATGTTGAGTGAAAGCAGAACTTACCATAATTAATTGAATAATTTATTCACACATAATGTTTACAACTCTTATTCTCAAAAAGTTTGTTTTAAACCCCGAAGAAAACTCATCTATCTACCACAATTGGCATAAAGCCTTGCATCTAAATTTTGAATAAAATAAACCTGAATTGTATAATCATGCAAGAGTCACTCCATATGATTCCATTTCAGATTATTATTTTATCTTTGTGACACTATCACAGAAAATATTTTCATGTCTGTCATTCCTGTTGATTCTCCTGTATGAATAAATTATTTCTCTTTTATTCAGCACTGTATTTTTTGTATAATAGTTGTTGGGCTTAAAATTTAGTAATTTTTTACTAAAACTTTCTACACACCAAAATTTCTGTTTTAAGAGATACCCAGACAAGTTTCAGGTCACTGAATAATCAGTATCAATGTGCCAAGCAAATGACTAGATGCCTAAGCATATCAGTAAGTGACTACATATCCTGATCTACTTTTAGATTTCTTCTATTTGCAATTAGTTACCCATGACTGTTCATATCAACTTTAGCATTAGATAACATTAGTGAAAAATTACATTTCAAATTTAGTAAATTTGTGCTAAATTACAACCCAAAACTCTTTGAATATGCTAAGATCTACAGGGTTGTAGTATATAAAAATGAAGTAAAATACTATAATTCTTTTAAATAATAGACAGATTGCTTTATGTTGTCCTAATTTACAAAAGTGAATAAGCAATGTTGTTATAAAGAATTAACAGAGCCTATGATAATCAGACATTTAAAATAATATTTTAGTTCTAAAATTGAACCAAACTTTTGTGCTGATCATTTACTATAGTTGAGATTGCTAAATTTCTATGAAGACAAATATAATTATTGAGGCTGTTTAAATTGTATTCTTTGTTTTTTAGCATAATGTTTCCCCCACTCTATTGAGCAATAAATCATATCATAAAGTAGATACAATCATATGTTATGTATCATATAATATTATACTCTTTTGGCCAGTGTCAGTATAACCAGTTCAAGTCTTCAGGGCCAAAAGAAATAATCTCATCATTATAGGAGAGTTCATAAACCCAGTGTGAGGATATCAGGATCTCTATCACATTCATCATTTTAGCTTATTTTGGTCACATAAGTAGACTTCGTATACTTAGGAATCATCTATATTTAACTTTCAAAATAATACTTCAAATAAAATTGATGAATAGATGCATTACATAGTTAATTAAGATTTTCATACATAATCTTTGGAAATTGCTTCTGGTTTATTGGGATTACCAAATACATCCAAGAGAAATAAAAAGAAAAAATATATAGAGTTACTACCTTTGGCCAAGGATAAATACTTAGACATTCTGTTATTTAGTAATAGTTTCACAGACTTAACATTTTGTTGAACTTCTAGGTTAAAATAGAATTTTTCATTTGAAAGCTAATGTTAAACTCTGTATATTTCATTCTAGGGAAAGCCAAAATACTTTCACCCCAAAGAAAAGGTGACATTTCCATTTTGTACAGTCTGCTAAAAATGCCATACGAGCTAGAGTTTTAATCCATGTCAGTGAGTTATGCACAGATTGACTTTAAATGTAGCATTTTATTGCTATAGAAAGAAAAAATAGCATTTCCTTCAAAATCAGATTAAATAGATATGTAATAGGATTTCAGTTACAGAGTTGAATTTTTACACATATTTGTTGAGTATGCTTTATGAAACGTTCTTTCTACATTTACTGTCTGCTTAAAATATCAGCTATAAAGACCCTGAAGGGCAGGTGCTGAAATTGCAGACTGAGATTTTATTCCATCTGTGAAAAAGGTTAGTACCACATTGCAATGCTTAACATAACCTTAAAAATCCACAACTTCAACTCTGTTTCGAGGCCACCTTATCCTTTAAATATTATTATTGAAATGTATCCTAGCAAGTTAAATATATATGGGATATCATCTTATTTTCATAGATGATTAATCACACACTGTATAGTTGCCATAATTTCATTAACTCAGAGTGGATTACATGTACATTTGTGCGTATGTGTACAGGCTAAAAATTCTCTCAGCAAAATGGTTTCCTATCAATTATATTTGTTCATAATGTATTTATCCTTAAATATCATTCCAGTCACTTGCAAACACTGAAATCAACATAAAAATGGGTATAGAAAAATGTTATTTATTTCCCAGCTTAAATAAGCTTTACTTCATAAAAGCAGTAATCACAAAAGTGGTATTGAGCCAATGCCACAAATTTCAACTATATATATTCTCATATTATATAACCCTTGCAGGTAATTAGGTATTTCAATGTTCATTTGATGTCTTCCATTTTGGAGGTTTCTCTTGTTAGTACAAAGGCAAGTTCATTAGAAATATTACAAAAGTTTTGCTTGCATTTTTCTCTGTATCACATGTAATTCCATTTCCATTAGGTTAAATTTTATTTTTGGTACTCATATCTTTTGTTTCAATATGTTCTGCTACAATGCTAAATAACATTTACTCATGATCCTATTTCTTCAGATTTGGAGCCCACCCTACTCTACCCATTTCTACACGTAATTTTTCTTTTCTCAATCCTATTTCCTGTAATATTTTGTTGGATCTTCTCAGTCTTTCCTCTTGATGTTATATTTTCTTATTCAGCTGAACAAGAGAAAGTCCTCTCAATTTGATTCACTAGATATGCACACTTCATTAACTAAACACATCAATCCTTGAAGCGAGTTAAAAAATTTTAAAAACACATGTTTTTGTTTAACATTCTGTACATGCTGAATCACATTTATTGATTTGTATATGTTTGACCAACCTTGTTTTCCAGGAATTAATCCTACTTGATCATGGTGACTTAACTTTTTGATGTGCTATATGCTACTGAATTTGGTTTGCTAATATTTTGTTGAGGATATGTGTGTCTATGTTCATCAGGGATATTGGTTTGTAGTTTTCTTTTTTATGTCTGATAGAATTCAGCAGTGAATCTCTCTGGTCCGGAGCTTTTTTTGGTTGATAATTTTTGTTTTGTTTTGTTTTGTTTTTCTGATTCAATTTTGGAACTCAGTCATGGTTCAGGGTTTCAGTATCTCCCTGATTCAATCTTAGGAGGCTGTGTGTTTCCAGGAATTTATCTATTTTCTCCAGATTTTCTAGTTTATTTGCACAGAGGGATTTATAATAGTTTCTAAGGATCTTTTGTACTTCTGTGAAATTGGTTGTAATGTCACCTTTGTCATTTCTAATTGTGCTTGTGCTTTTTTGGATACTCTTTATTTCCTTGCAGATATAGCCAGCAGTCTATCAATATTGTTTATCCTTTCAAATAACCAAATTTTGTTTTCATGGATTTCTTGTATGGATTCTTGGGTCTCAATTTCATTCTGTTCTCCTGTGATTTTAGTTATTTATTTTCTTCCACTGGCTTTGGGATTAGCTTGTTCTTGCTCTCCTAAATCCTCTAGGTGTGATGTCAGGTCATTAATTTGAGATCTAAAGTTTTGATGTAGATGTTTAGTGACATAAACTTTTCTATTAAAACTGATTTTGCTGCATTCCAGATTTTGGTATACAAACAGGTAAAAGCTGGAAGCATTCCTCTAAAAGACAGGAAAAAGACAAGGATGCTCACCCTTACCACTCCTATTCAAAATAGTGCTGGAAGCCCTAGCCAAAGCAATCAGACAAGATAAAAAATAAAAGCCACCAAATAAGAAAAGAAGAAATCGAATTACCTCTCTTTGCTGATAATACAATTCTATGTCTGGAAAACCCTAAATATCTTGCCAAAGGCCTCCTAGAACTGATACATGACTTCCGTAGTTTAGGATATAAAATCAATGTACAGAAATTAGTAGCATTTCTATATATCAATAATGTTCAAGGTGAGAACCAAATCAAGTATGCAATCCCATTTTCAATAGCCACACACACACAAAAATACCTAGGAATACATCTAACCAAGAAGGTAAAAGATCACCTCAAGGAGACCTACAAAACACTGTTGAAATAAATCATAGATGGCTGAATTAGTTCGTTCTCACACTGCTATAAAGAAATACCTGATATTGGGTAATTTATTTAAAAAAGAAATTTAATTGACTTGTAATTCCATAGGCTGTACAGGTAACATGGCTGGAGAGGCCTCAGGAAATTTTCAACATGGTGGAAGGTGAAGGGGAAGCAGGCACATCTTACATGGTCGGAGTAGGAAGAAAAGAGAGAGGAGGATGGTATTACACACTTTTAAACAACCAGATCTCATGAGAACTCACTATCAGGAGTACAGCAAGGGGGAACTCCTCCCCCTTGATCCTATCACCTCCCACCAAGCCCCTCCTCCAACATTGGGGATTACAATTCGACATGACCTTTGGGTAGGTCCACAAATCCAAACCATATCGCCATATCAGTGACACAAAACAAACAGAAAAACAAGATGGGTGCAGTGGCTTAGGTCTGTAATCATAGCACTTTGGGGGGGCCAAGACAGAGCATCACTTGAGTGCAGGAGTTTGAGACCAGCCTGGGCAACATAGCAAGATCCTCATCTCTAAAATAAATATTTAAAAAGTAGCCAAGCATGATGACACATGCCTATAGTGCCAACTACCCAGGAGACTGAGATGGGAGGATCAACTGAGCCCAGGAGGTTGAGGTTGCAGTGAGACATGATCATGCAACTTCATTGCAGCCTGGGTGACAGAGTGAGAGAGGGAAGAAAGGAAGAAAGAAAGGAAGGAAGGGAGGGAGGGAGGGAGGGAGGGAGGAAGGAAAGAAAAGAAAGAAAGAAAGAAAGAAAGAAAGAAAGAAAGAAAGAAAGAAAGAAAGAAAGAAAGAAAAGGAAAGAAAAGAGGGAGGAAAAGATTCCATGCTCATAGAGTGTAACAATCAATATTGTTACAATGGCCATCTGCCCAAAGCTATCTAAAGATTCAACAATATTCCTATCAAATTACCAATGTCTTTCTTCACAGAATTTAAAAAAATATTATAAAATTCATATGGCACCCAAATATAGGCTGAATAGCCAGAGTCATTCTAAGCAGAAAGAATAAAGCTGGAGGCATCACATTACCTGACTTCAAACTATGCTCTAAGGCTACATTTACCAAGATAGTGTGGTACTGGCATACAAACAGACACATAGACCAAAGGAACAGAATAGAGTACCCAGAAGTAAAGCTTCACACTGCAGTTATCTGATACTAAACAAAGTCAACAAAAATAAGCAATGGGGAAAAGACTCCCTATTAAATAAATGGTGCAGTGATAGCTGGCTAGCCATATGCAGAAGAATGAGACTGGAACCCCCATCTTACAACACATATGTAAGTCTTCAAACTAGAAGAATTGAGAAGAAAACCTAGAAAATGTCATTTTGGACATAGGCCTTGGGAAAGAATTTATGATTAAGTCCTCAAAAGTAATTACAACAAAAACAAAAATTGGCATGTGGGATCTAAATACACTACAGATTTCCATACAGCAAAAGAAACTATCCAAAGAGTAAACAGACAACTTACAGAATTGGAGAAAATATTCACAAACTATGCATCTGAGAAAGGTCTAATATTCAGAATCTTTGAGGTGTGTCAACAAATCAGCAAGCATAAACAAGTAACCCCATTAAAATGTGGACAAAAGACATGAACAGACATTTCTCAAAAGATGACATACAAGCAGCCAACAAACATGAAAACATTCTCCACATCACAAATCATCAGAGAAATGCAAATCAAAACCAGAATGACATACCATCTCATACCAGTCAGAATGGCTATTAAAAAGTCAAAATACAGCTGGGAATGGTGGCTCGCGCCTGTAATGCCAGCATTTTGGGAGACCGAGGTGGGCAGATTGCTTGAGCTCAGAAGTTTGAGACCAGCCTGGGTAACATGATGAGACCCGGTCTCTAACAAAAATCCAAAAAATTAGCCAGGCAGATGGCACATATCTGTAATGCCAGCTACTCAGGAGGCTAAGGTGGGAGGATTGCTTGATCCCGGGAGGTTGAGGCTGCAGTGAGCTGATACAGTGCCGATGCACTCCAGCCTGGGTAACAGAGTGAGACCCTGACTCAAAAAAAATTCTTAAGTAAAATAAATAAATAGTCAAAAAACAAGACATGATGGTTTGGACAGCTGTGGAGAAAAGGCAACACTTATACACTGTTGGTGGAAATACAAATTAGTTCAGTCACTGTGGAAAGGAGTTTGAAGATTTCTGAAAGAATTTAAAACACAACTACCATTCAACCTAGCAATCCCATTACTGGGTGTATACTCAAAGGAAAATAAGTTAAGCTATCAAAAAGACAGATATAGTCATATGTTCACTGAAGCACTATTCAAAATAGCAAAGGCATGGAATCAATCTAGGTGTCCATCAACAGTAGATTGCATTTAAAAATGGAGTGCATATGCACCATGGAATACTATGAAGTCATAAAAAAGAACAAAATAATGTCCTTTGGATTAACATGAATACAGCTGGAGGCCATTTTTAAGCAAATTAACAAAGGGATAGAAAACCAAATATTGCATGTTCTAACTTATAAGTAAGACGTAAGCATTGGGTCCAAGAGGACATAAAGTTGGGAACAATGGACACGGGGGACTACTATGAGGGGAGAGAAAAAGGGGAATAAGTGCTGAATAACTACCTATTGGGTACTATGCTCACTACCTGGGTGATGGGATCATTGACACTCCAAACCTTAGTGTCACACAACATACCCATGTAACAAATCTGAATGTAAACCCCCTAATCTAAAATAAAAGTTGAAATTATTTTAAAAAAATATATTTCCAATGGCTTTGTAGGTCATTGGAAAATTACTCTGAAAAATTTTCCTTTGCACTTCTATCCCACCTTTCTTATTTAAAACATATAAAATAATTCAAATAATGCTAATTATTACAAGAACTACATTAGATTTAAATCGTGTACAAACTTGTTAATAACCAACTATTTTAAGATAAAAGGATGTGATACCATATGACATATTATTTAATACAGAAGTAGAATCCATGCACATAATTGCTAAGTAATTAAATAAGTTGTATACTTAACCATGGTCTCTTGAAATCAAATCAAATTTTTATTAAGAATAGAAGTAATTTCCTTTGAAGGTGGCACTAAGCAAATTAAAGTATATTTAATAATATTAACCATTATCTTATACTTTCCTTATATGTCTTTAAATGTGGTAGTGGCAGTGTTTTAAATAATTAATGATCCTAAATTTTCAACACCAGTAGCAACAAGTCCATTGACATATGGTATTACAAGTTCTAGTAATATTTTGTTATTTGTCATTCTGGTGGAGTCAATCCAAGAATTAACTTTAATTAGATAAAGCAGCCAAAAAAAAAGGGACACACTACCTGATGCCCACTTTCAGTGTTATGCTATCAGTCTCTCATTCCATGAACAATGAGCATTGGCACCATAGCTGTGTATTTATCGTTCTGAGGTCAAGGGCACAGAGAGAATGACTATGAGCACATGGCATAGCTTCAAAGAAAGGCAAATATATTAAATTTTATAATCGCTAAAATTTCAGCAAATAGTCCTAAGGCTAGTCTGAAACAATGTAATACGATTTTTAAAAAATATTGAACAACTACATACACAAATCCAAAATAGGATACTGGCCTCTCAAACATTCAATAATTAATACTCTTGGACCTCATTGTTATAATGAGGAACTATATATATGGTTGTGTTTATATATAATCTGATTATATTTAGCTAAGGATAAGTCAAGCAAACCTATTGTCAAACAGAAAACAAGACCCAATAATGCGACCCAGGCCTAAGACAAGAGTGCTAACTTGGAAACCATAACTGGGTGGCTTTTTAAGTAAGCATCAGACAGGTACTATCAAAAGTGAAGACATAGGCAGGTTCCCCAATGAAGTGAAGTGTGCTATAAATGACACCACATTAACCATATACTTGTGGATCATGCTCCCTAATTAGTGGTTGGTATGTCTGGCTCTGTGCTTATTTATCTTCTGTGATCATTCTTCTCACCCTACTGAAGATGATTTCGGCAAAAGAAAATATTAAATGGGTAATGAATATTGAGTTTTCTCCTCTAAAAATCATCCATTTCATTAATTAAACTCAAGTTTACAAAAAGAAAAAAAAAGTTAATATGATGGATTCAGTCAGGCTTGGATTAACAAATTCTTCAGAGTAACATAGGGTAAATATCCCATAACACTTCTTCTTAAAACAAAAAGAAAGACAGTCTCTAAAGGAGGCATTTGACATATTACCCGCATTCTATGAGGGAAGAAAACACACTGTAGAGTAATATTGTGAAAAAATATTAATATAAAAATTATTGGCTCTATATAAACTCCAGCTCTAAGGGAAGTTCTGCAGTTGAAGTTTATGTTTGTTGTTGTCATTTGTTTGTTTGTAGACATGGGGTCTCGCTATGTTGGTCAGTCTCAAACTCCTGGCCTCCAGTCATCCTCTCATCTCAGCCTCCCAAAGTGCTGGAAGTACAGGTGTGAGCCACCACGCCTTGCCTGGAAGTAAGTTTACATTCTTTAACTTTGTATTGCCTCCTATATTTTCCAGTCTAAGAAATGGTCTTTCTTTGTAGACTCAATTTTGGAACATTTCTAATTTTGTATTGGAAATTTGTGAGAATAATTTGTGAGTAGATAGTATCAAGTTTGTGTGGATTGGTCCATAGGAGAAAAATGGTAACAGGTGTGTTTAAAATAGCACACACAAATGGTAACCCATCATGCAAAATAGTGCAGCATGAATGTGATGTGTGTGTGTGTGTGTGTGTGTGTGTGTGTGTGTGTATGATGTGCGGAATGATTCATTAAGAAGGACAAAAGAAAATAATTGCATGGATTAAAAAATGCATTTCTGGGGTAGGAGAATTGGAGGTTACTAGGAGAAATAAAGTGATATAAAACATTAAGACTTTTTTGGTTTCTCTTTCCCCAGAAAAGCACCTCTTTATGGGATGAGCTTAATTCTCAGTCTATAGCAAGAAGAGGCAAGTGTGTCCAGGGAATAAAGATTTCAGTGATTGTCAGCTCACTTCAGGTCAGCTTCCTTCTTCTGAACTGCAAGTCATCTGTTCCACATCTCTCCACTATATTTTGATATGTAATTAATGTGATTTTCCAGGCTTCCTTAATTCTTGGTGTAGTAGTATTGGGCTGTAGCAATTTACTATATCTTAATAAAGGGAGAAAGGTCTATAGAAATATTTGTGTATATATGGGACTCTGAAAATTAAAAGTAGCATAATTGCTATACCGTTACCAGAAACTGAAGATTTCATAATGGAACCACTAACTTTGGAATCATATGCAACAATATAACTGTTTAAAATAGATTGTAATTGTTGAATAGTGAAAATGAGTTTTCAGTCGAAAATCTGACCTTGGCCGGGCACGGTGGCTCACACCTGTAATCCCAGGACTTTGGGAGGCCGAGGTGGGCAGATCACGAGGTCAGGGGTTCAAGACCAGCCTGGGCAACATGGTGAAACCCCGTCCCTACTAAAAATACAAAAATTAGCTGGGCATGGTGGCGCATGCCTGTAATCCCAGCTACTCGGGAGGCCGAGGCAGGAGAATTGCTTGACCCGGGACCCGGGAGGCGGAGGTTGCAGTGAGCTGAGATCATGCCACTGCATGCACTCCAGCCTGGGGTACAGAGCGAGACTCTGTCTGGAAAAAAAAAAAAAAAAAAAAGGAAAGAAAAAAGGAAATATGACCTAAACCTCAAGCTTAATAGTTAATCTTGTTTCAGAGTTAGTTCTTCTTTTCTTCCTCAATAACACTAATTTATTTGGAAAAGCAAAATGACCAACGATATACTTTACCATTCAATGTCTATTTTTACATCTACAAATGAACAGCAATTATATGAACATTAAAAATCTTATTCCATTATTATAGCCAGCTCCTACTACCTCAAGTTCACTAATAAATTTATTTGGATATGCATTGTTAATAATAAAAAAACCCTAAAACTAACAAGCAAAAATTGAATCAGTTGTCAATTTGGCTAAATATAACCTGAAGGCGGTTTATATTTAGATGGACTTTTAAAAGAGTAATGTAAAAGACACTTTATTATTCAGTAAAATAACTAAAAGAATTTAAAATAAAATTTTGACAATGTGGATTTAGAAATACACAACTGAATTTTATATACAACACAGCTGAACTGCTATTTTTAAATGTTTCATGTGCTTTATATGATGGTGGTTATTTTATTTTTATTTGTGTTTGCTGCCTTGCTTAAGACACATGCTTTATTGCTTTAATAAAAACTTTTCTCTTAAAACAGCTGTTTATAAAAAATGATTATTTTTCACTCACACAAAATTTTAAATATAAGCAAAACAGAGCTGATATGGCAGCTCTGGAGTGTTTGGGATACAGGTGACAGTTGTGAAATTCCTCTGCTGTCCTCATCATAGGTCTTCTTCCCATAGCTCAAGATGAGATGCTCCTACAACCATTTCTACATTGCAGTCAAATATTTAAAAAAGGCAGAAAAGTAGAAGACACAAGGCTTCTATTTGCTTAGAAAGAAGGCTGGGGAATGTAACTTTCAGTTTCATGCCCATGTGAAAGACTAAAACTGGTGAGTTCCTTTAACAAAAGCAAGAATGCAAAATAGATTAGAAGCTGTGAGCTTTGCCAATTACACCTGAATGCTAATTTTATTTGAAAGATTCTTCCTTCTATGTCTTTATGTTTATATGTAACTTTATTAGCTGGAAAGTTTATAAATTTTGGTATGTTGTTTATTCACATTCTGCTTAATAATACTTAAAATAGATTTACTCATATGCCAAAGTCATCTCCAATATCTCCAATTTTAAAGATTAAAAATGTAACATTACACTAAATAACACTGATACAAGTTTATCACTCTGAATTTAAAGGGCAAATATATATTTTATAATATTCACAAGTTTTTATTATTTATTCTATCAACTCCTTGCATAAATCCTCCATTGCACTATCAAAGAATAGGCCATTTTAATCTTTCTTGCTGTACTTTCTTGCTCATATCCTTGGGCAAAGGATATGAACAGACACTTCTGAAAAGAAGACATTTATGCAGCCAACAAACATGAAAAAAAAGCTCATCATCACTGGTCATTAGAGAAATGCAAATCCAAACCACAATGAGATACCATCTCATGCCAGTTAGAATGGTGATCATTAAAAAGTCAGAAAACAACAGATGCTGGAGAGGATCTGGAGAAATAGGAATGCTTTTACACTGTTGGTGGGAGTATAAATTAGTTCAACCATTGTGGAAGACAGTGTGGTGATTCCTCACATATCTAGAACCAGAAACCTAGTCATTTCTTTATTATTATTATTATATTTTAAGTTTTGGGATACATGTGCAGAAAATGCAGGTTTGTTACATAGGCATACAGGTGCCATGGTGGTTTGCTGCACCCATCAACCCATCATCTACATTAGGTATTTCTCCTAATGCTATCCCTCCCCTAGCCCCCCACCCCCCAACAAGCCACAGTGTATGATATTCCCATTTCTGTATCCATGTGCCCTTATTGTTCAACTCTCACTTATGAGTGAGAACCTGCAGTGTTTGGTTTTCTGTTCCTATTTTAGTTTGCTGAGAATTATGGTTTCCAGCTTTATCCATGTCCCTGCAAAGGACATGAACTCATCCTTCTGTATGGCTGCATAGTATTCCATGGTGTATATGTGCCATATTTTCATTATCCAATCTATCATTGATGGGCATTTGGGTTAGTTCCAAGTCTTTGCTATTGTGAACAGTGCTGCAATACGTGTGCATGTGTCTTTATAGTAGAATGATTTTTAATCCTTTGGGTATATACCCAGTAATGTGATTGCTGGATCAAATTGTTTTTCTGGTTCTAGATATGTGACGAATCACCACACTGTCTTCCACAATGGTTGAACTAATTTACACTCCCACCAACAGTGTAAATGCATTCCTATTTCTCCAGATCCTCTCCAGCATCTGTTGTTTTCTGACTTTTTAATGATCGCCATTCTAACTGGCATGAGATGGTATCTCATTGTGGTTTGGATTTGCATTTCTCTAATGACCAGTGATGATGAGCTTTTTTTTCATACATTTGTTGGCTGCATAAATGTCTTCTTTTCAGAAGTGTCTGTTCATATCCTTTGCCCACTTTTTGATGGGGTTCTTTTTTCTTGTAAATTTGTTTAAATTGTTTGTAGATTCTGGATATCAGCCCATTGTCAGATGGATAAATTGCAAAAATTTTCTCCCATTCCGTAGGTTGCCTGTTCACTCTGATGATAGTTTCTTTTGCTGTGCAGAAGCTCTTTAGTTTAATCAGATTCCATTTGACTACTTTGGCTTTTGTTGCCATTGCTTTTGGTGTTTTAGTCATGAAGTGTTTGTCCATGTCTATGTCCTGAATGGTACTGCCTAGGTTTTCTTCTAGGGTTTTTATAATTTTAGGTCTTACATTTAAGTCTTTAATCCATCTTGGTTGATTTTTGTATAAGTTGTAAGGAAGGGATCTAGTTTCAGCTTTCTGCATATGGCTAGCTAATTTTCCCAGCACCATTTATTAAATAGGGAATCCTTTCCCCATTGCTTGTTTTTGTCAGGTTTGTCAAAGATCAGATGGTTGTAGATGTGTGGCATTATTTCTGAGGCCTCTGTTCTGTTCCATTGGCTTTCATATCTGTTTTTGTACCAGTACCATGCTGTTTTTGTTACTGTAGGCCTTGTAGTATAGTTTGAATTCAGGTAGTGTGATGCCTCCAGCTTTGTTCTTTTTGCTTAGGATTGACTTGGCCATGCTGGCGCTTTTATGGTTCCATGTGAAATTAAAAGTAGTTTTTTCCAATTCTGTGAAGAAAGTAAATGGTAGCTTGATTGGGATAGCATTGAATCTATCAATTACTTTGGGCAGTATGGCCATTTTCATGATAATGATTCTTCCTATCCATGAGCATGGAATATTTTTCCATTTGCTTGTGTCCTCTCTTATTTCCTTGAGCAGTGTTTTGTAGTTCTCCTTGAAGAGGTCCTTCATTTCCCTTGTAAGTTGTATTCCTAGGTATTTACAAGAAAAAACAAAACAAAACAAAACAAAAAAATCAAAAAGTAGGTGAAGGATATGAACTGACATTTCTCAAAATAAGATATTTATGCAGCCAACAAACATATTAAAAAAAGCTCATCATCACTGGTCATTAGAGAATTGCATATCAAAACCACAATGAGATACCATCTCACGCCACTTAGAATGGCAATCATTAAAAAGTCAGGAAACAACAGATGCTGGAGACGATCTGGAGAAATAGGAATGCTTTTACACTGTTGTTGGGAGTGTAAATTAGCTCAAACATTGTGGAAGACAGTGTGGCGATTCCTCACGTATCTAGAACCAGAAAAACCATTTGATCCAGCAATCCCATTACTGGGTATAAACCCAAAGGATTAAAAATCATTCTACCATAAAGACACATGCACATGTATGTTTATTGCAGCACTATTCACAATAGCAAAGACTTGGAACCAACCCAAATGTCCATCAATGATAGACTGGATAAAGAAAATGTGGCACATATACACCACGGAATACTATGCAGCCATACAAAAGGATGAGTTAATGTCCTTTGCAGGGACATGGATGATACTGGAAACCATCATTCTCAGCAAACTAACACAAGAACACAAAACCAAACACCGCATGGTCTTACTCATAAGTGGGAGTTGAACAATGAGAACACATGGACACAGGGAGGGGAATATCATACACTGTGGCTTGTTGGGGGGTGGGGGGCTAGGGGAGGGATAGCATTAGGAGAAATACCTAATGTAGATGATGGGTTGATGGGTGCAGCAAACCACCATGGCAGGTGTATGCCTATGTAACAAACCTGCATGTTCTGCACATGTACGCCAGGACTTAAAGTATAACAATAAAAAATAAATAAGTAAATAAATAATAAATCAAGGTGCAGCAGATTCACAATTGGCAAAAACAACACAAAACAAGTATAAAATGCCAACTAGTTGCATTAATTGAGCATTAAGCACTGTATGCTCCAATTATAACAATTATGACTGTTTACAACATTTACGTACTTTTTACATTTGAGATGTTTGCGAGGAGATAAGCTATTTTCTTAATTCTTTTTGTTTGTTTGCTCATTTGTTGGCAGGTCACGTAACTGCGGGTCTAATTAAACATTTATGTATTTAGTTTACTTTTTTGTGAAATTCCATTCCATAAACAGTCTAAAGTATATCGACTCCTAATCTCTGCTTGTCCATTTTTGCAGGGGATTCTGTTATGCTTCTCCTCTAGTACCTTATATGCCAGGAATCCTTATCTCCAACAGAATAGCAGTGTTGGTTCTTACTGACCACTATGAGGCCCACATTTGATCTCTGGAAGCTGAAGGACAGTATACTCACTGCCTCAAATCCTGGAAGCTTCAGAGGCCGACATGGCCAAATAAAGCAGAAGATTGTTGGTGGTGTCACTCAAATATTAGTTTAAGTCACTTTTTAATTGTTTCCAGATTCCTGTTAAATATTACCCATCTCCAGCTTCACAGTAAACGGGCATTGATGGTCTCCATGCTGGATATCTCCCAGTATGTATATTGTTTTTTTCAAATATATCATCTGCAAGATCTACCCATACAGTCCCATTTGAAACTTCATCTCAGCCTCCCTCTTATTCTTCTTCTGATCAGCAGCAGCTCTTCCTCACGAGTTCAGGCTCAGCACCAATTAAATCCAGAGTTCAATGAGAAGAGTGAATTAGTTTTCCTCAATACCTGTATAATATTTTTCTATTACATGGAAATTCTAAAAGAGAAGTCTGCCTCCAAAACCCCACTAAGGAAGGCAAAGAATCATACAACAATCATACATTTCTTTAATGGTTTTAAAAATATTTTCTGGCCGGGTGCGGTGGCTTACGCTTGTAATGACAGCCCTTTGGGAGGCCGAGGCAGGTGGCTCATCTGAGGTCAGGAGTTCAAGACCAGCCTGGTCAACATGGTGAAACCCCGTCTGTACTAAAAATACAAAAAAATTTAGCTGGGTGTGGTGGCAGATGTCTGTAATTCCAGTTACTTGGGAGGCTGTGGCAGGAGAATCACTTGAACCCCGGAGGCAGAAATTGCAGTGAGCTATCGCGCCACTGCACTCCAGCCTGGGCAATAGAGCAAGACTCTGCCTCAAAAAAAAAAAAAATTCCACATTCTTTTTACTATTTTAAAATACAATATTCTTAATTATGAAATTCTTCTACGACACAGTTATATATTAAATTACTGTTTAACATTATTTTATTAAACTATGTCCCCTCAAAATTGACACTGGGCCTATACTCTCCTATTTTTGGTTCATGGTATGTTAATAGTGGCAAATCTGTGTGGGTCTGCGGCAACCTCAATTCTTGCCTCCTCAGAAGAAAGAATTTGACTAAGGTGCATAGGGCAGGAGAGTCCAAGGCAAGTTTTAGACCAGTAGTGAAAGTTTGCTAAAAATTTTAAAGCAGGAACAAAAGGAAGTATAGTACACTTGTAAGAGGGCCAAGTGGGTGACTTGCGAGATTCAGTGTGCGGCTTGACTTTTGACTTGGGGTTTTGTACACTGGCTCACTTCCAGGGGATTGGGTCTTTTCTGCCCTGATTCTTCCCTTTGGGTGTACTGTTCACATGCACAGTGGCCTGCAAGCACTTGGGAGGGGCGGCATGCCCAGTGTGTTCTCACTTGGGGCATTCTTCCCTTGCCCTTTGAGTGTTCTGTAACAATTATACTGATTACTCCAGGACTCTAGCATGTTCACTCCTCTTTATGCAGTAAGATGATAATTTTTGAAAGATCTTTACTCTTAAATATGGTTATTAAAATAACCTTTAACTGATGCCATATATTACCCTATTCCTGCTTTTAACCTACACTTTTTACTACTTCTAAGTACATCAAGATTTATAGATGCCAGTCATTATCACCATATTTTTTGGCTCCCTGCTGATCAGAAGAAAAATATCCTTATTTTGATATTTTACAGGCTTAACAAGTTATATGTGACATATAATATTTGACATATCCAACCATAAAACCACTATCATAATTGAGATAATGAACAAATTAGTCACCATCAAAAGTCCCTTTGTGCCTCCTTTTAACATTTTTCCTCTCACTCTCTTTGTTACCAGGCAACCACCAATCTGCTTTTTGTCAATGTAGCTTAGATTGAAATTTCTAGAAATTTATATCAGTGAAACCATACAATACATACTTTTTGTACAAATAGAAAAGAAAGATAAGGATAACATCAGATTTTTTTTATGAGAAAGAATGCATGCTATAAAAGAGTGGAATGATATCCTTGATGGAGTGAAAGGAATAGAAATCAAACAAGAATTATTTATACTATGATAATACTTCAAAAAAACAAAGAATAAATAAATAACTTTTCAAATACAAAAAAGCTAAAGAGTTCATTACCAAAGTATCTATATTAAAAAAATTAAAGGGGCCGGGCGTGGTGGCTCACACTTGTAATCCCAGTACTTTGGGAGGCCAAGGCGGGTGGATCACGAGGTCAGGAGATCAAGACCATCCAGGCTAACACGGTGAAAACCTGTCTGTACTAAAAATACAAAAAATTAGCTGGGGGTGGTGGCGGGCGCCTGTACTCCCAGCTACTCGGGAAGGCTGAGGCAGGTGAATGGCTGCCGTGAACCTGGGAGGCGGAGCTTGCAGTGAGCCCAGATAGCGCCACTGCACTCCAGCCTGGGTGATAGAGTGAGACTCTCGTCTAAAAAAAAAAAAAAAAAAAAAAAAATTAAGGAAGTTTTTCAAGCAGAAAGCAAAGAATACCGGATGGAACTCTTGACCTACACAAAAGAATGAGGAAAGCTGGCAAGGGTAACTTACATAACTCTTCTTAAAGGATTTACATAATTTACTCATCAAAAGACTTGGAGGAACCTTAAATGCAATGCATATTGCTAAGTGAAAGAAGATAACTTAAAAAGACTATGTACTGTATGATTCCAGCTATATGATATTCTAGAAAAAGAACCAAAATTATGGAGACAGTAAAAAACACAATGGTTGCCAGGATTCAGTGGAGAAGGAGACAGGCATGGATAAGAGGAACATAAGGGATCTTTAGGGAAGTAAAAATACTCTGTATGATATTCTAATTCTGGATACATATCATTCCGCATTTGTCAAAATCCATGAACTGGTATAACACAAAGAGTGAATCCTAATGTAAAATAGGACTTTAGTTAATAATAATGTAACCATACTAGTTTATGATTGTAAGGAATGTACCATATTAATGGAAGATGTTAATAAGAGGAGAAACTGGGAAGGGGGTGTTGCGGAGGTATTTGAAATACCCCGGCACTTTTCTACTCAATTTTTTTTCTGTAAACTGCTCTAGATTTTATGTTTAGTAAAGCTGCTCTAAAAACAGTGTCTACTAATGTACAAACAGCTAATTTATTTGAAGTAAAATAAGTAGAAATAATTCGTGTTATTATGACTTATATAGAAGTATGTGCCACAAATATTTGGGGAGGAGTAATAAGTATGTACTTTTAAAAGGTGCTTATACTAGTGAAGTTGTAAATTTGTCACTTGAAGTTCAATGGTGTATAAAATAATCCTTAACATAAAAACTAAAACAACCCAACAAACAGTTATAGCTAATAATTCAACAATGGAGATAAAAGGAAATTATAAAAATGCAGAATTTAAAAGAAAATATAAAAAAAGTAGAAAAAATCACACGAGAAAAGTTGAAAATGATCGATCCAAATGTGTTTAATCACATTAAATGTAAATTGTTTAAATATTCTTGCCCCCCAAAAAGACAGAAGTTTTCAAATGAAATAAAACAGCAAGGCCCAAATATTTGCTACCTACAAAACAAAAGGAAAAAAAAAAGAACAAACACAAAAAACTTTAAATACAAATATTCAAATAAAGTAATAGCAAAGAAAGTAAATTATGGAAAAGACCAACCCTGCCAGCCCAATTAAAAGCTTTAGAGTAATTAATATCAAAGAAACTAGATTTCAGAACAAAGAATATTACCAGGAATGCAAACAGTCATTTTACCACAATAAAGGAATAAATTCATAAAAAGTATGTAATAATCCTAAATGTGTATTCACCCAATATCAGAGCTTCAAAACACATATAGCAAAAAATGATAGAACTTGCATAAGAGACAGACAAATTCACAATTATATTACTCTCCCAATAATTGTTAGGAAAAGTAGAGAGAAATTAATAAGAATACCAAAGATGTAGGTAATGGTATTAACCAACTCGGTTAATTGATGTTTATAATGTTCTCCACACAAAACTAGCAAAATAGTTTCTGCTATATTGAAACACTTCTAAATAACAGCCCATGTGTTGAGCCATAAAGTAAGTCTCAAAAGATTTAAAATTATTCTAGCCATGACAAATATGTTTTCTTTATTTCTTTCACACCTCAAGAAATGTAATTTATTTATTTATTTTCTTTCTGAGACAGAGTCTCACTCTGTCACCCAGGATGGGGAGTGCACTGGTGCGATCTTGGCTAACTGCAACCTCTCCTGCCCCTGCTCCCCAGGCTCAAGTGATTTTCCTGCCTTGGCCTCCCCAGTAGCTGGGATTATAGGTGTATATTACCACGCCCAGCTAATTGTTCTATTTTTAGTAGAGACAGGGTTTCACCATGTTGGCCAGGCTGGCCTGAAACTCCTGACCTCAGGTGATCCACCCACCTTGGCCTCCCGAAGTGCTGGGATTATAAGTGTGAGCCACTGGGCCTAGCCAAGAAATTTATTTTATTTTATATATATATATATATATATATATATATATATATATATATATATTTATTATTATACTTTAAGTTCTAGGGTACATGTGCACAACGTGCAGGTTTGTTACGACAAATATGTTTTCTAACCACAATAGAATTAAATAAGAAATCAATATCTTGAAAATTCTCAGAGATGTGACAAACAATTGCCTCATGGTTCAAACAAGAAATCAAAAGGAAAATTAGAAAATATTTTGAACTGAGTGCATATGAAAACACAACTGTCTAGTTTGATTTTTAAAGTTTATTCTCTGAAGACAAATTCTTCTTCAAACCTCATATTCAATTACTCTAAAACATAGGTTTTTCATCACAATATATTTTACATCTTACAGTTCTTTTTCATTCTTGCTTTAAGGTTTGGCTCTTGCTCTGAATTCATGTCCATATATTTTAATTAGCATAGTATTAATAGGTAAGTCAGATACAGATATTTTTCTCACAGAAACTAGGTATATGACATTGTTTTTTAACAATACTAGAAATGCTTAGGCCTTAACTTGCCATATTTAATAAATGATGTTTTACAATCTATACAAGTCCTAAACATTTTTTACAATTATGATATGGCATTATCTATGTATTAGATATAATATTTTGCCTGAGATTTGTGAGTTTGATCATTTGTTTCCCTTACGTTTTGTGATTCTCTGATTATTTATGTAGCATTCCAAATTTGGATTTTTTTTTTCTGATGAGTAGGTCTTAGAATTAAATACTTGTTTATGTGTAAATGTGACTTAGACAGTATCATCTGACATTCTGTTCAGCTGCATGTATAAGTATCCAAATTATAATGACAAATGTCATCAACATTTACAAGTATGTTTTTTCATGGAAAAATACAGAAATAGGCAGTCCAACATATCAGAAGTTTTATCAATCCAGATCTTCTTTATCTCTTCTCTGATATTGGCTATATTAGCTGTATTATCAAAAAATAAAGGGCATGGATAAAAGGAAGCCTGTCAATTAAACATCACAAATTGTGGTTTCTTAGCCATCCAGTCAAAAGAAAGTTTAAATCTCATCACCAACTCACCAAACAATTGAAAATAATAATAAATTACATATTTTCTTCTATTTTGTTTTGCTTTAACTTAGCTTATTGCTAACAAGAACCATAGATTGTGTTAATAAATACAAAGAAAGAATGTAGACCATTAACTGTGTCTGCTGTGAAATTCTAAAAGGGAGCAATCCACTCTCCAAATAAAGGGTCATAGAGATATCACAAAAGAACTATGTCCTGCTCACATACTTATCCTGCTAATTTAGAGGATACATTGACAATTAAAGTAATTCAATGGCTGTCCTCAATTAGGGGAAACACCGTCTTCATTTTCCCATCTGCATTTAAGCCATGATGGATAATTATTACCACTTCATCAAATTAATATCTCTATTCATCTTAAAGGAGAACACCTGAATTATGAGAATATTCTTCTCTGTGGAAACAAAACTAGGGAATCTGGATGAGGTTGGTAAGTCATTGTTTTTTCACTATTTTTTTTTGTTCCAGAAACCAAATAAATGGGTAAATTTACTCATTATGGGAACCAAATAGTAACAATGATCAATTCAATCATGGGAGGTGTCTGTATCAGATTTAGAAAACTATCCATCCCTCCCTTTAATGCCATTGGTTAATTGAGATGCCAACTGAAAAAGAAAGCTTTCTATTTTGCATATAAAATGTTATAAACAAATATTACACTGATGTTAAATAAATTGTAAATATTTCTTAATTTTGAGCATGAATTAAATAGTGGCCATTGCAACAGGGATGATCAAGGCTTTTTTCTTTTCTTTCTTTCTTCCTTTCTTTTTTTTTTTTTTTTTTGAGATGGAGTTTCGCTCTTGTTGCACAGGCTGGAGTGCAATGGTGCAATCTCAGCTCACCGCAACCTCCGCCATCCAGGTTCAAGCAATAATCCTG
Source organism: Homo sapiens (assembly GCF_000001405.40). Classification (NCBI taxonomy): domain Eukaryota; kingdom Metazoa; phylum Chordata; class Mammalia; order Primates; family Hominidae; genus Homo; species Homo sapiens. The sequence continues at coordinate 188,805,410 of NC_000001.11, forward strand.
CCTCAGTCTCCCAAGCAGCTGGGATTACAAGCATGCACCACCATGCCTGGCTAATTTTGTATTTTTAGTAGAGATGAGGTTTCTCCATGTTCGTCAGGTTGGTCTTGAACTCACAACCTCAGGTTATCCGCCCGCCTCAGTCTCCCAAATGGTATTACCGGCGTGAGCCAGATGTGGTGGCACACGCCTGTAATCCCAGCTACTTGGGAGGCTGAGGCAGGAGAATTGCTTGAACCTGGGAGGCGGAGGTTGCAGCGAGCCATGATTGCACCACTGCACCCAGCAATCAAGCCTTTTAAAAATATTATTGTAAAGATTGCATAAAGGCACTTTTTTGTTTGAGTGAAAATAAAACGAAATTTATCAGCAGATAATTGAAATATGTACCATGAAAGGGATTGCTTCCATACAGAAAATAATTATATACACAAAGAACATAACTACGTTTTCATATGATAGTGTATAAATGGATAAAAGCCAAAAAAATAGATTTCATCATAAAAAAGAAATTAAATCTGAGAATAACTTTCCACATCCTTTGAAGAGGGGATGAACACCTCTATTCAGATTTTTACAATTAATGCAATATCTTAGTACTAAGTTTTTGTTCCAGACAAAAGATACCCTTTGAAGAGTAGGTTAAATGTATTTCAGTAATTTTACAATTTTTGCGGAAACTATAGTTTCACAAAAGGAGTGGAAATAGAAATGTGCTTTATAGGGGCCATAATATCATAATGTGAGCTCCTAGCTTAAAATTATGATAGCTTACATAGGCTCTAATACAGCATCTCAGATCACATCAAATAATTTAGCAAAAGCACATTTTAATGTAAAAGGTTGTGAGGATGACATACAAAATGGGGCTCTTTTGGGATCTATATCCTGAATATTAAATGGCCATAATTATAATTATTTATGTAAAGTTATATAAAGAACATATGCATATATTAAACGTAGTACTTTATTTTTACAGAGAGAACGTTTCCCATGACCAAGAGTCTCTAATTAGTGAGTGACAGACATAGAAAAAGTCATACCTGAGACATTTTACTGTCACCAAAAATATACTTGACTTTTTCTTTCTTCACAAACTGTATGAAATCATGTCACCTTATTATTATGTTTCCTGTTCATAGATCTTTTATTATTCTATTAATAGTCAATAAGTCCATCCACTCACAGTCTTAGTTGATCTATGCTGTGTGTAATAGGCCATAACAACTTCTTCTACAGGCTAGCAAATTTTCTAAGTGTTCTTTTGTTTTAAACATTGTGGAGACATCACTTAAATTTTTTTAAAAAATATTTTCTATTATATATATTATATTCTGTCTTCTCATAAAAATTATGCTCTTTCTGGCTCCCTAATTTTGCTATATCTTCCAGGATCTCTACTGATTTTTTCTTTTAAGATTGAGACTAGAGTATTATCAGTTAAATCTACTGGTTTTCCTCTCTTGTAGACTATGATATCTACAAGTAACATATGTGTTGCTTCTTTTACTTTTAGAATTATTAGATGCATCCCTTGAATTTAATCCCTTGTAATCACATTGATCAGGGAACTGTGCTCTACTGGTAACTGTTGTGATGTGGGTGACAATGAAAATTCTAATTCGGTCATGGTAATAAGGCAAACATAGCCAAAGTTTTCTTACTAAGTAGATGCTATCTGTACCTTTTTGGTGTGCAATTTTATCATTAAAACAGTTCATTTTCAGTGATATTTTCTAAGAGTTTGTAGAAAACATAGATGTGGAATATTTCCAGATGCTTTTCTTTTTTAAGCTTAACTTACAAGATTTCTGTAAGTGTCCATCAACAGATGAAAGGATAAGGAAAATGTGGTACATATACTCAATGGAGTACTATTGATCCATAAAAGAGGATGAGATCCAGTCATTTGCAACAACACGGATGGAACTGGAGGTCAAAATATTGAAGGAAATAAGCCAGGCACAAAAAGGCAAACATTGCATGTTCTCACTTATTTGTGGGATCTAAAAATCAAAACAATTGAACTCATGGACATACAGAGTAGAGGGATGATTACCAGAGGCTGAGAAGGGTAGTAGGGGGCAGTCGGGAGGAGGTAGGGATGATTAATGGGTACAAAAAAAAAATAGAAAGAATGAATCAGACCTTCAATTTGATAGCAGAGTAGGGTGACTATAGTCAATAATAACTTAATTGTACATTCTAAAATAACTTAAAGATTGTAATTATTGAGGGTGGGAGGAGGGAGAGGATCAGCATAAATAAATAAATAGGCAGATAAATAAATAAAAAAGGCAAAAAAAGTGTAACTGGATTGTTTGTAACTCAAAGGATAAATGCTTGATGGGATGTGTTTCCCATTGCTCATGATGTGTTTATTTGACTTTGCATGCCTGTATCAAAATATCTCATGTACTCCATAAATATATACAACTACTATGTACCCACAAAAATTTGTTTAAAAAATAAAAACATATAAGGTCTCTCTCGGAGGCCACTGATGGGGTAAATCACATGGAAATTATGTAGTGTTTTTTCTTTTTTTCTTTTTTTTTTTTTTGCTTACTTTCCTTTTTGGTTAAATTATCCTAACATTCTTTGGGTAACCCCTAATAATATTATATTGTATAATATTTTTAGATTCATGAATGGAATTATATATATGTATATATATATATATTTTCATAAATGAACATGTATTAGTCTGTTAAAACTATAGATGCTATAGTTATACTGCTATAAAGAGCTGCCTGAGACTGGGTAACTTATGAAGGAAAGAAGTTTAATTGACTCGCAGTTCCTGTGCTCCCTATAGCTGGGAGGCCTCAAGAAACTTACAATTATGGCAAAAGGGGAAGGGGAAGCAAGCACCTTCTTCACAAGGCATCAGGAGAGAGAGAGAAAGAGAGTAGAGGAAACTACCCCTTTTAAACCATCATATCCTGTGAGAACTCCCTCAGTATTAGAAGAGCATGAGGGAAACCGCCTCCATAATCCAATCACCTCCCACCAGGACCATCCCTCAATACATGGGGATTACAATTCAAGATGAGGTTCGGGTGGGGATACAGATTTAAACCATATCAGAATGGTTAATGATATTGTTGTATTTTACCAACTATAATCTTCTTAGTGTTATAGTACAATAATGTAAAAAATTGAGTAAATTTGTTTTCTATATTATTCTGTTTTTGGAAAACATGTATATAGTCAGGGCTGTTTGTCTCAAGAAAATATGGTAAACTCTGCTGTTTTGGTCACTGGTGCCTAGAATTTGGGGATGTACATTGGTTTTGATTCACATGCACATTTCCTTCTAGTTCACAGTAACTATTTCTAACTATTTCCACGATACCTTGAAAATAATTATTTTTGTTTATTTAATCCACTGGGTCTGAGTTTTCAGATCTTTTTTCTATCTACTGCAATGGTTACAATTATTAATTGTTCCTAAAGTTGTACAAAGAGGATTGGGTTCTCAGACCTAGCTTGTGCCTTTTGGAAGAGAGGTAAGGAGGTAGGAGTAAGGGAGGTAAGAGACATCCATCCTCAATACAAAGAGCAAAGATGTATACCCTCACAAAATATGGACATTTTACAAAAACCTATTTTTATTACTCTGAGACATTTATTGTTTCTATTCACTTGCATTGACTGTTATCTATCTTCTGGCTCCCCCTTCACCAATACTTTGAGAAACCAATGAAGACAACTGAAAGTGGTTGGTTCTTACACATGAGGGAGAATTTTTTATGCATACTCATTATATCCTCATATTGTCCTGGACAGGTAACTCCTTACCCCATCACCACTTTCAGGCAGAAAATGAGAAGTTTGCCTAGCACTGACTAATAAGGCACTAGGCATCAGTGGCATAATCTCTAGTAAGTTCTCAAGTGACACTAAAATTGACAATAGATAACAAAGTGTGGAAACCCACTATTCATGAGCTTTATAATCTAATCAGCTGCATAGAACAAGGGCAAAGTGATCACAATGCACATGAATTGACGTGTTTTATATATTTCTTAAAACAAATACACATATTTGGAAATATTAAAAAGTAAAGACATTAGAGATAAAAATAATCATTTGATAAGGTACTACTCAGAGATGTTAAGTGCTAAGATTTTAAATATACTGGTAAATAAAATTACAGGATGTATCTGACACACATG